>NC_000023.11:1426351-1726351 GCF_000001405.40 Homo sapiens
ATTCACTGCATGTTCTCTCTCCTGATGATGAATGGCAGGAGGTGTCATCAGCCCGTCTCCCTGTCTCCCAAAGCCTGCGTCCCTCCTGCACCCGACATCCCCACCTCTGCTTCCCGGAGGACGCCCTGTGAGGGACCCCTGGTGTTGGGAGGGCTGCATCCCTTCTAGGCTGCCACCGTGAGGGGCCCCTGAACAGAACAGCTGAAAGATGGGGCCTCAGGCCGGGCGCGCTGGCTCACGCCTGTAATCCCAGCACTTTAGGAGGCCGAGGCGGGTGGATCAGCTGAGGTCAGGAGTTCGAGACCATCCTGGCCAACATAGCGAAACCCTGTCTCTACTAAAAGTACAAAAATTAGCCGGGCTTGGTGGTGGGCGCCTGTAATCAGGAGGCTACTCCTGAGGCTACTCAGGATCTCCTCTTGAGATTCTTAATTACATCTGCTAAGACCCCTTTTTAAAACAAGGTCCCATTCACAGATTCTGGGGATCAGGCTATGAACAGATCTTTCAGGAGGACCACAGTTAGGAGGCTGAGGCAGGAGAATCGCTTGAACCCGGGAGGCAGAGGTTGCAGTGAGCCGAGATCATGCCACTGCACTCCAGCCTGGATGACAGAGCCAGACTCTGTCTCAAAAACAAAAACAAAAACAAAAAAAAGAGAAAAAGAAAAAAGGGTCTTTGCAGACGTAAGTAAGCTAGGGGACTTCAGATGAGTTGGAGTCAGTGGATTAGGGAGACCTCAAAATCCAATGACAGGTGTCCTTCTAAGAGACAGAAGAGACACAGACACAGAGGAGAAGGCCACGTGGAGACAAAGGCAGAGACTGGAGTGATACGGCCACAAGCCCAGGGATGCCTGGAGCCCCCAGGAGCTGGGAGAGGCAGGAAGGACCCTCCCCTGGGGCCTCCAGAAGGAACTGGATACATCTGTAGTGGACTGAACTGTGGTCCTCCTGAAAGATCTGTCCATATCCTGATCCCCAGAATCTGTGAATGGGACCTTGTTTTAAAAAGGGGTCTTGGCAGATGTAATTAAGAATCTCAAGAGGAAATCATCACGAAGAAGGGTGGACTCCAAGTCCAATGACAGGTGTCCTTCTAAGAGACAGAGGAGGAGACACAGACACAGTGGATGAGGCCACGTGGAGGACGTGGCAGAGACTGGAGTGATGCGGCCACAAGCCCAGGGATGCCTGGAGCTGTCAGGAGCTGGGAGAGGCAGGAAGGACCCTCTCCTAGAACCTTCGGAGAAAGCATGGCCCTGAGACAACCTGACCTCAGACTGCCAGCCTCCAGGACAGTGAGAAGTAAATTCCCTTTGATTTAAGCCGAGTGTGTAGGCTCATTTGTGAAATGTGGCCTGAGGAGACAGACACAGGTACCTTGGATAGCATAAAGCCCTCAATCAGCTCCAGGAGGCGTGTCGGGAACGGAGGCAGGGTCTCCCGAGTCCTGTGACACTCAGCCTCTGCCGTGGCCTGTCCCGCCTCTCCCGCCTCGGCCTTCTCATCGCGGCTGCCCGCGTCCCTCTGAGTGGGCTCCGAGCCGCCCCCCTCCACGTCACTGAGGTCTTCGAAGGTGTCCGCGGCCGGGATGGAGTCGTGCTTGACACTCCGCCGCAGGTCCTCCGGACGGGGCGGGTAGTAGAGCTTCACCAGCTGCTTGCAGAAGTGGTTCAGCGGGAATCCCACCACGTTCAGAAAGTCCCCGTGTACGGACTCCACCAGCATGCCGCCCAGGGCCTGGATCCCGTAGCCGCCAGCTTTGTCCCTGGGTGGGCAGGGGAAGGTAAGAGGTGACAAGGAGGAGAAAAGTTCCTGGGTCTGAACATTTCACGGCTGGGAGGCGGAGGTGGGTGGATCACGAGGTCGGGAGATCGAGGCCATCCTGGCTAACACAGTGAAACCCTGTCTCTACTAAAAAAAATACAAAAAATTAGCCAGGCGTGGGGGCAGGCGCCTTTGGCATCTCAAAAAAAAAAAAAAAAAGAAAAACAATTTCACAGCAAGGCTGGGCGCAATGGCTCACGGCTGTAATCCCAGCACTTTGGGAGGCCGAGACGGGTGGATTACTTGAGGTCAGAAGTTCAAGACCAGCCTGGCCAACACGGTGAAACCCCATCTCTACTAAAAATACAAAAATTAGCCGGGTGTGGTGTGGTGGCACACGCCTGTAATCCCAGCTACCCAGGAGGCTGAGACAGGAGAATCACTTGAACCCAGGAGGAGGAGGTTGCAGTGAGCCGAGATCGTGCCACTGCACTCCAGCCTGGGCGGCAGAGGAAGACTCCGTCTCAAATAAATAAATAAATAAATAAAATTTCATGTGTTAAATGGGATGTTTTGACATATGTATACATGCGTCATCATTAAATCAAGCCAATTATCCCATTCAGCATCTCATCTACGAATTGTGTGTGTGTGTGTGGGGAGAAGACTTCAGATCTAGTGTGCTGGCAATTTACCAGTAAGACACTGTTCCTATAAACCACAGTCACAGGCTGTAAAGAGCCTTGAACTTCTTCCTCCTGTCTCACTTTTTTATTTTTTATTTTTATTTTTTAAAGACAGAGTCTCGCTCTGTCGCCCAGGCTGGAGTGCAGTGGCGCGATCTCGGCTCCCTGCAACCTCCGCCTCCTGGGTTCAAGCGATTCTCCTGCCTCAGCCTCCCGGGTAGCTGGGATGACAGGCACCTGCCAACACACCCGGCTAATTTTTGTATTTAGTAGAGACGGGGTTTCACCATGTTGGCCACGATGGTCTCGAACTCCTGACCTCAGGTGATGCGCCTGCCTCGGCCCCCCAAAGTGCTGGGATTACAGGTGTGAACCACCACGTCTGGCCCTCTTTTCTCTTTCTTATTTTATCTATTTTTTTTTTTCAAGACAGGGTCTCACTCGGTTGCTCAGGCTGAAGTGCAGTGGTACATTCTTGGTTCTCTGCTCCCTCAAAATTCTGGGCTCAAATGATGCTGTAATCTCAGCCTCCCACGTAGCAGGGACACACTCAGCTAGTTTTATCATTTTTTATAAAGATGGGGTTTCACTCTGTTGCCCAGGCTGGTCTCGAACTCCTGGGATGAAGTGATCCTCCCGTCTTGGCTTGAGCTACTGTGCCCGGCCTGTCTTTCTTTAAATGTATGTAAACATTAAAGTATGTATGAAAGTGCAGGTGTTGGGCTGGGCGCGGTGGCTCCCAGCACTTCGGGAGGCTGAGGCAGGCAGATCACCTGAGGTCAGGAGTTCGAGACCAGCCTGGCCAACATGGCAAAACCCCTTCTCTACTAAAAATAAAAAATTCGCCAGGCGTGGCGGTGGGTGCCTGTAGTCCCAGCTACTTGGGAAGCTGAGGCAGGAGAATCGTTTGAAACTGGAAGGTGGAGGTTGCAGTGAGCCAAGATCGCGCCACTGCACTCCAGCCTGGGTGACGGAGGAAGACTCCGTCTCAAAAAAAATTTCATGTGTTAAATGGGATGTTTTGATATATGTATACATGTGACATCATTAAATCAAGCCAATTATCCCATCGAGCACCTCATGTACCTATTCTGTGTGTGTGGGGAGAAGACTTCAGATGTAGTGTGCTGGCAATTTTCCAGTAAGACACTGTTCCTGTAAACCACAGTCACTAGGCTGTAAAGAGCCTTGAACTTCTCCCGTCTCACTTAATTTTTTTTTTTTAAAAGACGGAGTCTCGCTCTGTTGCCCAGGCTGGAGTGCAGTGGCGCGATCTCGGCTCACTGCAACCTCCACCTGCTGGGTTCAAGCGATTCTCCTGTCTCAGCCTCCTGGGTAGCTGGGATTACAGGCACCTGCCACCACACCGGGCTAATTTTTGTATTTTTAGTAGAGATTGGGATTTGCCATATCCAGGCTGGTCTTGAACTTCTGACCTCAGGTGATCCGCCTGCCTCGGCCTCCCAAAGTATTGGGATGACAGGCGTGAGCCACCATGCCTGGCCCTGATTTAAATCTTGTATCCTTTGACCAAGTGCAACTGTTTTATATTCCATATAAGTGAGATCCTGTGGTATGTGTCTTCTTCTGCCGGGCTTATTTCAATTGATGTAAAATCCTCTAGGTTAATATACATATATATTACGCAGACTCCATCTCTACAAAAACTAACAATAAAATCGGCCGCGTGTGTTGGTGCGTGTCCTGTGGTCCCACCTACTCAGGAGGCTTTGGTGGAAGGATCGCCTGAGCCCAGGAGTTCAAGACCAGCCTGGGCAACATAGTGAGACCCCATTGCTACAAAAAATAGAAAAAATTAGCCAGGCGTGGTGGTATGCGTCTGCAGACCCAGCCACTAGTGGGGCTGAGGTGAGAGGATCATTTTGACTCAAGAGGCTGACGCTGCAGTGAGCTATGACTGTACCACTGCACTCCAGCCTGGGTGACAGAGTGAGACCGTGTCTCAAAAAAATAAATAAAATTATTTATATAAATATATAAAATAAACATATATTTTATACAAATGTATTTATATACATATATTTATATATTTATATACTTTTATAATATAAAAATATATTTTATATAATTATATATTTATATAACACATAATACATTATATATTATATATAACTAATATGTATTACATATATTTAATTAATATATAATTTACATATAATCACACTTTATATTATTATGTAATATGTATTAATATGCAGTTACATATATTAATCATATTTAATACATATTACATATTATCCATATATTCATATATTTCTATATTATATAAATATATAATTATATTTTATAATATATAATCATTTTATAATTATATATATAATTATATATAATTTATATTTATATAATTGTTTATAATTATATATAATTATATATCATTTATAATTAATTATATATAATTATAAATTATATTTATATATAATTATAAATATATGTAATTATATATTTATATATAAATAAAATTAAATATATAAAATATATAAAATTATATATTTTATATATAATTATAAATAATTATAAATATAAATTATATAATTTATATATAATTATAATCGATTATAACTACCTATTATATAATCTATTTTAACAGTTATATAACCTATCATATAATCTATTATAACAGTATATATTATAATAGATGGTATATATTACATTAATATTAATCACTACTTATTAAAATTAATCATTAAAAATCATTAAATTTCAATCAAAAGTGTTAATATATAATCTATATTATAATATCTATATGTAATATAGTATACATATTACAGTATAATCTATTATAGTATATAATACAATATATTATAAATATATATTATATAATTTGTATAATGTAGATTATATATAATTAATAGAATATATAATGTGGAATACATAAATTATATATAATTGTAAATATATATCATGTTACATTATATAATGTATAATTATGTAGACATTATATGACATATGATGTAGATAAATATAATACATATAAACGCAAATGGTGGGTGATGAAGTGAAGCTGATTGGTGCACGCATACTTCCCGTGCTCACCAATCTGTGGACGGGACGACAGGTAGAATCACCTCTTAGGGTGACTTTGGATCACAGAGTTTATTCGTGTTAATTGCAGCCAGCGTCCTGGGCACAGACCTCTGGGGTCTCCTCCTCCCACCACGTGAACTCCTCTACCCCTGCCCAGCGCCTCCCCAGTCCCCACCGCAGCCCAGCGTTGGCTCCCACCCTGCCCCTCTCTGTCCTGGGAGTTTGCCTCTTTGAGCCTCCATGGGTCAGTGTGGTCGTGAAGGGTTTGTGCTTCTGAGCCGGGCGGCTCTCCCTGTGCCACACGGCCCCCGGAGCGGGGCCTCCTTCTTTCCCAAAGGCTGGGTGGGACACCCCACGTGTGAGGGTGGCCAGGCTTCCACACGTGTCCCCCGTCCCCCCACCGCCCCCGAGACTCACATGGGCTCCCCGCTGTGGACGTATTCCCAGAGCAGCTCCTCGGACAGCTCCGAGAACTTCACCTTCGTTTCCTCGTAGAATTCCGAGACCCTGGTGTCCAGCTGATGGTCTGCAAGGACACAGCCGTGGGGGTGAGCGTGGACGCCAGCTTGTCACCTCCGTGCCCTGACAGCTGCGTGGCTGTGCTGTGGAGGTGTGTACTCGAGCGCAGCGCACAGTTCAGATATGGATGCTTCATGGGAGAATAAGGTTCATTTCGGACAAGAAAAGGGAGAAAGGGGCCGGGCGCGGTGGCTCACGCCTGTCATCCCAGCACCTTGGGAGGCCGAGGCGGGTGGATCACGAGGTCAGGAGTTCGAGACCATCCTGGCTAACACGGTGAAACCCCGTCTCTACTAAAAATACAAAAAATTAGCCAGGCCTGGTAGTAGGTGCCTGTAGTCCCAGCTACTCGGGAGGCTGAGGCAGGAGAATCGCTTGAACCCGGGAGGTGCAGGTTGCAGTGAGCCGAGATCGCGCCCCTGCATTCCAGCCTGGGCCACAGAGCGAGACTCCGTCTCTAAAAAAAACAAAAGAAACAGCAGTTTGGGCGGCCGAGGCGGATGGATCACCAGAGGCCAGGGGTTCGAGACCAGCCTGGCCAACATGGCGAAACCCCGTCTCTACTAAAAATACAAAAATTAGCCGGGCGTGGTGGCATGCACCTGTCATCCCAGCTACTCGGGAGGCTGAGGCAGGAGAATCGCTTGAACCCGGGAGGCGGAGGTTGCAGTGAGCCAAGATCACGCCACTGTACTGCAGCCTGGGCGACAGAGCGAGACTCTGTCTCAAATAAATAAATAATAAAAGAAACAGATGTTTGGTCTGTGCCTCAGGGTCCGGACACAGAGCCCCTGAATCCCGGGGAATCTGTTGAGTGACAGGAGCGAAAGCAGGCGTTTTGCTATGTGGTGACAAGCCCCTTTCATCCGCAGGGGACCTTATGTTAATGAGGGGCCTTTTGGAAAGGGCAGGCTTTGGTTGTCATGGGAACAGGGGGAGGGGGCTGGAGATGGAGTTTGCTCCCCAGTGGCGGATGATGTCGTTAATCCTGGCCTTTTAAGAGACCCAGAAGGGACCGCGCGCGGTGGCTCACGCCTGTCATCCCAGCACTTTGGGAGGCCGAGGCGGGCGGATCACAAGGTCAGGAGATCGAGACCCTCCTGGCTACCACGGTGAAACCCCGTCTCTACTAAAAAAAAAAAAAAAAAAAAAATAGAAAAAATTAGCCGGGCGTGGTGGCGGGCCCGTCGTCCCAGCTACTCGGGAGGCTGAGGCAGGAGAAGGGCGTGAACCCGGGAGGCGGAGCTTGCAGTGAGCCGAGATGGCGCAAGTGCACTCTAGCCTGGGCGATAAAGCGAGACTCTGTCACAAAAAAGAAAAAAAAAAGAGACCCAGAAGGACAGGGTTCAGGGAGCTTCTGGTGGGTGAACACATCAGGGTGTTGGCAGAGCTGTGCCACGGCGGGCATGGAGGCTCCATACATCCTGCACCCAGCACCCTGCGCTGTGCCTGGCTTCTGTCTGGCACTTCCTGACCTGCTCCTTCATAACAAAACCCCAAGCTGGGAAGGAAAGTGCTGTCCCGAGTTCTGTGAGCCCCTCGAGCAAATGACCCAACCTGAGCAGGTGCTTGCAGGAGCCAGCAGTGAGCGGCAGGTGGGTGAGAAAACTACAGGTGTGACCAGGGATATGGGGCTGGGATTGTGCGTGGAGGTCCCATGGGACCCGGCCCTTCACCTGTGGGATCTGCGCTAACTCCGACGGCTACTGTCAGAACTGACTGAATTCTACGATGCCTCCTGGTGTCCGCCAACAAGCTGGGAATGGGTTGGTGCAGGAAGAACCCAGCAATATGGTGATACAACTGCCTGGGCCGGGCACCGTGGTGCACACCTGCAGTCCCAGCAATATGGTGAACACCTGCAGTCCCAGCACTTTGGGAGGCTGAGATGGGAGGATTTCTTCAGCCCAGGAGTTCGAGACCAGTCTGGGCAACATAGCAAGACCGCACCTCTATAAAAAATACAAAAATGAGCCAGGTGTGGTGGCGTGTGCCTGTAGTTTCTGTGACTGTAGGGGCTGAGGCGGGAGGATCGCTGGAGCTCAGGAGGTCGAGGCTGCAGTGAGCTATGATCACACCACTGCACTCCAGCCTGGGTGACAGAGGGAGACCCTGTCTCAAAAAAAAAAAAAAGAAAGAAAGAAAGAGAAAGGCCGGGTGCAGTAGCTCACACCTGTAATCCCAGCACTTTGGGAGGCTGAGGCGGGTGGATCACCTGAGGTCAGGAGTTCGAGACCAGCCTGGCCAACATGGTGAAACCCCGTCTCTACTAAAAATACAAAAATTAGCCGGGCATGGTGGTGGGCACCTGTAATCCCAGCTACTGAGGCAGAAGGATCACTTGAACTTGGGAGGCGGAGGTTGCAGTGAGCTGAGATCGTGCCACTGCCCTCCAGCCTGGGTAAGAGAGCGAGACTCCATCTCAAAAAAAAAAAAAAAAGAAAGAAAAAGAAAAAGATAAAACCACACGTTTTCCTTTGTCCTGCAGACTTCCAAATCGGCGGACAACTTTCCCAAGCAGGACATAGGCACAAACCCCTCCACAGGTGGGGGTGAGCAACCGTCCTCCTCCCTCAAGCCAAGGGTCCCGAGAATGTCCCGGGTCCTTGTCTCGGCCTCTGGGGCTACCCCGAAACCTGGGCCGCGGTTACCTTTGCTGGAGCAGTGGACGATCGCGACACCTGTGAACACGCTGTGTTCTCTCCCACTCAACCTGTAAGACAACAACGGGTGACCACGTGACCATGCTGTGACCCGTGGGAGCTACAAAGCGAGTTTCTCAAAACCAGGGGAGGCAGCGAGGCGTCCTTAATCCTGGATCCGTCCCCAGCATCTTCTCCCCGATCGTCCCGCTGTGGGGTCTCCAGGGAAACCTTTACGGAGAGGCCGAGGGAAGGGGTCACAAATCCCACCAGCAGTGGCCCTGACGGGAGGCGCCAGGCCAGGCAGCTCTCAGCTGGGCCTATGGCGGGCAGGGGGTGCATCTCTTCCACGTCCTGGGATGGGGATGACGTCCCAGGCTACGGGCTCAGGTCCAGGATGCCCAGTGGGAAGGACAGGACACTGCCAACTTCTCATGACCCCAACAGTCTGCAGTGGGCATGAGACATTCTGGGATCAGTGCTGCAGAATCCTAGACAAGGATGAGCATGGAGGGATAGTGCCTGCCTCCCTGCATAGCTCAGACAGCACAGCTCAGACAGCACAGCTCAGACGGCAGAGCTGACAGAGATCCACCCTGCTCCCCAGGACACCCGGCCAGATACCACAGCTACTCTGTGGCTCAGAACCCGAGAGGGCTCAGAGGCCAACATGGTGCTTACCGGGACAGCATCCTGTAGGCGTCCTGCTTGTCCACCGGCTTCTCCAGAATCAGCCCCCCGACTGTCTGTGAGAGGAAGGGACAGAGGGAGTTGGTTCCCACCGGCTGGGTCAGGCCTGTGCAAGTCCCACGGTCCCATTCGCAGAAGTCACTTGTTTTATGGAAATGAAGCTGACACGTCCTGAGAGTCGCCATTTCAAACAACTAACCAGAGTTGCCATGTTGTACCACCACTACCTGCCTGGTTCCAGGATGTTCTCTTCACTCCAGAAGGAGACCCTGTCCCCACGCAGCTGTCCCTCCCCAGTGCGCCTCCCCAGATCCTGGTAACCGCCCATCCTCTTTCTTTCACCGTGCGTTTGCCTGTTGCGGACGTGGTGTAGTCATGGAATCCTGCAACGTGTGGTCCTCCGGGGCTGGTTTCTGTCACTGACCGTGATGTCCTCAACATTCATCCATGTTGCAGCCTGTTTCACAGCCTCGTTCCTTTCCTTTTCTTGAGATGGAGTCTCACTCTGTCGCCCAGGCTGGAGTGCAGTGGCACGGTCTTGGCTCACTGCAACCTCCGCCTCCGGGGTTCAAGTGATTCTCCTGCCTCAGCCTCCCGAGTTGCTGGGAATACAGGTGCACACCACCATGCCTGGCTAATTTTTGTTATTTTTTATTTATTTATTTTTTGAGACAGAGTCTCGCTCTATCACCCAGGCTGGAGTGCAGTGGCGCGATCTCGGCTCACTGCAAGCTCCGCCTCCCGGGTTCACGCCATTCTCCTGCCTCAGCCTCCCGAGTAGCTGGGACTACAGGCGCCCGCCACCACACCCGGCTAATTTTTTGTATTTTTAGTAGAGACGGGGTTTCACCATGTTGGCCAGGATGGTCTCGATCTCCTGACCTTGTGATCCACCCGCCTCGGCCTCCCAAAGTGCTGGGATGACAGGGGTGAGCCACCGCACCCGGCCAGCCTCATTCCTGTTCATGGCTGCATAATATTCCACTGTGTGTGGATGGACCATGTTGTAATTTCCCATTTACCCACTGACAGACACTTGAGCTGTTTCTGCCTTTTAGCTGTTGTGAATAGTGCTGCTGTGAACATTCATGTAGAAGGTTTTGGTGGAACACCTGTTTTGAATCCTTTTGGGTACATACAAGAGTAGATGTATTAGTCTGACTGGGCCACCATAGCAAAGTCCTACAACCCAGGTGGCTTAAACTACAGACATTGATTCTCCCATCGTCGTGGAGACTGGAAGGGCGAGATCCAGGTGTGGGCAGGGCTGGTTCCTCCTGAAGCCTCTCTCCTGGGCTTGGAGATGCCATCTTCTCCCTGTGTCCTCACAGACTCGTCC
The DNA here is from genome assembly GCF_000001405.40 of Homo sapiens. Lineage (NCBI taxonomy): Eukaryota > Metazoa > Chordata > Mammalia > Primates > Hominidae > Homo > Homo sapiens. The sequence continues at coordinate 1,437,042 of NC_000023.11, forward strand.
CTCTGTATCTGTGTCCTCATCTCCTCTTCTTATGAGATGCTTTAGTCCATCTCAGGCTGCTGTCACAGAATACCACAGACTGGGTGGCTTATAAACAACAGGCAGTGATTCTCCCACAGCCCTGGAGGCTGGAGGTCTGAGATCCAGGTGTGGGCAGGGCTGGTTCCTCCTGAGGCCTCTCTCCTAGGCTTGTAGACGCCGTCTTCTCCCTGTGTCCTCACAGGGTCATCCCTCTGTGTGTGTCTGTGTCCTTATCTGCTCTTCTTATGAGGTGTCTTAGTCCATTTCAGGCTGCTAAAACAATACTATAGACTGGGTGGCTTATAAACAGCAGACATTGATTCTTCCATAATCCTGGAGTCTGGAAGTCTGAGATCCAGGTGTGGGCAGGGCTGGTTCCTCCTGAGGCCTCTCTCCTGGGCTTGGAGACGCCGTCTTCCCCCTGTGTCCTCACAGGGTCGTCCCTCTGTGTGTGTCTGTGTCCTCATCTCCTCTTCTTATGAGATGTCTTAGTCCATTTCAGGCTGCTATCACAGAATACCATAGACTGGGTGGCTTATGAACAAAAGACATGGGCCGGGCGTGGTGGCTCACGCCTGTAATCCTAGCACTTTGGGATGCCGAGGCGGGTGGATCACAAGGTCAGGAGATCGAGACCATCCTGGCCAACATGGTGAAACCCCGTCTCTACTAAAAATACAAAAAATTAGCCACACGTGGTCGCGCGCACCTGTAGTCCCCGCTACTCGGGAGGCTGAGGCAGGAGAATCATTGAAACCCGGGAGGCGGAGGTTGCAATGAGCTGAGATCATGCCACTACAGTCCAGCCTGGCGACAGAGTGAGACTCCATCTCAAAAAAAAAAAAAAGGAGAAATGGGTCTTTGCCTAGGTAATTAAGATGCGGTTGGACAGAATTAGGATGCGCATTTTATGAGTGGTGTTGTTAAAAGAAGGGGAAAATTTCAGCCGGGCGCGGTGGCTCACGCCTGTCATCCCAGCACTGTGGGAGGCTAAGGTGGGCAGATCACTTGAGGTCGGGAGTTTGAGACCAGCCTGGCCAACATGGTGAAACCCCGTCTCTACTAAAAATACAAAAATCAGCCGGGCGTGGTGGCGGGTGCCTGTGATCCCAGCTACTCAGGAGGCAGGAGAATCGCTTGAACCCGGGAGGCGGAGGTCCCGGTGAGCCGAGATCACGCCACTGTAATCCAGCCTGGGCAACACAGTGAGACTCTCTCTCAAAAAAAAAAAAGAAGAGGGAAATTTGGCCACAGACACCCAGAGGGGAGAAGGCCACATGGAGATGGAGGCACAGATAGGAACCACAGGGCCATGAGCCAAAGGAGACAATGGGTTGCCAACAGCCTCTAGGAGCTGGAGAAAGACCAAGACCAACTTCTCCTCAGTACCTCTGGAAGGAAGAAACCCTACAGACACCGTGATTTGTGGTTGCTGGCCTCTAGAACTGCGTACCTTCCTGTGCCTTTTGAGACGGAGTCTCGCTCTTGTCACCCAGGCTGGAGTGCAGTGGCGCGATCTCGGCTCACTGCAACCCCGCCTCCTGGGTTCGAGCGATTCCCCTGCCTCAGCCTCCCGAGTAGCTGCGATTACAGGCGGAGTCTGTATTCTGTATCATTGATGATATAGAATTAATGTAGCTTATCTGTTACTATGTGTTATAATATTCTCTTGCAATTGATATCATATAGTATCACTTATGATACTATCAATTAGCCACCACGTCTGGCTAATTTTTGTATTTTTAGTAGAGATGGGGTTTTACCGTGTTGGTCGGGCTGATCTCGAACCCATGACCTAAGGTGATCCGCCCACCTCGGCCTCCCAAAATGCTGGGATGACAGGGGTGAGCCACGGCGCCTGGCCCCTTCCCGTGCCCTTAGGCCCCTCATCTGCTGGTAGTTTGTGATGGGAGTTTCTGGAAGCGAGTCCACTGCTGTCTTAAGGGGAATGTACAACATCCACAAGAGGCAGAATCACCAAGCACAGGAAAACCACATCGGACATTAGAAACGAGGCACCCTGGCCGCACTCACCACGATCGTGTCCGCTCCAATGACCACGTCGGGGGCCCGCAGGTCTTTCTGTAAGAAAACCAGATTCCGGTTTACCGGTGACGTGCCGTGGGTCTCACAGAGAAGTTTTCCCGTCGGTACGGGCGTGAAAGAGCACCGCAGGGGCGAAGCCAGGCCGACTTTGGAAGTGAAGGCTGGGGGTGCTCAAGGTCACGAGCAAGGACACAAGTGGGTCCCGCCGGTGGTCGCCCTGCAGGGGCTGGAACGTGGGTGAGGCCGGGGCCCACGGGGGCTGCGTGATCAGGGGTCAGGCACTCACGGAGCATCTCACGGGCACTACGGGAAACGCAATGCCTGTTCCGTAAGCTTTTGTTCTTCCGGGCGGCAGGTAAGGTTTGATTCAGGGGCCCCAAACCTCCCTGAGTTACCCAGAATTAAGGCCAAAAGGTTTTTGATCCGTTCAATGTAATTTCAGAAAAAGCTACTTAGGGCTGGGCGCGGTGGCTCACGCCTGTCATCCCAGCACTCTGGGAGGCCGAGGCGGGCGCATCTCCTGAGGTCAGGAGTTCGAGACCAGCCTGGCCAACATGGTGAAACCCCGTCTCTACTAAAAATACAAAATATCAGTCGGGCACCTGTAATCTCAGCTACTCAGGAGGCTGAGGCAGCAGAATCGCTTGAACCTAGGAGGCGGAGGTTGCAGTGAGCCAAGGTTGCGCACCTGCACTCCAGCCTGGGTGACAGAGTGAGACTCAGTCTCCAAAAAAAAAAAGAAAAAAAAAAACAAGGAAAAGAAAGAAAAAGAAAAAGGTACTTAGGACGATAAAACAAATCCAGGTTGAAAATTCAGCCTCAGAGCAACAGGCAGTCACAGGACATCTGTGTGCAGCTTTGACCTTAGCTCAGCCCCGCACTGGCCTCCCTAAGCTGTGCACTGCCAAAACCCACAATCAATACTCCTGTCTTGATAGCACGACTCACAACAGCCTTACCTCTAATGTATTTCTTTCTTTCTTTTTTTTTTTTTTTGAGATGGAGTCTCGCTCTGTCGCCCAGGCTGGAGGGCAGTGGCGCGACCTCGGCTCACTGCAAGCTCCGCCTCCCGGGTTCACGCCATTCTCCCGCCTCAGCCTCCCGAGTAGCTGGGACTACAGGCGCCCGCCACCGCGCCCAGCCAATATTTTGTGTGTGTTTTTAGTACAGACGGGGTTTCACCGTGTGAGCCAGGATGGTCTTGAACTCCTGACCTCGTGATCCGCCCGCCTCGGCCTCCCAAAGTGCTGGGATGACAGGTGTGAGCCACTGCACCCGGCCCCGAATGTATTTCTTATATTAACAGTAATGGTATATTGTGTGGTAACACACAGCAGCAGGGAAGCTACATTAACTCTATATCCTAAATGATAGCATTATATTCATTGTAACAGCAAGTTAAAACACACAGTAATAGCTATGTTAATTTTATATACTGTGACTGACATTATGTTAGAGTCATATATAACATATAGTAATTGATAAGCTACATTAATTGTACATCCTAAATGACAGTAGTGTATTAATTATAATAGTGTATTACGGTGGGGTGCGGTGGCTCACGCCTGTAATCCCAACACTCCGGGAGGCCGAGGCGGGTGGATCACCTGAGGTCAGGAGTTGGAGACCAGCCTGGCCAACATGGTGAAGCCCCATCTCTACTAAAATAATATGTATTACATAGGAGCATATAGTAACAGATAAATGACATAATTCTACATTATGATACAATTATATTAATTGTCATAGTATATTACATAGTATCACACAGTAACATATTAATTCTATGTATCACAACACATAGTAATGGATGTTAATTCTATATCGTAACTGATATTACTATATTAATTGCAATATTATATTCAAACATAGTAACAAGCTACATGAATCTTAAATCTTAAATGATAGTAGTATATTAATTATAATTGTATATTGCATTGTAGCATACAGCAACAGATAAACTGCATAATTCTATATTATAAATGATATTATTTTAATTAAAATCCGATATTACTTAGTGGCATGGTAATAAGCTACATAATTCTATATCATAAATGATACTATTATATTAATTGCAAGAGAATATTATAACACATAGTAATAGATAAGCTACATTAATTGTATATCATCAACGAGACTATTATATTGATTGCAAGATAATTTTTGTTTTAATTTTTTATTTTTTGGAGACGAAGTCTTGCTCTGTTGCCTAAGTTGGAGTGCAGTGGGATGATCTCGGCTCACTGCAACTTCCGTCTCCCAGGTTCACGCAATTCTCCTGCCTCAGCCTCCTGAGTAGCTGGGATTACAGGCACCCGCCACCACGCCCAGCTAATTTTTGTATGTTTAGTAGAGACGGGGTTTCACCCTGTTGGTCAGGCTGGTCTCGAATTCCTGACCTCAGGTGATCTGTCCGCCTTGGCCTCCCAAAGTGCTAGGATTATAGGTATGAGCCACCGCGACCGGCCACAAGAGATTATAATACATAGTAATAGATAAGCTACATTAATTCTATATCATAAATGATACTATGAAATCAATTGCAAGAGAATATTATAACACATAGTAACAGATAATCTACATTAATTCTATATCATAAATGATACTGTGATATCAATTGTGACAATATTATAACACATAGTAATAGATAAGCTACATTAATTCTGTATCATCAATGATACTATGATATCAATTGCAAGAGGATATTATAACACATAGTAATAGATAAGCTACATTAATTGTATATCATAAATGATACTGTATCAATTGCGAGAAATTATTATAACACATAGTAACAGATAAGCTACATTAATTGTATATCATCAATGATACTGTATCAATTGCAAGAGAATATTATAACACACAGTAACAGATAAGCTCCATTAATTCTGTATCATTAATGGTATTATTAGGTTACTGCAATAGTGCATTACATTATAACATAGCAATAGCTAAGCTGTGCCACCAACTGCATCTTTTGAATGACGTTTATTTGTGTCATGTATATTTACCACCCGCAAATCCCCTCATCACAGCAAAGGAATTTTCATAAGGGCCGAAGGGCAGGGGCCCCTTGCCTGGTACAGCCGGTTGGCCACCTCCAGGGCCTTCTGCTTGGCGGTCTCCATGGCGTACCCATACGGAGTAGCGAAGGAGGCTTTGTCCAGCTTCTCTTTAAACTTGGAGGGGACCACCTCAAACCTGAGACCCTGCAACAGTAGAAAAGGGGTCAGAAGGGTCAATGAAAGACCCTATGAAAAGTGAATGGGACATGCAAGATTTGCAGGACGCACATAGCGTTTGCTACACTCCCCGACCCTGTCCCAGGTGAGCTCATCCATCCGCCAAGCTTTCCCTAAGTGTGGCTGGGGAGCCGGGGACTGACCAGGGCTTTCCCTAAGTGTGGTTAGTGGGCCGCGGACTGACCAGGGGCCTTCAGGGACTGACCAGGGGCCTTCTTGGCTCTCGAGGGAAGAGATTGGCAAAGGAAGAAGCCAGGAACAAAGAGGCCAGCAGGGAGGTATTGACTCGGGCCTTGAACCCACGAGCCAACAGTGTCCGAGGATTCCCAGAGACCTGAAGGTTGGGGCAGAGTACAAAACCCAACCTGCCCACAGGAAATTCAGGAAAAACGCCAGCAATGATGGCTGTGGGAAGGGAGACAATGATGGCTCTACGTCAATCCCTGGTACCCAGGAAGAGACAACACCGCCCCTGGGGAGGCCTGGCCTAGAGGTAGTGACCCCTGCAGAGACCGTGGGGTCAGGAATGATGGTGGTAAATGCCTCCAGTGGGGGAGCCCCTGGCTGCCACACCCTGCCAGGGTGCAGGGAACTCCGCATCTCCCCTCTGACCATCTCCCCTCTGACAGAGCAAAAGCATCGCCATCTTGGACACACACCGCCATCTTGGAGAGACACCACCATCTTGGACGCATACCACCATCGTGGACACACACCGTCGTCGTGGACACACACTGCCATCTGGGACACACACCGTCGTCGTGGACACACACCGCCGTCGTGGACACACGCCGCCATCTTGGACACACACCGCCATCGTGGACACACACCGCCATCGTGGACACACACTGCCATCTGGGACACACACCGTCGTCGTGCACACACACCGCCGTCGTGGACACACGCCGCCGTCTTGGACACACACCGCCATCATGGACACACACCGCCATCTTGGACACACACCGCCATCTTGGACACACACCGCCATCTTGGACAGACACCGCCATCTTGGACACACACCACCATCATGGACACACGCCGCCATCTTGGACACACGCCGCCATCTTGGACACACACCGCCATCTTGGACAGACACCGCCATCTTGGACACACACCACCATCGTGGACACATGCCGCCATCTTGGCCATCATGGACACAGTGTCATTGTGGACACACACCGCCATCTTGGACAGACACCTCCATCTTGGACACACACCGCCATCATGGACACACACCGCCATCTTGGACAGACACCGCCATCGTGGACAGACACCGCCATCGTGGACAGACACCGCCATCATGGACACACACCGCCATCATGGACACACACCGCCATCGTGGACACACACTGCCATCTTGGCCATCGTGGACACACACCCCCATCGTGGACAGACATCATCGTGGACACACACTGCCATCTTGGCCATCGTGGACACACACCCCCATCGTGGACAGACACCATCGTGGACACACACCGCCATTTTGGCCATCGAGGACACACACCACCATCGTGGACAGACACCGCCGTCGTGGACAGACACCCCCATCATGGACACACACCGCCATCTTGGACAGACACCCCCGTCTTGGACAGACACTGCCATGTTGGACACACACTTCCATTTTAAGTTCCCTTGATTAAAAACTGCCTAAATCCAGCCCCCAAACATCAGCCTAATGGCTAATGTCAGCATGACCAGAAACATTCCAGCCGTGGGATAAACCCCTCTGTGACCAGAAACCTCCCCTCCGACCAGAGACAGTCCAACCCCGCAATCAATTTTCCCTCACACAGAAACATTCCGAGCCTGCGAGAAGCCCCCTTTTCCAAAACCCTTTGCTGAGCCACTTTTTGTATTTTTTTTTTTTTTTTTGAAACGGAGTCTCGCTGTGTCGCCCAGGCTGGAGGGGCAGTGATGCCATCTCGGCTCACTGCAAGCTCCATCTCCCAGGATCAAGCGATTCTCCTGCCTCAGTCTCCCGAGTAGCTGGGATTGCAGGTGGGCGCCACCACACCCGGCTAATTTTTGTATTTTTAATAGAGATGGGGTTTCACCATGTTGGTCAGGCTGGTGTCGAACTCCTGACCTCAGGTGATCCGCCCGCCTCGGCCTCCCAAAGTGCTGGGATTACAGATGTGAGCCTCTGCGCCCAGGCTCACTTTCTATATTTGTTTCCTCCTTCTTAAACTCTTACATTTGGTGCCGAAACCCAGGACAGGTGTTACGGACAGAGGCCCTTTTGCAACCCAGGATGCAGTGGGCAGGGGCAGCCTGTCCCGGGCTAACTCCTGGATCCTTTAGAGCCTCTGGCCCTCTGACCCTGTCCTTTCTCTCTCTCCCTCTTTGAGTGTTGGGAGTGGAGGTTCTCTTGCAACCCAGGAAGCTGTGGGCAGCAGCAGCTCATCCTGGGCTAACTCCTGGATCGTGAGGGTCTCTGGCCACCCCTCCCATCTTTTCTCTCCATTCACCTTCCAAGCAATTTGTGTGAGGAAGACAACTCATGTAAAGGGGACTTAGAGGCTCAAGCTGGAGGGTTCTCAAAACCCTCAGGTCTCAGAAATCCACCTCTGACCCCCTGCAACAGGTATTTCGCTCCCTAACCCTTGCTTCGTCTTCCTCTCTCTTCGTCCGTCTTCTTCCCTCTTCTCTCTCTCTCTCTGTCTTCCCTGCGCGGCTCCAGTTTGGGAGCCCCTTTGCCAATTCCAACAGGAACATCCAACATCAGACACAAATCCAGCCGTCTGGTAAGATCTGCCCTCCTCTGACTTTTGGTACCCAGGAAAAGTCAGGTCGGCCATCCCAGTCCTCGGAGGACCAGCGGCACTAAGCTAGAAGCGATCTTGAGGGATGCCCAGTATCTTCTCAGCTTGGCCGTCCTCCTTATAAAGAGGATTCTGGGTCTCTGTCTTTTGTCTGGGGTTGCCTAAAACACAAACAGACACTCTCGGCTTCCTTTTACCAGCCCACGTGGGTGCCAAACAACCCGACATTCCTATGTCCTCCTCTCTGGGATGTCTCCTTTCCAACCTGGCCAAACTTGGCTTACAGAGGAACCTAAAGCCAGAGTGTTGAATTTTTTATTGCAATAGTCTGGCATCAATACAAACTACATAATGACAGCAGATGGCCCGAACATAGCACCTTTAACTTGCAAATTCTCAGGGACCTTGACAACTTTATCACCAGGAAATGGCAAGAGGTTCCCTATACTCAGGCTATCTTCTACCCTCCCTATGTCAAGTTGCACCTCTCATTGTGGGCGGCAAGACACCCAGGTGCTGAGGCAAGAGACCGAGGACACGAGCTCTTCCGGTATATGATAAAATATAAAACGAGAAAGTTATACCAGATATAGATCTTAGATATGGTTATATATGAATATCATTAATCATTAGTTGGTAGTAATTACTCTTTATACCAATCTTATAATAATCCTTGCTCTAGAATCATAATGTAGGAAAAGCCAGGCCATACAGAGATAGGAGCTGAGGGGACATGGTGAGGTGCGACCAGAAGACGAGCGCGAGCCTTCTGTTATGCCCAGACGGGGTCACCAAAGGGAGTCTCCCTTTCCCTGGGGGGGTTTAGAGAAGACTCTGCTCCTCCACCTCCTGTGGAGGACCTGACATCAGTCAGACCCGCCCGCAGTTATCCGGAGGCCTAACCCTCTCCCTGTGGTGCTTTGCTTCAGTGGTCACACGCTCCTAGTCCGCCTTCATGTTCCATCCTGTACACCTGGCTCTGCCTTTAGTTAGCAGGAGCAAATTAGTGAAAGTACTAAAAGTGTCTGATAAGCAGAAATAATGGCGTAAGCTGTTTCTCTCCTTCTCCTCTCTCTCTCTGCCTCGGCGGCCAGGCAGGGAAGGGCCCCCTGTCCAGTGGACACGTGACTCACGTGACCTTACCTATCATTGGAGATGGCTCACACTCCTTACCCTGCTCCTTTGTCTTGTATCCAATAAATATCAGCGCAGCCTGGCATTCGGGACCACCACCAGTCTCCGCGTCTTGGTGGTAGTGGTCCCCCGGGCCCAGCTGCCTTTTCTTTTATCTCTTTGTCTTGTGTCTTTATTTCTACACTCTCATGCCTCCGCACACAGGGAGAGATCCACTGACCCTGTGGGGCTGGTCCCTACATCTCATGACATTTTTTTTTTTTTTTTTGAGACGGAGTCTTGCTCTGTCGCCCAGGCTGGAGTGCAGTGGTGCCATCTCGGTTCACTGCAACCTCTGCCTCCCAGGTTCAAGCGATTCTCCTGCCTCAGCCTCCCAAGTAGCTGGGACTGCAGGCGCCCGCCACCACGCCCGGCTAATTTTTTGTAATTTTAGTAGAGACGGGGTTTCACCATGTTAGCCAGGATGGTCTCGATCTCCTGACCTCGTGATCCGCCAACCTCGGCCTCCCAAACTGCTGGGATTACAGGCATGAGCCACCATGCCCAGCCCATAATTTGTCTTTTAATAAAAGTGGGAAAACTGGAAAAAGAAAAATCGTGTTTGAAAAACTATAGTTACCCCTGTCGTGAAATTCTAGTCTTGCCTAATGGTTTTCAGTTTTTATTCTTTTCTACGGTTTGAATTAAATTCTAATTTTTCTGGCTACATGTCTCCAAGATAATGTTTTGCATTCTTTTCCTTTTTCTTTTTCTCCAATTTTTCCTAACTGAAAACCTCTGAAACCCAAGTTCTGCTTTCTTAAAGCCCTGTGAACTAAAAGCTAGATGTTTCAACGGGTGCTGCTTGGAAGGCCCCTAAAGAGTGCTACCAGGAACAAATCAACCTCTTCCCCTCCAGGGCTGTGTTTGGTGACCCGTAATAACCACCTCCCTCAGCAGGAAGTGGCCAGAAAGAACACACCACCCCTCGTCCTGTTATAACTAGAGGGTCTGGATTCACAGAGCAGGAGCATTGCCATCTTCGACACACACTGCCATCTTGGACCCATTACACCATCTTGGACACACACCGCCATCTTGGATAAGCACCACCATCTTGGACACACAACATCTTGGACACACATGGCCATCTTGGAGAAGCACCACCATCTTGGACACACACTGCCATCTTGGATAAGCACCACCATCTTGGACACACACCATCTTGGACACACACGGCCATGTTGGAGAAGCACCACCATCTTGGACACACACCGCCATCTGGGAGAAGCACCACCATCTTGGACACACACCATCTTGGACACACACGGCCATCTTGGATAAGCACCACCATCTTGGAGACACACCATCTTGGACACACACCGCCATCTTGGATAAGCACCACCATCTTGGAGACACACCATCTTGGACACACACCGCCATCTTGGAGAAGCACCACCATCTTGGACACACACCATCTTGGACAAGCACTGCCATCTTGGACATGCATGGCCATCTTTGACACACACCACCATCTTGGACACACACCGCCATCTTGGATAAGCACCACCATCTTGGACACACACAGCTATCTTGGATAAGCACTACCATCTTGGACACACACCATCTGGGACACACACTGCCATCTTGGACCCATAACACCATCTTGGACAAGCACCGCCATCTTGGACACACCGCCATCTTGGATACACAACACCATCTTGGAAAAGCACCACCATCTTGGACACACACCGCCATCTTGGATAAGAACCACCATCTTGGACACACACCATCTTGGACACACACCGCCATCTTGGATAAGAACCACCATCTTGGACACACACCATCTTGGACACACACAGCCATCTTGGATAAGCACCACCATCTTGGACACACACCATCTTGGACACACACCGCCATCTTGGATAAGCACCACCATCTTGGACACACACCGCCATCTTGGATAAGCACCACCATCTTGGACACACACCATCTTGGACACACACTGCCATCTTGGATAAGCACCACCATCTTGGACACACAACATCTTGGACACACACCGCCATCTTGGATAAGCACCACCATCTTGGACACACACCATCTGGGACACACACTGCCATCTTGGACCCATAACACCATCTTGGACAAGCACCACCATCTTGGACACACCGCCATCTTGGACACGCCACCATCTTGGATACACACCACCATCTTGGAAAAGCACCACCATCTTGGACACACAACATCTTGGACACACACTGCCATCTTGGATAAGCACCACCATCTTGGACACATGCCGCCATCTTGGACACACACTGCCATCTTGGATAAGCACCACCATCTTGGACACACACCATCTTGGACACACACGGCCATCTTGGATAAGCACCACCATCTTGGACACACACCGCCATCTTGGATAAGCACCACCATCTTGGAGACACACCATCTTGGACACACACTGCCATCTTGGAGAAGCACCACCATCTTGGACACACACCATCTGGGACACACACCACCATCTTGGATAAGCACCACCATCTTGGACACACACCGCCATCTTGGATAAGCACCACCATCTTGGACAAGCACTGCCATCTTGGACATGCATGGTCATCTTTGACACACACCACCATCTTGGACACACACCGCCATCTTGGACAAGCATTGCCATTTTAAGTTCCCGTGATTAAAAACTGCCTAAAACCAGCCCCAAAACATCAGCCTAATGGCTAATGTCAGCATGACCAGAAACAGTCAAAGCCTGAAATAAACCGCCTCTGACCAGAAACATCCCAAGCCCAAGATAACCTCCTTCAGACCAGAGACATTCTAACACCTCAGTCAACTTTGCCTCACAGGGAAACATTCCGAGCCTGCGATAAGATTCCCCTTCCTAAACCCTTAAATACCCTTAGTCTGTAAGAGAGAACACTCCTGACCTAACTCAGCCAGAAGCCCCGCTCAGGCTTGTTCTCCAAAATAAACCCGTCTTTGACTGTGAAGCTGCTTTTCTTTTTTCGTCTTTCTTCCACTCTTCTACACTCCTCAGCGCTCCTCACCTCTTGAAGGTGCCCCCAGATCCTGGCCCTGACGCCCATCCTGGTCTTCAGGGCACCAGTCACCAAGCCCTGGACCTGCCCTGCAGATCTCAACCCCAGATCATATAGACCCCTGCCCTATGCCCTGTCACCCCCAATCATGGAGACCCATGCCTTCTGTGAGGCACCCTGACCACTCTCATCCCCGTCACTAGGACCAGGCATGTGGTGTCCCCCCTCCCAGGGTACCAGACCTCCAGTCCGTAGTCCCCAAGAGTAGACTCCTGCCCCACTGCACCATCCATAGGCAACCAGTAACTACCCTACCATCACCAGTAACTTCTCTGCCATCACCAGTAACTACCTCACATCACCAGTAACTACCCCCCATCACCAGTAACTATGCCCCATCATCAAACCCAGTAACTACCCCCCATCACCAGTAACTATCCACCATCACCAGTAACTATCCCCCATCACCAGTAACTATGCCCCATCATCACCAGTAACTATCCCCCCATCACCAGTAACTATCTCCCATCAACAGTAACTATCCTCCCATCACCAGTAACTATCCCCACATCACCAGTAACTACCCCCATCACCAATAACTATGCCCCATCATCAAACCCAGTAACTATCCCACCATCACCAGTAACTAACCCCCACCACCAGTAAATATGCCCCATCATCACCAGTAACTATCCCTCATCACCGGTAACTACGCCCCATCACCAGTAACTATCTCCCATCACCAGTAACTATCCCCCATCACCAGTAACTATCCTTCCATCACCAGTAACTATGCCCCCATCACCAGTAACTATCCCATCACCAGTAACTATCACCCCATTACCAGTAACTATCCCACATCACCTATAACTATCCGCCTGTCACCAGTAACTACCCCCCATCACAAGTAACTATCCCTTCATCACTAGACCGTCTCCTCCATGTGATTAGGGCTCCAGAGAGAGGCAGACACCCACTACCTAGGCGTCCTACCACCCGGAATAAGATCCTCATGGGGGCACCAGGAAACACTTCCCATACCCCAGCTACAAAGTCCAACCATCAGTCACAGGGCCCACTCCATCCCTAGAAGTCCTGAGTCACTCACCTCCCCAATCCCTAGGGGTCCCAGGTCACTCCCCTCCCCCACCCCTAGGGGGTCCCGGGTTACTCTCCCCTCCCCCATTCCTAGGGGTCTTGGATTACTCTCCCCTCCCTTATCCCTAGGAGGTCCTGGATCACACTCCCCTCCCCCATCACTAGGGCATCCTGGGTCACTCTCCCCTCCCCCATCCCTAGGGGCTCTGGGTCACTCTCCCCTCCCCCATCCCTAGGGGTTCTGGGTCACTCTCCCCTCCCCCATCCCTAGGGGTTCTGGGTCACTCTCCCCTCCCCCATCCCTAGGGGGTTCCGGGTCACACTCCCCAACCCCATCCCTAGGGGTTCTGGGTTACTCTCCCCTCCCCCATCCCTAGGGTTCCCGGGTTACTCTCCCCTCCCCCAACCCTAGGGGTCCCAGGTTACTTTCCCCACCCACATCCCTAGGCGGTACTGGATCACTCTCCCCTCCCCCATCCCTAGGGGTCCCGGGTCACTCTGCCCTCCCCCATCCCTATGGGTCCCGGGTCACTCTGCCCTCCCCATTCCTAGGGGGTCCTGGCTCACTCTCCCCTCCCCCATCCCTAGGGGTCCTGGGTTATTCTCCCCTCCCCCATCCCTAGGGGTCCCGGGTCACTCTGCTTTCTCCATTCCTAGGGGGTCCTGGGTCACTCTCCCCTCCCCCATACCTAGGGATTCCGGATCACTCTCCCCTCCCCCATCCCTAGGCGGTCCTGGATCACTCTCCCCTCCCCATTCCTAGGGGGTCCTGGGACACTCCTCCCTCCCCATCCCTAGGGGGTCCTGGGACACTCCTCCCTCCCCATCCCTAAGGGGGTCCCAGGTCACTCTCCCCAACCCCATGCCTAGGGCGTCCTGGGTTACTCTCCCCACCCCCATCCCTAGGGGGTCCTGGGTTACTCTCCCCTTCCCCATCCCTAGGTGGTCCTGGGTCACTCTCCCCTCCCCATTCCTTGGGGGTCCCGGGTCACCCTTCCCTCCCCCATCCCTAGGGGGTCCTGGGTCACTCTCCCCAACCCCATGCCTAGGGGTTCCAGGTCACTCTCCCCTCCCTCATCCTTTTGGGTCCCGGGTTACTCTCCCTACCCCCATCCCTAGGGGGATCCCGGCTTACTCTCCCCTCCCCCATCCCTAGGGGGTCCCAGGTTACTCTCCCATCCCCATTCCTAGGGGGTTCTGGGTCACTCCCTGCAACCCCATGCCTAGGGGTTTCGGGTCACTCTCCCCACCCCCATCCCTAGGGGGGTCCCGGGTCACTTGACCTCCCCATTCCTAGGGGTCCCGGGTTACTCTCCTCTCCCCCATCCCTAGGGGTCCCGGGTTACTCTCCCCACCCCCATCCCTAGGGGGGTCTCGGCTTACTCTCCCTATCCCCAACCCTGGAGGTCCCGGGTTACTCTCCCCATCCCCATGCCTGGGGGTCCCGGGTTACTCTCCCCATCCCCATCCATGGGGCTCCGGGGTCACTCTGCTGTCCCCATCCCTAGCGGTCCTGGGTCACTCCTCCCTCCCCATCCCTAGGGGGTCCCGGGTCACTCTCCCCAACCACATGCCTAGGGCGTCCTGGGTTACTCTCCCCACCCCCATCGCTAGGGGGTCCCAGGTTACAGGTTACTCTCTCCAACCCCATCCCTAAGGTGTCCCGGGTTTCTCTCCCCTCCCCCACCCCTAGGGGGGTCCCGGGTTACTCTCCCCTCCCCCATCCCTAGGGGGTCCTGGGTCACTCTCCCCAACCCCATCCCTAGGGGTCCCGGGTTATTCTCCCCAACCCCATTCCTGGGGGTCTCGGCTTACTCTCCCCATCCCCATGCCTGGGGGTCCCGGGTTACTCTCCTCTCCCCCATCCCTAGGGGTCCCGGGTTACTCCCCCACCCCCATCCCTAGGGGGGGTCTCGGCTTACTCTCCCCATCCCCAACCCTGGAGGTCCCGGGTTACTCTCCCCATCCCCATGCCTGGGGGTCCCGGGTTACTCTCCTCATCCCCATCCATGGGGCTCCGGGGTCACTCTGCTGTCCCCATCCCTAGCGGTCCTGGGTCACTCTACCCTCCCCATTCCTAGGGGTCCCGGGTTACGATCCCCTCCCCCATCCCTATGGGGACCCAGGTCACTCCCCACCCCCATGCCTAGGGGGTTCCGGGTTACTCTCCCCTCCCCCATCCCTAGAGGTTCCGGGTCACTCTCCCCAACCCTATCCCTGGAGGTCCCGGGACACTCTCCCCTCCCCCATCCCTAAGGGTCTCGGGTCACTCTCCCATCCCTATCCCTAGAGTTCCTGAGTCGCTGGGCCCTCCGGGGTTCAGCCCCTCCGTCCCCGGTCCCCTGCCCCGCCCAGGCCCAGGCCGTACCGCGTTGCTGAGGATCTCCTGACGGCGTGGGGAGGCGCTGGCCAGCACCACGCGCTTGTGCAGCAGCTTCCCAATCACCGGGCACAGCACCATGGCGTCCACGCCGGGAGCCGGGCGTCCGCACTTCTGAGCCCGGAGCCCGCGGTGCGCGCAGCGCGGCTGCAAAAAAAACAGGCGGCCAGAGTCCCGCCTCCGCGAGGCCACGCCCCCGCCCGCCTCCGCGAGGCCACGCCCAGTCCGCGCCTTCAGTGGCCTCCCCGCGAGACCGCGCCCAGGCCACGCCTCCATTGAACACTCCGTCAGGCCTCGCCCAGGCCACACCTCCATTGCCCTCTCCACCAGGCCACGCCCATGTCACGCCCCATTGATCTCCCCTGAGACCACGCCCAGACCACGCCTCCATTGCCCTCTCCGTCAGGCCACGCCCAGGCCACACCTCCATTGCCCTCTCCGCCAGGCCACGCCCATGTCACGCCGCCATTGACCGCTCCGCCAGGCCACGCCCAGGCCACACCTCCTTGCCCTCTCCGCCAGGCCACGCCCATGCCACGCCGCCATTGAGCTCCCCGTGAGGCCACGCCCAGGCCACACCCCCGCCCGCCTCCCCCCCGGGCACCGCCCCGGCCGCTTGGTGAAGCACCGCCCCCAGCTCCGCCTCCCGGGCCCCGTCCCCGCCCCCGGCGCTCGCCCCGCCCCTCCCCACCCCGCCTGCGGCGCCAAGACCTGCAATGGCGCAGGCAGCTGCGGGGTCCCGGGGAGGAAAGGCTGGCGTGGATACTTGGGGTTCCTTGCAGGCGCGGCGTGGGGAGTGGAAATGCTGGGTTTCCGCAGCTGCGGTTGTGGGCAGTTGTGGGGGTGGGGGGTTCTTACCCGCACGTGGAGGGGCCCGGCGCAGAGATGGGGGTCTTGTGGGAGCCGCGTCGGGGAAGGTAGAGATAGGGGGTTCCCCGCGGACCCGGTGCGAGTGGCGTGGGGATGGGGATGTCCTCGTGCCTGGTGGGAGGGGAGTGGAGATGGGGGTGTCCACGGGCCTGGTGGGAGGGGCGTGGAGATGGGGGTGTCCACGGGCCTGGTGGGAGGGGCGTGGAGATGGGGGTGTCCACGGGCCTGGTGGGAGGGGCGTGGAGATGGGGGTGTCCACGGGCCTGGTGGGAGGGGCGTGGAGATGGGGGTGTCCACGGGCCTGGTGGGAGGGGCGTGGAGATGGGGGTGTCCACGGGCCTGGTGGGAGGGGCGTGGAGATGGGGATCCCCGCGGGGATGGTGGGAGGGGTTTGGAGATGAGGGTCCCCGCGAGAATGCTCGGAGGGGTATGGATATGGGGGTCCCCGCGGGCCGGGTGGGAAGGGCGGGGAGATGGGTGGGGGGGGGGTCCCCGCGTGCCTGGTGGGAGGGGCGTGGAGAAGGTGGGGGTCCTTGTGGGAGGGGCGTGGACACTGGGGATCCGCGCGGGCGTGGTGATGGGCGCGGCGTGGGGACCCCCTGGGGGCGCGGTGCTGGGGGCGCAGGGATGGGACCAGGGCGGGCGCTGTGAGGTGGGGGACGCCCGGCTGTGCCTTCCCTCCCTAAACGGAGCCCACCTCCAGGGCAGCGGGTCCCTTGCGCGCCGCAGGCTGCAGGGGGCGCGCGTGAGCTGTGCGAGGATTTTTCTTAAACCCCAGAGCCCAGCCGCACCTGCTCCACATAAACCCAGCGTGGCGTGGAGACTCCGGGCACTGTTTCCCCAGCCTTTGTGACTCAAAAGATTTTAAAATAAAATGTCAAAAATAATAATATACCCAGAGCCTATGCCAGTGATGTGTAGATGCAGAAAATGGAATCCTACAGTTAATTTTGTTAACTGTGGAATGACATCCGAGGGTGTCCAACACATTACGGAGAAAACGAAAAACTGTAGTCAGAGAAGTCACAGAAGAGCCAAATAAAAGAGAGGAAAAAAGCATCTAAACCATGTGATGTCTGATTTTCAATATTGTGAGTTTTTGAAAAAAAATTTTAAAAAGCACATAGATTCACATTTCAGAATTTTGGAGAAGTAACTTTCTTCGTTTTGAAGCGATAGAAGGAATCATAAGTTTATAAACTGTACTGCATATAACATAAACTCCATGCAGGTGAAGGTTTTTGTTTGTTTGTTTCTTTCTTTTCTGTTTGTTTCTTTCTTTGTTTTTTGAGACCGAGTCTCACTGTGTCGCCCAGGCTGGAGTGCAATGGTGCAATCTCGGCTCACTGCAACCTCCGCCTCCCAGGTTCAAGCGATTCTCCTGCCTCAGCCTCCTGAGTAGCTAGGATTACAGGCACCTGCCATCACATCGAGCTAATTTTTGTACTTTTAATAGAGATGGGGTTTCGCTGTGTTGGCCAGGCTGGTCTCGAAGTCCTGACCTCAGGTGATCCACCCGACTCAGCCTCCCAAAGTGCTGGGATTACAGGTGTGAGCCACCGGGCCCAGCTGCGGGTGAGATATTAAACATAAAGAAAAATAGCAAAGGAAATTACAGTAATTCTCTATAGAAGATGAAGTGAAGGCTGCCTCTTCCTACACGGGTACAGGCAAAGCTGGAGGGTTTAGTGACCTACAGTGGGGGTTGCTGGTAACTGTCACTCAAAACCCTGGGGCTTAAAACAGCAAAACTTAATTGTATTACAGCTCTGGAGCCCAGACATCTGAAATCAAGGAATAGGCAGGGCCACGCTCCCTCCGAAGGCTCTAGGGGAGGGTCCTTCCTGCCTCTCCCGCTCCTGGGGGCTCCAGGCATCCCTGGGCTTGTGGCCGCATCACTCTAGTCTCTGCCTCCGTCTCTACGTGGGTTTCTCTGTGTCTGTGTCTCCTCTTCTGTCTCTTACAAGGACACCTGTCATTGTGTTTAGGGCCCGTCCTTCTCCAGGATGATCTCATCTCCAGATTGTTAATCATATCTGCAAAGATCCTTTTTCCAAATGAGGTCCCATTCCCAGGCTCTGGGGCTTAGGACATGGACATATGGTTTGGAGCTCACCATCTAAACCATTGCAATTGTGTTTGCTTCCTTCTGGAGGCTCTAGGGGAGGGTGCTTCCTGCCTCTTCCAGCTCCTGGGGGCTCCAGGCATCCCTGGGCTTGTGGCCGCATCACTGCAGTCTCTGCCTCCATCTCCACGTGGCCTTCTCCTCTGTGTCTGTGTCTCCTCTTCTGTCTCTTACAAGGACACCTGTCATTGGACTTAGGGTCCACCTTAATCCAGCATGATATCTTGAAATCATGAACTAATTGCACATGTGAGGACCCTATTTCCAAATAAGGTGCCATTCACCAGGTGGACATATCTATGGGGAGGCACGAATCAACTCAGTCCCCCATACCAGCATTCCAGAAGGAGTGCTAACCAGAGATGGGGTCCAGCAGCCTTTAACATGCCTGTATTTATCCCTATAAGTTCTCCATTACGGCCACATCATTGAAACCCCAGCAGGCAGAGGTTTAACTGCTCTGGAGCCCTGACTACTGCAGCCTCCTCCTGCTCTCAATGTGCCCTTCCGTGACTTTCAGATTTTTCTTTGCTTTTTTTTTTTTTTTTTAGACTGACTCTTGCTCTGTCGCCCAGACTGGAGTACAGTGGCACGATCTTGGCTCACTGCAACCTCCACCTCTCAGGTTCAAGTGGCTTTCCTGCCTCAGCCTCCCGAGTATCTGGGACCGCCACCACACCTGGCTAATTTTTTGTATTTTTTAGTAGAGATGGGGTTTCTCCATGTTTGCCAGGCTGGTCTTGAACTCCCGACCTCAGGTGATCCGCCCACTTCAGCCTCCCAAAATGCTGGAATTACAGGCATGAGCCACTGTGCCCAGCCAATGCCTGTTTTTTGTTTGTTTGTTTGTTTTGTTTTGTTTTGTTTGTTTGTTTTTGAGATGGAGTCTCGCTGTGTCACCCAGGCTGTAGTGCAGTGGCGCGATCTGGGCTCACTGCAAGCTCTGCCTCCTGGGTTCATGCCATTCTCCTGCCTCAGCCTCCCAAGTAGCTGGGACTACAGGCACCCGCCACCGCGCCCGGCTAATTTATTTTTCTATTTTTTAGTAGAGACAGGGTTTCACCATGTTAGCCAGGATGGTCTCGATCTCCTGACCTCATGATCTACCCACCTCGGCCTCCCAAAGTACTGGGATTACAGGTGTGAGCCACCGTGCCCGACCAATGCCTGTCGTTAATAAGCAACCCAGTCTATGGTATTCTGTGATAGCAGCCTGCAATGGACTAAGACATCTGATAAGAAGAGGAGAAGAGGAGCTGAAGACACAGACACACATGGAGGGACGACCCTGTGAGGACACAGGGAGAAGACAGCGTCTCCAAGCCCAGGAGAGAGGCCTCAGGAGGAGCCAGCCTTGCCCACACCTTGACCTCAGACCTCCAGCCTCCAGGACTGTGGAAGAATCGATGTCTGTTGTCTAAGCTGTACAGCGTACAGGACTTTGCTATGGCAACCCCAGCAAACTCATACACCCCGTCCCACCAGGCTGGGCTTCCATCCTTAATGTTCTGTTTTGCATTGAGCCAGCATTGCATGGTTGGAGGTTCAAAGATTCTCAAATGTGTGCATGTGTGTGGGTTTTGTGTAATTCAGTTGCCAGCAACTGAGGAGATCCTACCGTCCAGGAGACACCTGGCAATGTCTGAAGATATTTTTGGCCATCACGTCTGGAGGTGTGCGTGCAGTGCAGGGGTGCTGCTCCCATCTGGTGGGTGGAGCCCAGGGTCTCTGCTCAGCACCGTACAGTGCCCAGGATGGCCCCACCACAGAGAGTCCTCCAGCCCCAAATGTCAGCTGTGCTGAGGTGGGGGAACCCTGAGTCAGCATGAGAGGGTTTGTCTATCATCTATCTATGTATCCATGTTATCCATCATTTATCCAGCTATTCATCTGTCATGTATCCATCTATCTTGTCTATGTATCTATCACTCTTCCATCTATTTAGCCATAATATCTATGTATCTCTCTATCCATCTATGTATGTATGTATGTATCTATCTATCCATCTATGTATGTATGTATGTATGTATCTATCATCTATCTATCCATCTATGTATGTATGTATCTATCATCTATCAATCTATGTATCTATCCATCTGTCTATGTATGTATGTATCTGTCAATCTATCATCTATGTATCTATCCCTCTATGTATGTATGTATGTGTCTATCATCTATCAATCTATGTATCTATCCATCTGTCTATGTATGTATGTATCTGTCAAACTATCATCTATGTATCTATCCCTCTATGTATGTATGTATGTGTCTGTCTATCATCTATCAATCTATGTATCTATCCATCTGTCTATGTATGTATGTATCTGTCAATCTATCATCTATGTATCTATCCCTCTATGTATGTATGTATGTATCTGTCTATCATCTGTCTATCCATCTATCTATCTATGTATGTATCTGTCTATCATCTATCAATCTATCCATCTATGTATGTATCTGTCTATCATCTATCAATCTATCTATCCATCTATCTATCTATGTATGTGTCTGTCTATCATCTATCTATCCGTCTATGTATGTATCTGTCTACCTATCATCTATCTATCCATCTATGTATGTATCTATCATCTATCTATCCACCTATCTATGTATGCATCTATCATCTATCTATCCATCTATCTATGTATGTATGTATCTATCTATCCATCTATGTATGTATGTATCTATCATCTATCTATGTATCCATCTATGTATGTATGTATGTCTATCTATCATCTATCTATCTATCCATCTATGTGTGTATGTATCTGTCTATCATCTATCCATGTATCTATCCATCTGTATGTTTGTATGTATCTGTCTATCATCTATCTATCTATCTATCTATCTATCTATCTATCTATCTATCCATCTATGTATCTATCATTTGTCTATCATCTATCAATCTATCCATCTATGCATCTATCATTTGTCTATCATCTATCAATCTATCCATCTATGTATCTATGTATTATCATTTATCTATCATTCATCTGTCTATCTATCATTTATCAATCTATCATCTATGTATCTATCATCTATCATTAGATATATCATCTATCAATCTACCCATCTATCATCTATCTTTCTATCTATTCTACCTACCTATCATCTATCTATTGTATCTACCTACCTATCTCATCTATCATTTATCCCCTCCTTATGTTGTCTATGTATTTATTATCCATCTGTGTATCCGTTATCTACCTATCATCTATCTAGCTATCATCTATTATCTATCTATCCATCCATTCTGTTTATCTATGTATCCATCTATCATCTGTATAACTATCCATCTATTATCTATCTATCTAACTATCATCTATCTATCTATCTTCTATCCATCTACCCATCTTTCTATCTTTCCATCATCAATCTATTATCTATCTATCTTCTATCCATCTATCTTTCCATCATCAATCTGTTATCCATCTATCCATTTATCCATCATCTATATATTAATTTATCATCTATCAATCTATCATCTACCTATCATCCATCTATCTATCTATGTATGTATCTATCATCTATCTATGTAGCTATCCATCTATCTATGTATGTAGGTATCTATCATCTATCTATCTATCTATCTATCTATCTATCTATCTATGTATCTATCATCTATCTATGTATCCATCTATGTATGTATGTATATATCTGCCTATCTATCACCTACCTATGTATCTATCCATCTATCTATGTATGGATGTATCTGTCTATCATCTATCTATGTATGTATCTATCATCTGTCTATCTAGCCATCTATGTATGTATGTGTCTGTCTATCATCTATTTGTCTATGTAAGTATCTATCTGTCATCTATCTATCCATCTGTGTATATATGTATGTATCTGTCTATCATCTATCTATCCATCTATCTATGTATGTATGTATCTATCATCTATCTATCCACCTATGCATGTATCTATCATCTATCTATCCATCTATCTATGTATCTATGTATCTATCATCTATCTATCCATCTATCTATGTATGTGTCTATCATCTATCTATCCATCTATCTATGTATGTATCTGTCTATCTATCGTCTATGTATCCATCTATGTATGTATGTATCTATCACCTATGTATCCATCTATGTATGTATCTATCATCTATGTATGTATGTATGTATGTGTCTATCATCTATGTATGTATCTATCCATCTGTATGTATGTATGTATGTGTCTATCATCTATCTATATATCTATCTATCCATCTATGTATCTATGTATCTATCATTTGTATGTCTATCATCTATCAATCTATCCATCTATGTATTTAGTATTATCATTTATCTATCATTCATCTGTCTATCATCTATCAATCTATCATCTATGTATCTATCATCTATCATTAGATATATCATCTATCAATCTACCCATTTATCATCTATCTATTCTACCTACCTATCATCTATCTATTTATCTACCTATCTATCTCATCTATCATTTATCCCCTCCTTATGTTGTCTATGTATGTATTATCCATCTGTGTATCCATTATCTACCGATCATCTATCTAGCTATCATCTGTTATCTATCTATCCATCCATTCTGTTTATCTATGTATCCATCTATCTATCATCTGTATAACTATCCATCTATCATCTGTCTATCATCTATCTATCTATCATCTTCTATCCATCTACCCAACTTTCTATCTTTCCATCATCAATCTATTATCTATCTATCTTCTATCCATCTATCTATCCATCTGTCTATCTTTCCATCATCAATCTGTTATCCATCTATCTATCCATCTATCCATCATCTATATATTCATCTATCCATCTATCATCTATCATTCATCTATCTATCTATCTATCTATCTATCTATCTATCTATCTCTTATCACCCATTTATCAATCTATCATCTATCTACCTGTGTATGTACCTATCTATCCATCTATCATGTATCCATTTGTCTTTTTTTTTTTTGAGGCAGAGTCTCGCTCTGTCACCCAGACTGGAGTGCAGTGGCATGATCTCAGCTCACTGCAACCTCTGCCTCCTGGGTTCAAGCAATCCTCCTGCCTCAGCCTCCCTAGTAGCTGAGATTACAGGTGCCCGCCACCATGCCCGGCTAATTTTTGTGGTTTTAGTAGAGACGAGGTTTCACCATGTTGGCCAGGCTGGTCTTGAACTCCCGACCTCGTGATCCACCTGCCTCAGCCTCCCAAAGTGCTGAGATTACAGGCTTGAGCCACCACACCCGGCCCCAGCCTCTAGAACTGTGGCAAGCAATGTCTATTGTTTGTGAGCCACCCAGTTGATGGTTGCGATGGTTAATACCAAGAGTCAACGTGATTGGATTGAAGGATACAAAGTATTGATCCTGGGTGTGTCTGTGAGGGTGTTGCCAAAGGAGATGAACATTTGAGTCAGTGGACTGGGAAAGGCAGACCCCCCCCCCCTTAATCTGGGTGGGCATCATCTAATCAGCTGCCAACGAGGCTAGAATATAAGCAGGGAGAAAAATGTGAAAAGGAGAGACGGGCCTAGCTTCCCAGCCTCCATCTTTCTCCCATGCTGGATGCTTCCTGCCCTTGAACATCTGACTCCAAGTTCTTCAGTTTTGGGACTGGGATGGGTTCTCCTTGCTCCTCAGCCTGCAGACGGCCTATTGTGGGACCTCATGATCATGTGAGTTAATACTGAATCAACTTCCCTTTATTTATTTATTTATTTTTATTTATTTATTTTTGAGATTCACTCTGTCACCCAGGAAGTTTACTTAATAAACTTCCCTTTATTTATTTTTATTTATTTATTTTTGAGTTGCACTCTGTCACCCAGGCTGGAGGGCAGTGGTGCGATCTCGGCTCACTGCAAGCTCCACCTCCCGGGTTCAATCGATTCTCCTGCCTCAGCCTCCCGAGTAGCTGGGATTACAGGCATGCACCACCACACCCGGCTAATTTTTGTATTTTCAGTAGAGATGGGGTTTCACCATGTTGGTCAGGCTGGTCTCGAACTCCTGACCTCAGGTGATCCACCTGCCTCGGCCTCCCAAAGTGCTGGGATTACAGGTGTGAGCCACTGTGCCTGGCCTGAAACTCCTCTCTCTCTCTCTCAATCTCTCTCTCTCTCTCTCTCTCTATCTATCTAATATATCTACTATCTGATCTATCATCTATCTATCTATCTAATCTATCTATCTGATCTATCTATCTGATCTATCTACTATCTATCTATGTAATCTATCTACTGTCAATCTATCTATCTAATCTATCTACTATCTATCTAATCTATCTACTATCTACCTATCTATCTAATCTATCTACTATCTATCTATCTAATCTATCTACTATCTATCTAATCTATCTACTATCTATCTACTATCTAATCTATCCACTCTCTATCTACCTATCTAATCTATCTACTATCTATCTATCTAATCTATCTACTATCTATCTACCTATCTATCTAATCTATCTACTATCTATCTAATCTATCTACTATCTATCTATCTAATCTATCTACTATCCATCTATCTATCTACTATCTAATCTATCTACTATCTATCTATCTATCTAATCTATCTACTATCTATCTAATCTATCTTCTATCTGTCTGTCTGTCTGTCTGTCTATCTGTCTGTCTATCTATCTATCTATCTATCCTATTAGTTCTGTCCCTCTAGAGATCTCTGAGTAATGCAATGGTGTTTTGTTTGTTTGGTTTTTTGTTTGTTTCCAGCAGGATAAATGGACCAAGACAAGGAGCCTATGAAGAGGATAAGACATTGGATCCAGCATAAAATGGGATCTGTGTTTAAAATGCAAGCCCTGCAGAAATCAGAGACAGAAACACATTTGCCCTGTGCACTTCAAAGCTCATGTTTTTTTTTAATGTTTTATTTTTATTTTTTACAGAGATGAGTTCTCACTGTGTTGCCTAGGTTGGCCCTTGAACACCCGGACTCAATCAGTCCTCCCGCCTGAGCCTCCCAAAGTGCTGAGATTACCGGCATGAGCTGCCACGCCTTGATGGAGGCTGAGACTTTTTGGAATCCCTCCCTCTCTCCATGTCCTGCCAAGAACAGAAGTAAAGTTTTCCATCTTAAAACATGTGTGTGAGTCAATAGACCTGTGTTATCTTTTCACTCAAAGCTCAACCAGTGAACAGACTGAGTCAGCTTCCAGGAAACATCCACGGCTGTAAGAGGGGGTGTCGGCTGCTCTCCATAGCCAAGTGGCTGCAAAAATCATCATACTGACAAAAAAAAAAAATCGACGCATTTTGCCTGCTTGCAACGTCTTCCTTTGCTGGGGGACGTCAGGGTTCTCGCACGTTGTCGAGGAAGGATATTGTCTCGGCTTCCTCTGACTCAAGCTCTCATTTTTGTTTACAAGGCAGTTTAGGGATCGTCCGTGCGTTACTGTGAAGATGCTACTCTGAGGTTTTTCACAGTTTTTTTTCCCCCATGAGACACACCCAAGGCCCACGCTCAGCACTTGCGACCTGTACTCCTGCAGCCTGGATGCTTCTGTATCAGCTTTGCTTTCTAGGGTTCAGCTTTGGAACAGTCTAGAGAAGCAGGAGGTTAATTTTCCTCCTTCTGTGGAAGTTCTGGGTCTCTTACGCATCCTCCAGTTCCCCCTGGAGGCTCTAGGGGAGGATCCTTCCTGCCTCTCCCAGCTCCTGGGGGCTCCAGGTGTCCCTGGGCTTGTGGCCGCATCACTCCAGTCTGCCTCTGTCTCCACGTGTCCTCCTGCTCTGTGTCTGTGTCTCCTCTTCTGTCTCTTGGAAGGACACCTGTCATGGCATTTAGGGTGCTTAATAATCCAGCACAATCTCATCTTCATATCCTTAAGTAATTACACATGCAAAGTTCCTTATTACCGAATAAAATCTATAATAATTTCAGGTTCTGGGCTTTAAAACAAGACATGTCTTTCTGGGGCAACTGTTTAGTGCACTCTGCAATTGTATCCAGTTCCCTCCAGAGACTCTAGGGGAGGGTCCTTCCTGCCTCTCCCAGCTCCTGGGGACTCCAGGCATCCCTGGGCTTGGGGCAGCATCACTTCAGTCTCTGCCTCTGTCTTTATGTGGCCTCCTGCTTTGTGTCTGTGTCTCCTCTTCCGTCTCTCATAGGGACACTGGATTGGGCCCATTGTAAATGCAGTATGGCCTCGCCTTACTTAATTACATTTGGAAAGACCCGATTTTCAAACATGGTCCCATCCTGATGTTCCAGGTGGACACGGGTTTGGGAATGATAATTCATTACTAAACCATCTCTGTTTTCCTGCCATAGTGATGACGGCAGGAGAGAGGCACCAATAGAGGGCCTCCGAACAGCAGCTTCAGCCTCCATCAGCGTCCCCAGTGCACAGAAAGGGAGGGGCCGGGCATCCAAGGCCACCCACTGCGGAGACGCAGAGCCCGTGGGCAGACAGGCAGCTCTCCCACTCCCACCTCCAGAATGGTCTTTCTCGCCCAAGAGAGCCTGGGATCCAATTCCACGTGATGTCCCAGCACCCCTGGAGAGTCAGAGCTCTTCTTTGCGCTAAACCAGCTCAGGTGTTGGGGCTGGTGCAGGCACATGCCGTGTAGAAGAAGACAGACAAAGACCCAGCCTGCTCACCACCCACACAGCAGGGAGGGGGCTCAGCGGCTGACACCCCTGTAGGTTCCTGGGGTCCACACCTGCATCTGCTGCTTGGTCTCCAAACGGTCTCATGGGTCAGGCCAGTTGCCTGCTTCCTGGACTCCAGATGGACTTGCCATGGCTGAGGCTCTCCATGGGGTAAAAGGACGCGGAGAATGGGCAGGAGGTGGGGAACTCCCGAATCAAGCTGCACCCTTGTGTTGGGATGGGCTGGACCCCATCTCACGGAGCCTCCTTTCCGCACCTGGGCCTCCCGTGGTCCTTGTCCTGAGTCAGGGAAGCCTGAGTGTGTTCCAGGGGCCTGATGGGACCTCCTTCTCTATCAGGGACTCACAGAAGCAGAATAGGGGTGGGGTCCCACCAAGCCAGGCCAGAACAAATGTGCCAAAAATCACCTTGGTCAGCAACAGGGTGGGGTGTGTGTGTGGGGGGAAGTGGGCACGGAGAGTAGCTGACTTGCAGGAGCCCCAGGCGCTCCTCTGAAAGAAGAATTCCAACCACAGCAACCACAGTGCCCCTGAGTGAAATAAACAGAAATTTCGGCGTGCACCGGGCTACGGAGACCAGAACCCCTGGAGGAGAATGGAGAAGGCCAGAACCACAACTAAGGGACGATGTCAGCAGGGAGAAGAGCTGGGAATGGGGCTCGCAGTTCGCCCACGGAGGATATCCAGAAACCGAGTCGGGTAGGCGGTGGGGCTGGTTGAATATCCACCCTCGGGTATGGACAGGTGTGAGGAGTGTCTAAGGAGCTCGGGGGTGACAGCCCAGCTCTACTAAAAAAAATACAAAAATTAGCCGGGCGTGGTGACACAAGCTGTCCCCTGACACAGAGAGGCAGAGGCACCCTCTGCAGGATAACAAGCACCCTGTGCGCTGCTGGGCTTTGCTTGTTTCTCTACCCTGAGTGAAGCCTGGAGACCCTTCCTCACCGGTGCCTCTGCAGTGCCTGGGAGGAATAAAGCCTGGAGACCCTTCCCCACCGGGCCTCTGCAGTGCCTGGGAGCAACGCAGCTGTTCTCCCTGAACCTCTGGCACCGTGGCCTCTCCATGCGCCCCTGGATCTCCAAGCTGCGCCCCCGGCTCTCCAAGCTGCGCCCCCGGGACTCAGAACACACTCTCCTGCCTCTGGAGGCCGGGCCTGGTGGCTCCCTCCATCCCTTCAGGGTGCGCACCGGCCTCGGAGCGCACGGACGTGGTCCTGGCGGAGAAGAGGCTCTCGCGGCGCGTGTCCAGGGTGTCTCTGGGCACCCGGCGGCAGCCCAAATATTCCCGCAGGCGCAGCTGGAATTCCCGGGACGCAAAGTAATAAACAAACGGGTCCAGACAGTTGTTGAGGCAGCTGAGACACAGCGTGAGCTTGTACACGTGGTAGTAGCTCTTGCCGTAGAACAGGCGGCTCACGATGTGCGCCAGGAGCACGAAGTTGTTGGGGGCGAAGCAGGTGACAAAGGCCAGCAAGACCACCGCGGCCAGGCCCACCGCGCGCCTCCGCTGCTCCCGGCCGTGCGCCTCCTCCGTGCGCAACAGCTTGAGGATGGTGGCCGTGTAACAAGCCACGGTGATCACGAACGGGATGAGGAACAGCAGGATGAAGATGGTGAAGAGGAACACGGCCCACATGGCCACGCTGGGGAGCATCGTCCACTTGAGGACGTCGAAGCAGGTGATGATGCCCAGGGCGTGCACCGGGTAGGTGAGATCGGTGCGCGCCAGCGGGGACAGGGCGGTCAGGAGCAGCAGCCAGGTCCCTGCACACGCGGCCACCGCGTAACGACGGCGGCGCCAGCGCTTGGAGCTGAGCGGGTACAGGACCCCCAGGAAGCGCTCCACGCTGATACAGGTCATGGTGAGGATGCTGGAATACATGTTTGCGTAAAAGGCCACGGTCACCACGTTGCAAAGCAGCACCCCGAATACCCAGTGGTGGCGGTTGCAATGGTAGTAGATTTGGAAAGGCAACACGCTGGCCAGCATCAGGTCCGTGACGCTCAGGTTGATCATGAAGATGACCGACGGGGATCTGGGCCCCATGCGCCGGCACAGCACCCACAGAGAGAAGAGGTTGCCCGGGATGCTGACCGCCGCCACCAGCGAGTACACCACGGGCAGGGCCACCGCGATCGCCGGGTTCCGCAGCATCTGCAGCGTCGCGTTGTCCGGGCCGGTGCTGTTCGGGACCTGCATCCTGGAGGGGTCCTCGCCCGGGCTCTGCAAGGGAAGGAGGGAAGGGTGTACGGGTCAGGGGCGCAGGTAAAGAGGCGGCTGCCGGGAGGGCTCCTGAGCGCCGCTCCCCGGGGACCAAGGCGGGGGAGATGCTTTAGCAGGGCCTGCTGTCTCCTCCCTCCCTCCCTCCCTTAGTTCCTCCTTCCCTCTCCTCCTTCCTTCCCTCCCTCTCTGCCTCCTTTCTTCACCCTGTGTCATTCTTTTCTTCTTTCCTGTCTTCTCCCCTTTCTTCTTCCTTCCTCCTCTCTCCTTCCTTCTCTTCTTCCCTCCTTCCTTCCTTCCTTCCTTCCTTCCCGCCCTCCCTCCCTCCCGTCCTTCCTTGGATCAGGGAGGTCATTGGAGACCTCGGCCCACGTCAGAGGCTGAGACTCTTAGATGATCCACAGTGGGGCTGTGGCTCCCCTGGGCAGGTTGAATGCATTGTCATACAAACCTCAAGACTCAGTGTCCCCCGTGGACGGAAACCACAAAGCCACCGTCAGCCCCCAGGGTGGTCTTAATGGGAATTCTTGACACCCTGGCAGTATTAGTCTGGGTATGAGTCCTCTCATCTCAGGGGCATCCACCCACAAAGTGTCTATCAGCAGAAAACACACACTCCGAGTGCCAGGAGACCAACCCGCAGCCTCCAAAGTCTTTCCAGCTTTTAACACCCGCGTCAACCCACGGCTCCTCCCTGCTCTTTCTTCCTCCAGAGGAGACCTGCGACTTCTTACCAACTGCTCTACAAACAGCTTCCTCAAGCTGGCTTTAAAATGGCCCGGAGTTTTCGTTTCAGTTTCAGGGAGAAGTTTTCTGACCCGCCGGTCCGTGCCCAGGTGTGAAACCTACAGTTATGCACGAGTCAGCACCGCTCCCCACGGCCAGCTGGGCACCTCCAGCCACCTATGGCTTCAGGAGGAAAAGCAGACCCTTCCTTCTTTGGGTTCCGCTTGGTGTGGCCGTGGGGGACGTCTGGAAGGAGAGACGCTTTATCCATGAGCTGGTGATGAAAAAGTGTCTGTCAAAGGGACACTACTTTTATTTTGAGAATGTAAAGTGGACAGAGCTGGAAACAGGGGTGCCCTGGAATTGTTCTTTTGTTTGTTTGTTTTATAGATATGGGGTCTTGCCTTGTTGCCCAGGCTGGAGGGCAGTAGTGCAAACGTAACTCACTGCAGCCTCCAACGCCTGGCCTCAAGCAATCCTCCTGCCTCAGCCTCCTGAGTAGTTGGGACTACAGGTGAGAGTACAACCACGCCCAGCTAATATTTTTATTTTTTGTAGATACAGAGTTTTGCTATGTTTCCCAGGCTGGTCTCAAACTCCTGGCCTCAAGCAATCCTCCTGCCTCAGCCTCCTGAGTAGCTGGGACTACAGGTGACAGTACCTCCGTGCCCAGCTAACATTTTTATTTTTTATAGATACACAGTTTTGCTACATTTCCCAGGCTGGTCTCAAACTCCTGGCCTCAAGCAATCCTCCTGAGTACCTGGGACTGCAGGTGCATGCCACCCTGCCCAGCTAATATTTTTATTTTCTGTAGACATGGGGTTTGGCTATGTTGCCCAGGCTGGTCTCAAACTCCTGGCCTCAAGCAATCCTCCTGCCTCGGCCTCCCAAAGCATTGGGATTACAGGTGTGAGCAACACACCTGGGCTGGAATTTGTTGCTTTAACTCTCCACGTAGGCAGCAGTGCCTCGCACACATTTAAACACCACGTGCTGTTGAAAGTCCTACGGTGGCGGCCTCACCCGGCCACCCTCGTGTCTGTACCTGTGTGGTCTGGGGATCCAGCAAGCAGCCTCTTGGCAGCCAGATCTGTTGCCATTTCGAGTCTGTGCCCTGTGGCCACCGGACAGCCCCCGGGGAAGACAGACAGCCAGGACTGCTGAGGAACGCGCATGACTAATCAAGAAATTACCTCTAACTGATGCCAGCTGCCCTGACACAGGAGGCACAGGCTTGCGGTTTGGGCCCCGCCGGGGCTCAGCGGGCAGGATGGAAATTTTAGAAAATCAGCACAACGGTTGTTCTTGGCGGTGTCTGGCCTGCAGAGGTGGCTGTCCAGAAATTTCTGGGCACTGAATTGTCTGAAGCAACGGACAGACCACAGGTGGGCGCTCAGGGGCTGTAGGTGGGACCCTCCTCTCCTCTCTCCTCTCTCCTCTCTCCCCTCTCCCCTCTCCCCTCTCCCCTCTCCCTCTCCCCTCTCCCCTCCCCTTCCCTCTCCCCTCACCCCTCCCCTTCCCTCTCCCCTCACCCCTCCCCTTCCCTCTCCCCTCTCCCCTCCCCTTCCCTCTCCCCTCTCCCCTCCCCTTCCCTCTCCTTCCCTCTCCCCTCTCCCCTCCCCTTCCCTCTCTCCTCTCCCCTCTCCCCTCTCCCCTCTCCCCTCTCCCCTCTCCCCTCTCCTTCCCTCTCCCCTCTCCCCTCCCCTTCCCTCTCCCCTCTCCCCTCCCCTTCCTTCTCCTTCCCTCTCCCCTCTCCTTCCCTCTCCCCTTCCCTCTCTCCTCTCCTTCCCTCTCTCCTCTCCTTCCCTCTCTCCTCTCCTTCCCTCTCTCCTCTCCTTCCCTCTCTCCTCTCCTTTCCTCTCCCCTCTCCCCTCTTTTCTTTTCGCAGTCTGTCATCCAGGCTGGAATGCAATGGCGTGATCTCGGCTCACTGCAACCTCTGTCTCCCTGCTTCAAGCGATTCTCCTGCCTCAGCCTCCTGAGTAGCTGGGATTACATGCATGCACCACCACGCCTGGCTGATTTTTTACTTTTTGTAGCCCCAAAAAGAGTTTCACCATGTTAACCAGGCTGGTCTTGAATTCCTGACCTCAGGTGAGCCACCAGCCCCGGCCTCCTAAAGTGCTGGGATGACAGTCGTGAGCCACTGCACCTGGCCAGGTTGGACCCTTTTTCTTATGCTTTGCAGGTAAATGCACACCTGTCTGGCAGCAATGCATCCAGCAATGTTTCTCTCCTCTTGAGGGTCTGTGTGTATCTCCTCCAGCCCTCTCACTTATTTCTTCTTAAAACAGCTTTGCCAGCCGGGCACGGTGGCTCACACCTGTAATCCCAGCACTTTGGAAGGCCGAGGTGGGCAGATCACGAGGTCAGGAGATCAAGACCATCCTGGCTAACACGGTGAAACCCCATCTCTACTAAAAAAACAAAAAAACAAAAAAATTAGCCGGGCGTGGTGGCATGGTGGCGAGTCCCAGCTACTCGGGAGGCTGAGGCAGGAGAATGGCCTGAACCCGGGAGGCGGAGCTTGCAGTGAGCCGAGATCGCACCACTGTACTCCATCCAGCCTGGGCAACAGAGCGAGACTCTGTCTCAAAACAAAACAAAACCAACAAACAAAAAAACAGCTTTACCAAGACGTGAGTTACGTACCATAAGCTTTCACTCATTCATACAGTTCAATGGTTTTTAATATATTCACAGATGTGCAAACAACACCATAATGCAATTCCAGAACCATTTTTATCCCTAAACAAAACTCAGGACCTGGCCGGGCATCATGGCTCACACCTGTAATTCCAGCACTTTGGGAGGCCGAGGCAGGTGGATCACCTGAGGTCAGGAGTTCGAGACCAGCCTGGCCAACATGGTGAAATCCTGTTGTTACTAAAATTAAACAAACAAACAAACAAAAACAAATGGGCCAGGCGCGGTGACTCACGTCTGTAATCCCATCACTTTGGGAGGCCGAGGCAGGTGGATCACCTGAGGTCAGGAGTTCAAGACCAGCCTTCCCAACATGGTGAAACCCTGTCTCTACTAAAAATACAAAAAAAATTAACCGGGTGTTGTGGCACATGCCTGTAATCCCAGCTACTCCAGAGGCTAAGGCAGGAGAATCGCTTGAACCTGGGTAGGGGGCAGAGGTTGCAGTGAGCCGAGATCACACCATTGCACTCCAGCCTGGGCAACAAAAGCAAAACTCCATCTCAAAACAAAACAAAAACCCTTCAGAACCCCACAACTGCTAATCCTGTTCGTTCCTGTCCCCAGCCCCTGTGAACCTCAAATCTGCTTCCTGTCTCTGTGGATCTGCCTATTCTAGATATTTTATAAGAATAAAATTCTACAATATGTGGTCTTTTGTGTCTAGCTTCTGTCACTGAGCCAGGGGTCTTCAAAGTTCATCCACGCTGCAGCCTGGGTCAGAGCTTGAGTCCTTTCAGTGGGTGCATAATAGTCTACTGTGTGGATAGACCACATTCTGTTTATTCATTCTCCTGTGGATGGACATTTTTGTTCTTTCTGATTTTTTTTTTTTTTTTTGAGATGGAGTCTTGCTCTGTTGCCCAGGCTGGAGTGTAGTGGTGCGATCTTGGCTCAGTGCAACCTCCGCCTCCTGGGTTCAAGCAATTCTCCTGCCTCAGCCTCCCAAGTAGCTGGGGCTACAGGAACCTGCCACCACGCCTGGCTAATTTTTTTGTAATTTTTTTTTTGAGAGGGAGTTTCGCTCTTTTTGCCCAGGCTGGAGTGCAATGGTGTGATCTCGGCTCTCGGCAACCTCCGCTTCCCCGGTTCAAGCAATTTTCCTGCCTCAGCCTCTGGAGTAGCTGGGACTACAGGCATGCATCACCGCACCCAGCTAATTTTTGTATTTTTAGTAGAGACAGGGTTTCACCATGTTGGCCAGGCTGGTTGTGAACTGCTGACCTCAGGTGATCCACCCTCCTCAGTCTCCCAAAGTGCTGGGACTACAGACGTGAGCCACCGCGCCCAGCCCATTTTTTTTTTTTTTTTTTTTTTGTAATTTTAGTAACGACGGGGTTTCATCATGTTGGCCAGGCTGGTCTCAAACTCCTGACCTCTGATGTATGATCCACCCTCCTCGGCCTCCCAAAGTGCTGGGATTACAGGCACGAGCCATCACACCCAGCCCATTTTTTTTTTTTAATAATTTTAGTAGCGACAAGCTTTCATCATGTTGGCCAGGCTGGTCTCAAACTCCTGACCTCCCATGATCTGCCCGCCTCGGCCTCCCAAAGTGCTGGGATGACAGGTGTGAGCCACCGCGCCTGGCGTGTTCCTGATTCTTGGCTATTGTGCATAAAGCTGCTCTTCCCTCATTCCCAGCCCTGGGAACCCCTTTCTAAAGGGTTCAGATGCTGAGTGCAGTGATCACTACAGTCTTGTTCCGGGTGGACCTTACAGGGTTGGGATGAGAAATAGACAAAAGGCATCTCCTCGTGGGCAGCAGGGATTGCATGCCGGTGACAGACCCTTTTTTGCCAGCTATTGTCTTCTGGCTATAACCACCCCTCTTTCCTGAGTGCTGGGGGCTGTCCCAGCTGTTGAACACACAGGGGAGTGAGAGGCCCCAGCCCTAAGGAACCACAAGCCAGCCCCGTGCTTGTCGTCTGCTCTCCTTTCTGTTTTCTGGGGGTGTTTGCACCACCCAGTTTGTGGTTCTTTTGATAGGGCTGCCTCAGGAGGCCCTCAACCCCAAAGACAGCAAATGGCACTCTGTTGGAGCTGTGGATTTGGAAGACAAAACAGACGCTGGCTTCAATTACCTACTTTGATTACGTAGAAGGAAGTTGTCGTGGGCCACACCCTGGCTGATACTCTCGGTATTATGGCCATTTCTTACTTAGAAATAGGGTCTGCGTCTATGTCATTAGTGAAGTCAAAATGTGGTCATAATAGAGTAGGGAGAGGCCCTAATAAAATTCACTGGCGTCCTTAGGAGAAAGAGAAATTTAGGCACAGACACAGAGAGAAGGCATGGAAAGATGAAGACAGAGACGAGAGTGGATGGATGGGTAGATGGATGAATAAATGGATGGATGGGTGGGTGGATGGATGGGTAGATGCATAGATGGGTGGATGAATGGGTACATGGGTGGGTGGATGGATGGATGGGTGGGTGAGTGGATGAGTGCATGGGTGGGCAGATGGGTGGGTGGATGGATGGGTGGATGGGTGGGTGGGTGGGAGGGTGGGTGTGCGGATGAATGGTAGGTGGGTTTGTGAATGGGTGGGTAGGTGGGTGAGTGGGTGGATGGCTGGATCAGTGTTTAGATAGGATGTGTGGGTGGATGAATGGATGGGTTGATGGGTAGATGGATGGGAGGATGTATGGATGAATGCATGGATGGGTGGATGGGTGGGAGGGTGGATGTGTGGATGAATGGTGGGTGGGTGGGTGGATGTGTGGATGGATAGATCAGTGTTTAGGTGGATAGATGTGTGGGTGGATGAATTGATGGGTTGATGGGTAGATGGATGGGTGGATGTATAGATGAGTAGGTGGATGGGTGGGTGGATGGATGAGTGGCTAGATGGATGAGTGGGTGGATGGGTTGGTGGATGGATGATGAATGGATGTGGATGGGTAGATGGATGGGCGGGTGAGTGGATGAGTGCATGGGTGGGCGGATGGGTGGGTGGATGGATGGGGGTGGGTGGGAGGGTGGATGGGTGGATGAATGGTAGGTGGGTTTGTGAATGGGTGAGTGGGTGGGTGGATGGGTGGATGGATGGATTAGTGTTTAGATAACTGGAAGTGTGGGTGGATGAATTGATGGGTTGATGGGTAGATGGATGGGTGGATGGATGGGTGGGTGGATGGATAGATGAGTAGGTAGATGGATGGGTGGATGGATGGGTGGGTGGATGGATAGATGAGTAGGTAGATGGATAGATGAGTAGGTAGATGGGTGCGTGGACGGATGGGTGAATAGATGGATGAGTGGGTGGATGGGGGGTTGGATGGATGATGAATGGATGGGGATGGGTAGATGGATGCATGGGTGGATGAATGGTGGATGGGTTTCTGAATGGGTGAGTGGGTGGGTGGGTGGATGGGTGGGTGGATGGATCAGTGTTTAGATAGATGGATGTGTGGGTGGATGAATGGATGAGTTGATGGGTAGATGGATGGGTGGATGTATGGATGAGTAGGTGGATGACTGGGTGAATGGATGGATGCATGGATGGGTGGATGGATGGGTGGGTGGGTGGATGAATGGTAGGTGGGTTTGTGAATGGGTGGGTAGGTGGGTGAATGGGTGGATTGATGGATCAGTGTTTAGATAGGTGGATGTGTGGGTGGATGAATGGATGGATTGATGGGTAGATGGATGGGTGGATGTATAGATGAGTAGGTGGATGTATGGGTGGATAGATGGATGACTGGGTGGATGGGTGGGTGGATGGATGATGAATGGATGGGGATGGGTAGATGGATGGGTGGGTGGATGAATGGTGGGTGGGTTTGTGAATGGGTGAGTGGGTGGGTGGGTGGATGGGTGGATGGATGGATCAGTGTTTAGATAGGTGGATATGTGGGTGGATGCATTGATGGTTGATGGGTAGATGGATTGGTGGATGTATAGATGAGTAGGTGGATGGGTGGGTGGATGGATGGGTGGATAGATGGATGAGTGGGTGGATGGACGGATGCATGGATGAGTGGATGGATGGGTGGGTGGATGGGAGGGTGGATGGGTGGATGAATGGTAGGCGGGTTTGTGAATGGGTGGGTAGGTGGGTGAATGGGTGGATGTATGGATCAGTGTTTAGATAGGTGGATGTGTGGGTGGATGAATGGATGGGTTGATGGGTAGATGGATGGGTGGGTGTATGGATGGGTGGATGAATAGATGAGTAGGTGGATGGGTGGGTGGATGGGAGGGTGAATAGATGGATGAGTGGGAGGATGGGTGAGTGGATGGAGGATGAATGGATGAGGATGGGTAGATGGATGGGTGGATGGATAGATGGGTGGCTGGATAGATGAATAGGTGTATGGGTGTGTGGATGGATGGATGGATGGATGGATGGATAAGTGGGTGGGTGGATGGATGGATCAGTGTTTAGGTGGATGGACGTGTGAGTGGATGGATGGGTGGATAGATGGATGAGTGGGAGGATGGGTGAATGGATGTATGATGAATGGATGAGGATGGGTAGATGGATGGGTAGATGGATAGATGGGTGGCTGGATAGATGAATAGGTGTATGGGTGTGTGGATGGATGGATGGATGGATGGATGGATGGATGGATGGATGGATGGATGGATAAGTGGGTGGGTGGATGGATGGATCAGTGTTTAGGTGGTTGGACGTGTGGGTGGATGGATGGGTGGACAGATGGATGAGTGGGAGGATGGGTGAATGGATGTATGATGAATGGATGAGGATGGGTAGATGGATGGGTGAATGGATGTATGATGAATGGATGAGGATGGGTAGATGGATGGGTGGATGGATAGATGGGTGGCTGGATAGATGAATAGGTGTATGGGTGTGTAGATGGGTGGCTGGATAGATGAATAGGTGTATGGGTGTGTGGATGGATGGATGGATGGATGGATGGATAAGTGGGTGGGTGGATGGATGAATCAGTGTTTAGGTGGTTGGACGTGTGGGTGGATGGATGGGTGGACAGATGGATGAGTGGGAGGATGGGTGAATGGATGTATGAGGAATGGATGAGGATGGGTAGATGGATGGGTAGATGGATAGACGGGTGGATGGATAGATGAATAGGTGTATGCCTGTGTGGAGGGATGGATAAGTGGGTGGGTGGGTGGGTGGATGGATGGATCAGTGTTTAGGTGGCTGGATTTATGGGTGGATGAATGGATGGGTTGATGGGTAGATGGATGGGCAGATGTATGGATGGGTGGATGGATGGATGAGTGGGTGGATGGGTAGGTGGATGGATGGGTGGATGGATGGATGAGTGGGTAGATGGGTGGGTGGGTAGATGGGTGGATGGATGAATAGATGATGCATGGATGGATGCTTCTATCCACCATGAAATGCCGATTGTTTCCAGAAAATCACCAGAAGCTGCAGCAAAGCTTGGAACAGATTTTCCCT
Source organism: Homo sapiens (assembly GCF_000001405.40). Classification (NCBI taxonomy): domain Eukaryota; kingdom Metazoa; phylum Chordata; class Mammalia; order Primates; family Hominidae; genus Homo; species Homo sapiens. Next base: position 1,475,415 of record NC_000023.11, read on the forward strand.
CAGAGCCCTAATGAGGAACCAACCCTGCCAATACCTTCATCTCAGACTTCTGGTCTCCAGGATGGGGAGAGAATGCATTGCTGTTATTTAAGCCACCACATCAGTGGTAATTAGTTATGGCAGCTGTCGCAAACCAATACACCGAGAAAAGAGAGGAAAAGTTTTAACCAACAGACTTCAAAGAAATTAGAGAAAGCGTCATCATACCAAATAAAAGAGAGGAAGAACCTTAAAAGAAAGATAAAGCATGAAAAGCACAAGATTATAGGATAAGAGAAAGAAATGAGGAACAAGCCAATGGGCCTCAGAAACTCAATGGAAGACAAGGATCTCAAGACTTGAAGATATAAAGACGGCACTGCAAAGCAATAACAACAACAACATGTATTCATGCAGTCCCCCTTTCTTTGGTTGACTTACTGTTGAGAAATGTCCAACACTAGCAGAGTGGAGCATATAGATTATGATGTGATTTGCCAAAGCCCAGGAGGAATGGCTGCATAGGACCCTCTCCTCACCTGCCATGGTTGCATTGAACCACTAGGGTAGGGAAGGAAGCAAGGCTCAGAGCTCCCTGCTCAAGCATCTCCCTGCAGGGGCCAAGACATCTTCTTGACCTTTGACATGTGGATCTATGGCACAGGGGCTGTCCAGAGCTCTCCATGACCCAGGCATCAGACCCCTTCCAGCTCCAGGAGGGAGGAGGTACAGGTATACACCTGGTGCTGACCTACAAGGGTCACAGGAAGAATCCAGCTTTGGGACACCTCCTATGACCAAGTTGTTCAGGATTTTACAATGTGGTCTCAGGGTCACTGTTAGTGCACCCAGACCTGTTTGAGCAAGAGTCCTTGATATCGATTTAGAAATATAATGGGTCGGCTGGGCACGGTGGCTCATGTCTGTAATCCCAGCACTTTGGGAGGCTGAGGTGGGCAGATCATGAGGTCAGGAGATGGAGACCATCCTGGCTAACACGGTGAAACCCCTTCTCTACTAAAAATACAAAAAAGAAAAAAAAAATTAGCCGGGCGTGGTGGCGGGTGCCTGTAGTCCCAGCTACTCGGGAGGCTGAGGCAGGAGAATGGCATGAACCCCGGAGGCAGAGCTTGCAGTAAGCCTAGATGGCACCACTGCACTCCAGCCTGGGTGACAAAGTGAGACTCTGCCTCAAAAAGAAAAAAAAAAAAGAAATATAATGGGTCATATAGATGTTTGAGAGGTAGCCAAGGGTGGCTGATGCCAGGTCTAGAAGAACAAGGGTCACCTAGAAGGCTTCCCCTACCCTCAAGAATAGTTGGAAATGTAGGAAACATCCCTGGTTGCCACAACTTAAGGAAGGATGCTACTGGGATCTGGTGGGTGGAGCCCAGGGATGGTGCTCAACACCCTACCATGCACAGGAGGGTCCCCACCACAGAGAAGCATCCAGCCTCAAATATCTACAGTGCTGAGGTTGACAACCTGGCATGAGCATAAGAACTTCACCGTCAGCCTGGAGCAGTGGCTCACACCTGTAATCTCAGCACTTTGGGAGGCCGAGGTGGGTGGATCACCTGAGGTCAGGAGTTTGAGACCAGCTTGGCCAACACGGTGAAGCCCCGTCTCTACTCAAAATACAAAAACTAGCCAGGTGTGGTGGCGGGTGCCTCTAATCCCAGCTACTTGGGAGGCTGAGGCAGGAGAAGCACTTGGACCTGGGAGGCGGAGGTTGCAGTGAGCTGAGATTGTGCCATTGCACCCCAGCCTGGGCGACAGAGCAAGACTGCATCTCAAAAAAAAAAAAAGAAGAAGAAGAAGAAGAAATTCACCATCTGTCTATCCATGAATCCATTTGTTGATCTAACCCCTGTCATCCATCTATCATCTATCATCTATCTATATCAATCGTCTTGCAACCCTTGATCTATCATCTATCTATATCAATTATCTATCAATCGATCATCTATCTACCTATCAATTTTCTCTCTATCAATTACTTATCTATCTAGCAATCATATCTATCAATTATGAATCAATCATCTTTCTATGGATCTTTCATCTATTCATATCAATTACCTACCAATCAGTTATCTATTAATTACATCTATCATCTGTGAATCAGTTATCTAACAATCACATATACGTGTTCATCAATCTATCAATTATTTATCTATGCATCAATTATTTATCCATTCAATAGTTTGCAAATGTGAATGATTCAGGTATCATAATTGGGAAGATGCGTCTGGCATCTGGTGGGTAGATCCCAGGGACACTGCTCAACACCCTACAGTACACAGGATGGCCCCACCACAGAGGATCATCTGGGCTGAAATGTCAGCAGTGCTAAGGCTGAGAAACCTGCCCTCAAGCAACTGTGTGACAAGAGCAGCCTTCAACAAACACACAGAGCTCAGGAGTACTTTCCAAAGAATGTCTGCAAGAGGCTTTCGGGGAGAGAAAAGACCCCAGGCAGATGTTCCTAGCAAGAAGCTGGTGTCGTGGAAAGGGACAGTGGTCTCATCATGGTTAGTGACCAGCTGTGGATGAAGAGCGATTCCTTAAAATGCCTGCACGTGCCCCTCATTGCCTTGCCGTCACGGACCTCCCACCCCATCACAGAGGAGGAGACCTGGTCTTCAGGAAGACAGATGGAACATGAGCTAAAGCATCTCTTGGGCCCCTGAGCTGGGGTGGGGTCAGACGTCAGAGCTGTGGCCAGAAGCAATAACAAAGAGAAGTTCTTGACTCATGTGGAACCTTCCATTGGTATCTCCTGTTTCCAATCCTAAGCATTTCTCTGTATGATGGACACCAATGCTTTTAAAATGAAAAATGGTGCTGGCAGGCGTATGTGTGTGTGTGTGTGTGTGTGTGCCCAGCAGGGAAGCAGAAATTATTACCAACATATCTTTTGCAAACAGGGATCATATAAACTAGAGAGATTGCAGAAGGCAGACTGTAGATAAGAGATTGCAGAGAGGTTGTAGGGTGACAGACAGGTCCTTTTGGGAGGGAGGAAGTAGGAAGAGAGTTGGTGGTTTTCAATATGGGAAGCTGAAGTGGCACAGGTATCTTTTATTTATTTATTTATTTTTTTGAGACAGAGTCTCGCTCTGTTGTCCAGGCTGGAGTGAAGTGGCACGATCTCGGCTCACTGCAACCTCCGCCTCCCGGGTTCAAGCGATTCTCTTGCCTCAGCCTCCTGAATATCTGGGACTACAGGCGCCTGCCACCATGCTTGGCTAATTTTTGTATTTTTAGTAGAGATGGGGGTTCCAGCATGTTGGCCAGGCTGGTCTCGAACTCCTGACCTTATGATCCACCCACCTCGGCCTCCCAAAGTGCTGGGATTGCAGGTGTGAGCCACTGCTCCCGGTACAGGTATCTTTTTATGTGAACATAGATAGCAGGGGCTGGGAAAACAGAGAAGCTAGGTGGTGGGCTCATGGTGCAAAGACTATCATGGAATATACCAGAAGCCTCCTGCCCCCTGCTGTCTGCCTTTCTGGTGGTCCCTCCCCACTGAACTGCAACTTATCCTAATAAAACCGGGGTTGATACCACCACTTCCAGGTTCCCACATTCCAAGTCCCCTCAGCCACAGAAGCAGATGCAACCTCTTCTGAACTTCCAGACACCATTGAGTTTTCAACTTTGGTTTAATTTTTAGATCTTCCAATTACAGAACACACACACACACTTGTTATGAGTAAAAGAATAAAGAGAAATAGAGAGCTCTGTATTCGTGTTTGTCTTTGGATCTTTCCCCTCCAGGTCCCACTTCCCTTCAGAAGTAACCTCTGGGAGTTCGTTTGCTCTGGAGCCTCCTTTCATACACAGGTAAGTTTTATTTTGCATAGTAGGACATACACCCGTCACCACTTTTGTGAATGTCTTGTGGTGTCTCTAACCATATGCCCCACAGTGAGGGGATTTGGATGGATCAACTCTGCTTCAGCCTGTGTGCTTACACACACTCCTCTGTAAGTATTTTTATGCATACCTGTGAGAACATTTTCTAGGATCGATTTCTAGGAGAAGATCTGCTGATTTGAAGGGTTTGCATATTTTAAATGGAATGCATGTATTAGAAAGGAAGTAAGATCTAAAATCAATAATTTAAGTTTCCACCTCGAGAAACTAGAAAAAGAAGAGCAAATTAAATCTAATGGAAGAAGAAAGAAATAAATCATAAATATTAGATTAGAGGAGAAATCAGTGGATTTGAAAATAGGAAATCCATAGAGGACAGAAATCAGTGCAATTGAAAACAGCAAGTCAATAGACAAAAATCAAAACCATAGGCTTGTTCTTTGAAATAACAATCAATGAGAGTAATAAGCTTCTAGTCAGGCTAACAACAACAAAGAATGAGGACACAAGTTACTAATACTGTAAATGAAAGAGGAGACATCACTACAGATCCCATGGACATTAAAAAGATCATAAAGAAATATTATAAACAATTCTGTGCCCATAAAATTGATCACCTAGATGAAAAGAACAAAAGGATAAAATCTGACAACTCACACAAGAAGAAACAGCCAATCTGAGTGAGCCTATATCTCTTAAAGAAATTGAATCGATAATTTAATAACCTTCCCAAACAAAAGGCTCCAGGCCCAGATGGGTTTACTGATGAATTTTCCCCAACATTTAAGGAAGAAATTATATTGATTCTCTACCATTCCTTCCAGAAGATAGAAACACAGGGAATATCACCAAATATCCACCCAATAAATTTCACCAATATGTGCTTACAGCTGATAGACAAGGGCAACACTCATTCTCACACCCTCATCAACAAGGGTGACAGCAACTAGCCTGAAGGGTGAGAGGTTTCAACTCATATTTTCATCACAGCAACAGAGGTTGACATGTTTCTTTCTTTTCTTTCTTTTTTTTTTTTATTGGCTGAGTCAGAGTTTCCCTCTGTCTCCTGAGCTGGACTGCAGTGGCACGACCTTGGCTCACTGCAGCTTGCGCTTCCCGGGTTTTTTTTTTTTTGAGACAGGGCCTTTCTCTGTCAACCAAGCTGGGGGCAGTAGTGCAATGACCGCTCACTGCAGCCTCGAACTCCTGGCCTCAAGAGATCCTTCTGTCTCAGCCTCCTGTGTAAGCTGGGACATGGATGAAGCTGGAAGCCATCATTCTGAGAAACTAACAGAGGAACAGAAAACCAAACACTGCATGTTGTCACTCATAAGTGGGAGTTGAACAATGAGAACACATGGACACAGGGAGGGGAACGTCACACACCAGGGCCTGTCGGGGGGTGAGGGGATAGAGGAGGGAGAGCATTAGGACAAATACCTAATGTAGATGACGGGTTGATGGGTGCAGCAAACCACCCTGGCACCTGTACACCTATGTAACAAACCTGCATGTTCTGCACATGTACCCCAGAACTTAAAGTAAAATAAAAAGAAAATAAAAGAACTTTTTTTAAAACAAAGAACCAGTATGCAAAATGTGCCAAAAAAAACTCTTAAGATTCAACCACTGGAAAAAAAAAAAACCATTTAAACATGGGCCACCTCACGAAAGATGCTTTGCAGGTGGCAAATTCACCTACGAAAAATCACTCCATGTCGTAGCTCATCAGGGAATTGCAAATTAATACCGCCGAGACATGCCGGCCGACAGGTCTCAGGGTGACTAAGATCTAGAGATACCAACAGATGAAGTACCGGAACTCTCATTGAATGCTGGTCACAAGAAGACGGTCCCTGCACCCTCTGACCTTTAGGTCACTCTGCAGCACGCAATACATTTTTTTTTTTTCTTGAGGCTGAGTCTTGCTCTGTGGTCCAGGCTGGAGTGCAATGGCACAACGTCGGCTCCCTGCAACCTCCGCCTCCCGGGTTCAAGCCATTCTCCTGCCTCAGCCTCCAGAGTAGCTGACAGGCACCTGCCACCACGCCTGGCTAAGTTTTGTGTTTTTAGCAGAGATGGGATTTCACTATGTTAGCCGGGCTGGTCTTGAACTCCCGACCTCAGGTGATCCACCTGCCTCGACCTCCCAAAGTGCTGGGATTACAGGCGTGAGCCACCGTGCCCGGCCAGGTAGTCACATTTTCTTCAAGCTTTGGGTTTAAGGGATCCCAGCTTTGGGCTTAAGGGATCCCAGCTTTGGGTTTAAGGAGCCCAGCTTTGGGTTTAGGAGAGTCCAGCTTTGGGATTAGGAGAGTCCAGCTTTGGGATTAGGAGAGTCCAGCTTTGGGATTAGGAGAGTCCAGCTTTGGGTTTAGTGGAGCTCAGCTTCCAACCCTCGCACCCTCAAAGTTCCCCATCTTTGTAGACCCAGTGACCCCTGTTTCTGTGATAACACCTGCCTCTGAACGAACTCTGTGTTCTACTGACTTCAAAGTGACCCACCAGCCCCAGTGAACTGGCAGCTGGCAGGCGTCAGGGGATAGAGGACCTGCTGGCGTCGGCCTCAGATCACAAGGCAAGAATCCTCCTAGCTAAGCACAAAAACGCGTAGGAAATGCTCTGAGCTCTGCCGCTGTGTGTTGATTTTCCTGTATTGCATCACCCAACGAAGCAGACCGTTTGCCCAGCGAGATTTGCATGCTGTCCTCCGCAGACGCCCCGTGGAGATTTTGATCTGCGTCTTCTGCAAAGGCAGCGGCCGCGTTTCTCTGATTTCTGTATCTCATTCTCAGAGTATATAGCACGGGGCTTCATCGCTGGCCAGAGAGCAGATTCTGAGAAACATAAGAAGCCCCTTTTTGAAACAAAATTAATTTGTGTGTGTGGTGTGTGTGTGTGTGTGTGTGTGTGTGTGTATGGGTGAGGATGTCTCAACAGCAGCAAAATCGGCCTCACTCTGGAAGGCAGGAAGCCACTGTACGTGGAATTAAGCTAATTAACATGAAATGCCATTTGGTGAAAAAAAAAAAAAAAACCCAAAGTGGTTGAGTGTGTGGCTCCTGCCCTGCTGCAAAAGAAGAGTGTGGAAATAGCACGTATGCTGAAATTTAAGCACTTCTGCCGTTACTGAGCCACAGTGCCCATGGTTTTAGCAGGTTATGGCAGACAGATTCATTTAACAGATGAGAGAGAGGTGACAGGAAGGTTCGCAGGCTTGACTTCCTAACAGCTGCTCTCTGTTTAAAGATCGTTGCTCTAGACATGAAGTCCTTGCCCATGCCTATGTCCTGAATGGTAGTGCCTAGGTTTTCTTCTAGGGATTTTATGGTTTTAGATCTAAATTTAAGTATTTAATCCATCTTGAATTAATTTTAGTATAAGGTGTAAGGAAGGGATCCAGTTTCAGCTTTCAACATATGGCTAGTCAGTTTTCCCAGCACCATTTATGAAAATGTGGCACATATACACCATGGAATACTATGCAGCCATCAAAAATGATGAGTTCATGTCCTTTGTAGGGACATGGATGAAGCTCGAAACCATCATTCTCAGCAAACTATCGCAAGGACAAAAAACCAAACACTGCATGTTCTCACTCATAGGTGGGAATTGAACCATGAGAACACATGGACACAGGAAGGAGAACATCACACACCGGGGACTGTTGTGGGGTGGGGGGACGGGGGAGGGATAGCATTAGGAGATATACCTAATGCTAAATGACGAGTTAATGGGTGCAGCACACCAACATGGCACATGTATACATATGTAACAAACCTGCACGTTGTGCACATGTACCCTAAAACTTAAATGAAAGATAAAATCAATTATTTTAATTTAAATAAATAAATAAAGATCGTTGCTCAGTGTGAGTTGACGCGGACTTGCCTTAGGATACTTTAATTGTGATCTGGTGGATTCTGCTCATCCTGTTTCCAGCCATGTGCTCAGCAAAGCAGTCAAAGAGAAAGATCCCTGGAGAAGAAACCGAGACGGTCTCAACTACCTTGTTCCTGCCCGAAGTCAAAGCTGGGCTCCCTTAGATCCAAAGCGGGGTTTCCTTAAAACCCAAACAGGAGCCAGGCGTGGTGGCTCATGCCTGTAATCCCAGCACTTTGGGAGGCTGAGGTGGGTGGATCACCTGAGGCTGGGAGTTCGAGACCAGCCTGACCAACATGGAGAAACCCCATCTCTACTAAAAATACAAAATTAGCCAGGCATGGAGGCGCATGCCTGTAATCCCAGCTACTCAGGAGGCTGAGGCAGGAGAATTGCTTGAACCCGGGAGGCAGAGGTCGCGGTGAGCCAACATTGCGCCACTGCACTCCAGCCTGGGCAACAAGAACAAAACTTTGTCTAAAGAGAGAGAAAAAAAAGAAACAACCCAAACAGGAGCTCCATTAAAACCCAAAGCTACCCTCCCTTAGACTCAAAAACAGGCTTCCTTAAAACCCAAAGAGGGGCTCCCTTAGACCCAGAGCTGAGCTCCCCAAAACCCAAAGTTGGACTCCCCTAAACCCAAAGCTGAGCTCCCTTAACCACAGAGCTGGGCTCTCCTAAACCCAATGCTGACCTCCTTTAAACCTGAAGCTGGGCTGCCTTAGACCAAAAGCTGGGCTCTCCTAAACCCAAACCTGAGCTCCCTTAAACCCAAAGCTGGGTTTCCCTAAAACTCAAAGCTGGGATCCCCTAAACCCAAAGCTGGGTTCCCCTAAACCCAAAGCTGGGCTCCCCTCAACTCAAAGCTGGGCTCCCTTAGACCCAAAGCTGGACTCCCCTAAACCCAAAGCTGGGCCCTTATATACCTAAAAAGCTGGGTTCCCCTAAACCCAAAGCTGGGCTCCCCTAAACTCAGGAAAGATTTTCATCTTTGAACACAAAGGAGTGTGTTTTTCTCTTGCTCCCTGGACCCAAACCCCCAATGACGGGAACCCTCAGCTGTGACAAGCCTCCAGTATACGTATTTCCCCACGTGTGAGCCAGTTTCAATCTCTCTCCTCTGAAAGGTGAAAGGGTCCCAAGGTAGCAGTGATCATAGACAGAGACTCATTTCTTTGTTCTCTTTGTGACCTAAGGGAGGTTCTCAGGCCCACAGAAAAGGATATTTTAAAAGATTTCAAAGCAGTACCCATCCTAGGCTACCCCTCAGCACAAGAAATTAACATTACAGGCCGGGCGCGGTGGCTCACGCCAGTCATCCCAGCACTTTGGGAGGCTGAGGCGGGCGGATCATGAGGTCGGAAGTTCGAGACCAGCCTGGTCAACAAGGCAAAGCCTCGTCTGTACTAAAAATACAAAAAAAATTAGCCGGGTGTCATGGCAGGTGCCTGTCATTCCAGCTACTCGGGAGGCTGAGACGGGAGAATTGCTGGAACCCGGGAGGCGGAGGTTGCAGTGAGCTGAGATCACACCACTGCACTCCAGCCTGCGTGACAGAGCAAAACCCTGTAAAAAAAAAAAAAAAAAAAAAAAAGAAGAAGAAGAAGAAGAAGCGGCAGCTGGGGAACCTTCCTGAGCAAAAACTAGAATCCTCTGTGTCCCATTCAAGTCCTGCGTGTTTGCAAATTGACTCCAAAAATCACCTGGTGTGTCCTCAAATAGTTAACCATGTCATGCACCAATTCTCCTCCTAGGTAAAAGCTGGAGACAAATAAAGACAGGTGGAGAATTTGTTAAGCAAACATCTGATTCCTTAATGATGTAATAATGTCTTTTTTTTTTTTTTTTTTTTTTTTTAGAGACAGGATTGCAGTTTGTTGCTCAGGCTGGTCTCCAAGTCCTAGACTCAAGAAATCCTCCTGCCTCAGCCTCCAAAAGTGTTGAGATTACAGGTCTGAGCCACTGCACCCAGCCCTTAGTAATGTCTTTTTTCTTCTTTTGAAGGTGGTTTCTCACTCGGTCGTCCAGGCTGGAGTGCAGTGGCTTCATGGCGGCTCACGGCAACCTTCACCTCTGGGCTTCAAGCAGTTCTCGTGCCTCAGCCTCCCGAGTAGCTGGAACTACAGGTGTGCACCACCACGCCCAGCTACATTTTTGAATTTTAGCAAAGATGGGCATTGTACCATGTTGCCCAGGCTGGTCTCAAATTCCTGAGGTCAGGCAATCCACTTGCCTTGGCCACCCAAAATGCTAGGATTACAGGCGTGAGCCACTGCGCCCAGCCCCTTAATGATGCCTTACTGTAAATTATGGGTAAATGTGTACACATTAAATTAAATATTACCTTATTAACATTTTATTTACTTTTGTTTCTCTTTTATATTGTAATTAAGGCTATATGGATATGTAAATTTAATATGTAAATAATATACATAATCATATAAAGTGATATAATGTATAAATTATTATTATATAATATTACATATATTATTTATATATATTATTGTTATATAATAATTTATTTACAACTTATTTTATTATAAATTAAACATGTTATATTGTATGTATATTTAATAATTATATACGATATATTGTATAGTATCATTTATATGTTATATATAATTTGTGTATTATATGTAACATATTGAACATAGCATATATAAAATTATATACAACATATTTTATAGATCACCTTATGTGTATATATAATTATATGTATAATACATTATTTCTGCATGTCATTTTGGTAAGTGAAGGTAGCATTAGAAAATGTATAAAAAGGGGCTAGGTGTGGTGGCTCACACCTATAATCCCAGCACTTTGGGAAGCTGAGACAGGTGGATCACCTGAGGCCAGGAGTTCAAGACCAGCCTGGCCAACATGGTGAAACCCTGTCTTTACTAAAAATACAAAATTATCTGGGAGTGGTGGCAGGCACCTGTCATCCCAGCCACTTGGGAGGCTGAGGCAGGAGAATCGCTTGAACCCGGGAGGCGGAGGTTGCAGTGAGCGGAGATCATGCCATTGCACTCCAGGCTGGGTGAAAAGAGTGAAACTCTGTCTCAACAACAACAAAAAATGGTTGCACCCATAAAAACTTGCATATGAACGTTCCCTGCAGCACTCTTCACAACAGCCAAAAGGTGGAAACAGCCCAAGTGTCCGTCAACAGACAGACAGATAAACACAACGTGGCCCCCCCATGCACACAGTGGAATAGTATACAGCCATGAAAAGGAAGAAGGCTGTGACCGAGGCTACACTGTGGATGAACCTTGAAGACATCATGCTCAGGGAGAGAAGCCAGACACAGAAGGCCACATGGTGTAGGACTCCATTTCAATAAAATGCCCAGAACATGCTGATCCATATAGAGAGAAAGCAGATGACCATGGCTGGGACTGGGGATGGGGAAACGGGGAGTGACTTTCCCCCTAAAGGGGGTGTTTCCTTTTGCAGGAATGACAAAGTGGTGGAAATAGACAGAGGCGGCTGTTGCCCAGCACTGTGAAGGTCCTAAATGTCCCCCAGTTATTCGCTTTAAAACGGTGAGTTCATGTCAAGCATAATCTCAACAAGAAACAATTGTCTCTTGAAGCAGGAAGGACATTCCTCAGGTTTCTGGTTTACTTCCTGCGTCTGAGCTGGCCCTTCCCCTACACCCTCCTGGCTGACTCCCTGCCCGCGCTGAGTCCTGAATGCTCCTGCAGTCTCAGTGCTCCCCCGCTTGTTGCTTGGGTCTTCCTGTCCCTCAGAGAGCCCCGGTCACAGCCAGGCTGACCCTTTCTCCCCGGGACAGGGCAGCCCCAGGGCCGAGCTTCCGCTTTTGGGGGATGCAGTCGTCACTGGGGCCGTAGCCAGCCTGGCCTCCTCATCCCTCAGGTCCCTACCGGGGTGTCTGGGGCCGGCTGCGCAAGCCTTCCCTGTCTGTGGTCACTATGGCTGATTTGAGCTTGGCTGGGCCTGAGTGGAGGGGAAGCAGTGGCCACCACTGTGTGAACCAGTGACCTCACGGTGTCCCTCAGGGAGCCACAGTGAAAGGCGTCCAAGTTCTCAAGTCCAGCATTGTTTCAATTTCCTCCTTGTCTTTCCCGGCCACACAGAGCTTCCTTCCTAGCTGCCTGGAGATGACAGGGAAGGAGAAGGTCAAGTGTGCTTGAGTCCTCAGGTGACATCGCCTGTTCTTAGAGCAGACGTCACATTGAATGTTTGCAAACGTTTTTTTGTGCACCCGTCCTAGGAAGACGCGCTTATCATCTTTGCTTTACATATGGGGACACTGAGGGGCAGAGGGCATAAGGAACCTGGGCCATGAGTGACAAGGGGCGTGGTGCTTGGGACCCAGACTGTAGGTTTTCTGGGCATGTAGAAGATGCCGCACTCTGCCTTGCAATAATCTCCAAATACACGCATCTGAGTGGAAACACACCTGCGCCTCTGAGCCTGAACTCTGCACCTGTCTCTGGCTGCCTGTCTCATCCTCCCTGCCCTCCCAAGGGGATTTCAGGGACCATACTGCATACTGAGAGCTCCCCAAGGAGAAGAGACCTGAAGTGTATCATCCTGGTGCTCCCTGAGGCTGGAGCATAGTCCTGGCCTGCTGGGCAGGTGCATTTGCACCTGCTCTTTGCAGGGGTTGGGGACAAGTCAGAATACGGGTAAAAAAGAAGGCCGGGCCAGGCGCGGTGGCTCACGCCTGTCATCCCAGCACTTTGGGAGGCCGAGGCGGGTGGATCACGAGGTCAGGAGATCGAGACCATCCTGGCTAACACGGTGAAACCCCGTCTCTACTAAAACTATAAAAAATTAGCCAGGCGTGGTGGTGGGCGTCTGTAATCCCAGCAACTTGGGAGGCTGAGGCATGAGAATCGCTTGAACCTGGGAGGTGGAGGTTGCGGTGAGCCAAGATCGTGCCGCTGCACTCCAGCCTGGCCAACAAGAGCAAAACTCTGTCTAAAAAAAAAAAAGAAGAAGAAGAGAAGTGGGTCTCAACAGGGTCCCCAGTGTATCACTAACAGCTGAGCCCCCAGGAGCCCCTCAGCCTGCCTGAGTTATTCCTGGAGAGGCAGAACGAGCTGAGGAATCTCACTGCCTGGTTCTGCCCTAAACCACCCTCCTGGGAAGGGGTGAATGCAAAGCTACCAAGTGACTACTACTCAAAGGCTGGGGTGGTGTTTCCCCTGCTCGCTGTCAGGCACAGATGATGTGCTTATGCCAGTTTCCTTGGTACAGTGGTCTACCTGGCCCTGCAGAAAGCTGTGTCCCCACAGCGGTGGGACCAACTCACAGATATCTCCTTGCCCTAGCTCCTGTGATTCCTCTGGCCCATGCAGCTCCTTATGCCTGTCTGCACCCAGCACAGTCTTGAGTGACACCTTCAACCCTCCTTCTTGGGGCATCAGCCCACCATGGACCTGCCAGAGCCTCTTGGAAGTCTGCATTTCATTCCAGCCCATGGGTGCCAGCTCCTGCCTCCATGAAGACCCTCTCCTCCCCACCAGGTACCTGCTGCAAACTCCTTTGGGTCTGCTGTCCTTAGCTTAGAGCTGTGCACCCAGGATGGTCTTGGTAAATGCAGGGTGTGTGTGTGTGTGTGTGTGTGTGTGTGTGATACAGGACATTCCCAATGACTGTGGAGGGAATGAATGGGTGCATGTATGAATAACACTCAGAGCGTCCACACAAATGTGGAGAGAATGAATGAATGACATCCAGGATTCAGTTATGCAAATGTGGAGGGAATGAATGAATGATACCCAGGGTTCACTCCCACAAATGTGGAGGGAATGAATGAATGAATGGCATCCAGGGTACACTCCTGCAAATGTGGAGGGAATGAATGGATGATACCTAGGATTCACTCCCACAAATGTGGAGGGAAAGAATGAATGACACCCAGAGATTCATTCCCACAAATGTGCAGGGAAAGAATGAATGACACCCAAGATTCTCTTCTGCAAATGTAGAGAAAAGTAATGAATGATGCCCAGGGCTTCCCCACAAAAGTGGAGGGAATGAATGAATGACACCCAGGATTCACTTCGGCAAATGTAGAGAGAATGAATAAATGATACCCAGAGATTCCCCACAAATGTGGAGGGAATGAATGACTGACACCTAAGGATTCCCTACAAATGTAGAGGGAATGAATATCACTCAGAGATTTACTCCTGCAACAGTGGAGAGAATGAATGAATGAACGACACCTAAGGATTCCTCACAAATGTGGAGGGAATGAATGACTGACACCCAGGATTCACTTCCGTAAATGTAGAGAGAATGAATATCACTCAGAGATTTACTCCTGCAACAGTGGAGAGAATGAATGAATGAATGACACCTAAGGATTCCTCACAAATGTGGAGGGAATGAATGACTGACACCCAGGATTCACTTCTGCAAATGTAGAGAGAATGAATGAATGATACCCAGATATTCCCTGCAAATGTGGAGGGAACGAATGAATGACATCCAGGGCTTCCCTGCAAATGTGGAGGGAACGAATGAATGATACCCCAGATTCACTTCTGCAAATGTAGAGAGAATGAATGAATGATACCCAGATATTCCCCGCAAATGTGGGGGGAATGAATGAATGATACCCCAGATTCACTTCTGCAAATGTAGAGAGAATGAATGAATGATACCCAGATATTCCCTGCAAATGTGGGGGGAATGAATGAATGACATCCAGGGATTCTCCACAAATGTGGAGGGAATGAATGAATGATACCCCAGATTCACTTCTGCAAATGTAGAGAGAATGAATGATACCCAGATATTCCCCACAAATGTGGGGGGAATGAATGAATGATACCCCAGATTCACTTCTGCAAATGTAGAGAGAATGAATGAATGATACCCAGATATTCCCCACAAATGTGGGGGGAATGAATGAATGACATCCAGGGATTCTCCACAAATGTGGAGGGAATGAATGAATGATACCCCAGATTCACTTCTGCAAATGTAGAGAGAATGAATGAATGATACCCAGATATTCCCCACAAATGTGGGGGGAATGAATGAATGATACCCCAGATTCACTTCTGCAAATGTAGAGAGAATGAATGAATGATACCCAGATATTCCCCACAAATGTGGGGGGAATGAATGAATGACATCCAGGGATTCTCCACAAATGTGGAGGGAATGAATGAATGATACCCCAGATTCACTTCTGCAAATGTAGAGAGAATGAATGAATGATACCCAGATATTCCCTGCAAATGTGGAGGGAATGAATGAATGATACCCCAGATTCAGTTCTGCAAATGTAGAGAGAATGAATGAATGATACCCAGATATTCCCTGCAAATGTGGGGGGAATGAATGAATGACATCCAGGGATTCTCCACAAATGTGGAGGGAATGAATGAATGATACCCCGGATTCACTTCTGCAAATGTAGAGAGAATGAATGAATGATACCCAGATATTCCCTGCAAATGTGGGGGGAATGAATGAATGACATCCAGGGATTCTCCACAAATGTGGAGGGAATGAATGAATGATACCCCAGATTCACTTCTGCAAATGTAGAGAGAATGAATGAATGATACCCAGATATTCCCCACAAATGTGGGGGGAATGAATGAATGATACCCCAGATTCACTTCTGCAAACGTAGAGAGAATGAATGAATGATACCCAGATATTCCCTGCAAATGTGGGGGGAATGAATGAATGATACCCCAGATTCACTTCTGCAAATGTAGAGAGAATGAATGAATGATACCCAGATATTCCCTGCAAATGTGGGGGGAATGAATGAATGAATGATACCCCAGATTCACTTCTGCAAATGTAGAGAGAATGAATGAATGATACCCAGATATTCCCCACAAATGTGGGGGGAATGAATGAATGATACCCCAGATTCACTTCTGCAAATGTAGAGAGAATGAATGAATGATACCCAGATATTCCCTGCAAATGTGGGGGGAATGAATGAATGACATCCAGGGATTCTCCACAAATGTGGAGGGAATGAATGAATGATACCCCAGATTCACTTCTGCAAATGTAGAGAGAATGAATGAATGATACCCAGATATTCACTGCAAATGTGGGGGGAATGAATGAATGATACCCCAGATTCACTTCTGCAAATGTAGAGAGAATGAATGAATGATACCCAGATATTCCCCACAAATGTGGGGGGAATTAATGAATGACATCCGGGGATTCCCCACAAATGTGAAGGGAATTAATGAATGACACACAGAGATTCATTCCTGCAAATGTGGAGGGAATGAAGGAATGAGTAGCACACAGGACTTGCTTGATAAACGAATGGGTGAATACATAAATCAATGACGTGTAGGGTTTTCTCCCTAAAAGTGGAGTGAATAAATGAAAGAGTGAATGCATGATGCCCACTAGTTCCTGACAAGTGTGGAGCAAATGAGTAAATGAGTGAATGAATGAATGCCACTCTGAGAATGCACAGCCAATGAGTGACGGAATGTGTGGAGCAAATGAGTAAATGAATGAATGAATGAATGAATGCCACTCTGAGAATACAGAGCGAATGAGTGATGGAATGTGTGGAGCAAATGAGTAAATGAGTGAATGAATGAATGCCACTCTGAGAATGCACAGCCAATGAGTGACGGAATGTGTGGAGCAAATGAGTAAATGAATGAATGAATGAATGAATGCCACTCTGAGAATGCAGAGCGAATGAGTGATGGAATGTGTGGAGCAAATGAGTAAATGAATGAATGCATGAATGAATGCATGAATGAATGCCACTCTGAGAATGCAGAGTGAATGAGTGATGGAATGGACAGAAGGCGGCAGGGGCAGTGTGGACGTTAGCCCCACCGCCTCCCTCCGGTCCACTTTGGTCCAGCTTGCTACTGGCCCTGACCTCTCTGCTGCATCCATGGAAACTGTGCACCCAGCACCCCTCGCCCCTGGGGTCACTCCCTGTCTGGGCTGTGTGGTTCTCCAGGACTGCCAATCAATGAGGAGAGGGGTGTGGTCCAAGCCTTTCAATCACTGAGGATAGGGGGGTGTGGTCCAAGCCTGTCAATCACTGAAGATGGGGGTGTGTGGCCAAAGCCTGTCAATCACCCAAGAGAGGGGTGTGGCCCAAGCCTGGCCAGTTAGGGGGCCACCCTCACCCTGTTCATAAAAATTATCTCAAGCAGTGGTCATTTGTTTCTGACATGGCTGGTCGGAACCCTTCAGGAGGTGTAACTTGTGGGTGCCAGGAGAGAGAGGGTGTCTCTTTTCCCATTTGATTCTGCTCTGAAAAGATGGGGACCCCAGGCTACCAGAGACCCTCTTTCCATCCCTATAGAGAAAGTGGTCTTCCTCCAGTGATTCCACACCCTGCAGCTGAGGGAGGCAGAAAAAGGTGGGGCTGAAACGTGGGAAGAGAGAAAGAGAAAGAGGAGAAACTGACAACCATGTAAGCTCCTGGATCCAGCCATGCCTGAAGCCCCCATAGAAATCCTAATTATCCAATTTGACAATTTCCACCTTGACTTCAGCTAGCTCGACTCAAGTTTCTATTGCTGGCCATAGAAGACAGTTATGCCTCAAGCACTAGGGGTAGGCAGGTTGGGCTCCCAGTTGAGGGACAGAATTGTCCTAGTTCCAGAGAGAGGGCCCACGGAGCCCAGGCCACCTGCCCTGGGCTGAGACATGGTTGTTTCAAAGGCAGTCACGTATCATTCATCACTAATTCCCCAGTGCAGTGGTTCAAGGCTAACGAGCAGCACTCAGCGCCCACCTCTGCCTCTTTCTGGTTGTAGGTCTTGAACACACCCCCGCCTCCATGTCTGCCTCAGTTTCCGTTACTGGTAAAACAGGGATGATTGTAACAGCACCTGTCTCACGAAGTTTCGAAAATCCCAGAGATCAGGCCAGGCGCACTTTGGGAGGCCGAAGCGGGTGGATCATGAGGTCGGGAGTTCGAGATCAGCCTGGTCAACATAGTGAGACCCCATCTCTACTAAAAAATACAAAAAATTAGCCGGGCGTTGGGGTGGGCGCCTGTAATCCCAGCTACGTGGGAGGCTGAGGCAGGAGAATCACTTGAACCCGGGAGGCGGAGGTTGCAGTGAGCAGAGGTCACGCCACTGCACTCCAGCCTGGGCAACAGTGCGAGACAAGAAAGGAAAGAAAGGAGAGGAGAAGAGAGGACAGGAGAGGAGGGGAGGGGAGGGGAGGGGAGGGGAGGGGAGGGGAGGGGAGGGGGAGGGAGGAAGGAGGAAGGAGGGAGGGAGGGAAGGAGGAAGGAGGAGGAAGGAGGAAGGAGGAGGGAGGGAAGGAGGAGGAAGGAGGAAGGAGGGAGGAGGGAGGGAGGGAAGGAAGGAAAGATCGCAGAGATAAAGCCCTTGTAAAAGTGGCTGCTGCTTCCTCCTCACTCAGTCGACGTGAACTATTTTTATTAGCGAAAAACCAAGAACAACGTCTCCTCCCCACAAAACAAAAGCAAAATAAAAGCCAAAGACAGGTGTGAAGAAGATTTCTGGGAGAGCGCATTTTAAAGAAGGTGGGACTTTCTTCATCCGAGAGCCACCCAACCCAGCATCTCGGCGTGGGCCGGCCTGTACCCCTCGTCAAAGGAACAATTGGCTTGCAAACTGGGAATCTCCGTTAAAACGGACAAGACGATTTTGCTCTTTTCTTGCGGCAACGTCTGAAGATGTGCAAGAAGGGGGTCTGTTTTAGGCCAACCTCAGCCCTCTCTGCGACCCTCGAGAGCTTGTGCAAATGGCACAGCTCCTGCCTGGAGGCTGTGTGTCCTTTTGCAGCACTCTGGTGAGCCCGGGTTAAAAATCACACACCCCAAAGGGAGGCTGAGCTGAGGGCTTTCTCTGGCATTCAGCAGCGTCTCTGGCCTGGATATGCCCTGCTAGCTGGGGTATTTCTGCAGAGCAGCCTCTCCTACCCGAACACTCCCAGGTCCCCGTGACTTACAACGGTGGCTGCAGGGAGGGCAGACGTCCTGGGTGATGCTGGTCTGGTGGTGCTTGTCTGAGCAGCCGTCAAGCTAGGCAGGGGGTCCTGGGGGACCCTCCTCCTGGGCCAGAGGCGGCTGCCCTATGGGAGTGAGCTCCGCACAGGAGCAGGAGTGGAGGGCCAGCTCTCTGCTCTGCTGGGAAAAAAATCCCACTGGCTGTGCCTGCACCGCACCTTGAGACAGACACCAGCAGCCTCCGGAGACCCAGCAAGCTGCTCTTAGCTGCGATCTGTCATCTGCAGACTGAGCTTGGTGCATGGCGGTTATGAAACTGGCCAGAGCAACAATAGATGGAAAAGCTTCCTCTTTTTGGCCCTGGGCCCCAGGGAGCGAGGTCAGGTAATCCGAGGGGGATTTTATGTGTTTTTCTCCTAATGCGGTATTTTTCAATTAGGCTTTAAAAAAAAAAAATGAGTTTGGCCTCCATGTATGCGGGACCATTGCCTCAGAAGGGTTAGTTTAGGATTAGAAAATGGGTTAAACTTAAGGACAGCTTCTCTTGGATATATTGGATATTACTTTATGCTTTATGTGAAAATACTAATTTTTAAAAATATGTATGTCCATAGTCACTATTTGTTTTCTTTTGAGACTGAGTCTCGCTCTGCCTCCCAACCTGGAGTGCAATGGCACCGTCTCCGCTCACTGTCACTTCCTCCTCCCAGGTTCAAATGATTCTGCCTCAGCCTCCCAAGTAGCTGGGAAGACAGGCATACATCACCACACCTGGCTAATTTTTTTTTTTTTTTGTATTTTTTTTTTAGTAGAGACAGGGTTTCATCATGTTGGTCAGGCTGGTCTTGAACTCCTGACCTCAGGTGATCCACCCGCCTCGGCCTCCCAAAGTGCTGGGATTACGGGCATGAGCCACTGCGCCCGGCTGCGTATTCACTATTTAAAAGTAGTCAGTACTCATTGGATGATGCTAAGACAGTTTTTTATTTGGAAGCTTGAGGCTGCAGTGAGCTGAACTGCACTGTACTCACTGTTCGGAACTGAATTGAACTCACACCACTGCACTCCAGCCTGGGTGACAGAGCAGGACCCTGTCTTAAAAATTAAAGGGAGAGCCCTTTATTACAAACAGCGAGCTCAGTATATATTTTCTGAGTGTTGTGTCTGTTACAGGCTGCATTGTACCCTCCCAAATTCATACGTTAAAGTCCTAACCCCTAGGACCACACAATGTGGCTGTATTTGGAGGTTACCTCTTTAAAGAGTTAACTACAGTAAAATGAGGTCACCAGGAGTGGGCCCTGATCCAATAGGACCGGTGTCCTCATAAGAAGAGGAGATGAGGACACAGACACACACAGAGGGACGACACTGTGAGGACACAGGGAGAAGACGGCATCTCCAAGCCCAGGAGAGAGGCCTCAGGAGGAACCAGCCCTGCCCATACCTGGATCTCAGACCTCCAGCCTCCAGGACTGTGGGAGAATCAATGTTTGTTGTTTCTAAGCTGCCCAGTCTATGGTATTCTGGGATAGTCGTTCGAAATGGACAAAGACACCTCATAAGAAGAGGAGATGAGGACACAGACACATACAGAGAGATGACCCTGTGAGGACACAGGGAGAAGACGGCGTCTCCAAGCCCAGGAGAGAGGCCTCAGGAGGAACCAGCCCTGCCCATACCTGGATCTCAGACCTCCACCCTCCAGGACTGTGGGAGAATCAATGTCTGTTGTGTATAAGCCCCCCAGTCTACGGTATTCTGTGACAGCAGCCTGAGATGGACTAAGACACCTCATAAGAAGAGGAGATGAGGACACAGACACACACAGAGAGATGACCCTGTGAGGACACAGGGAGAAGTCGATGTCTCTAAGTCCACAAGAGAGGCCTCAGGAGGAACCAGCCCTGCCCACACCTGGATCTCAGACCTCCAGCCTCCAGGACTGTGGGAGAAACAATGTCTGTTGTTTACAGTCCACCCAGTTTGCAGTGTTTTATTACGGCGGCCGAGCTGACTACCCATCCACTCTGAAGCAGTTGGGAGAAGGCAGACGTCAGAGATGCTGCCGAAACCTAGGCTGAATGGAAGTGAACTTGGGATGCTGCTGAGACCTAGGCTGAATGGACGTCAACTTGGGTACCACTGGCTTCTCCCTGCTGTTGAATCCCAAAGACCATCTCGAGGCCATCTGGAGTCATGCTCCCCCGCCAGCTTCTCAGTAGAGACAGCACGTTACAGGGTGGGAAATGGTTATTCACAATTGTTCAGTGGCTGCCTGCCTTGGCGTTGGGGAGCCACATGAGAAGGCTCACAGCCACAGCCACAGCCCTCCCGGGTGCGACTCCCTGGGATCCTGCCCTCTGCCCTCTCAGAGGGTTTCTCTCTCTCTCCGCTCAGTTCACAGGAAGCAACTTGTCTGCAGTTCCCAAATCTACTTCTTGGAGCCTCTGTCCTCTACTATTTTCCTGGAGGGAACAGGCTGGGAAGGAAGGTGGTGTCCCCTTAAAACATTCAGTCAGCCGCGGCTTCAGACGGAGCAGTCATTTGTAGGTAACTAGGACTTGGGAAGATATTCAACACTGCTTCCTGGGAGTTTTTTTTCTTTCTTTCTTTCTTTTTTGTGAGATGGAGTCTCACTCTGTCTCCCAGGTTGGAGTGCAGTAGCGCGATGTCGGCTCCCTGCAACCTCCGCCTCCCTGGTTCAAGCAATTCTCCTGCCTCAGGCTCCCGAGTAGCTGGGATGACAGGCACCCACCGCACCTGGCCAAGTATTTTTAATATTAGTATTTTAGAAACTCAGTCACTCCGCTAGTAAACCAGTATGGATAGAAATGCAAACATCAGGCCGGGCGTGGTGGCTCACGCCTGTAATCCCAGCACTTTGGGAGGCCGAGGCGGGTGGATCACTTGAGATCAGGAGTTCGAGACCAGTCTGATCAACATGGTGAAACCCTGTCTCTACTTAAAATACAAAAATTAGCCAGGCGTGGTGGTGGCGGGTGCCTGTAATCCCAGCTATTCAGGAGACTGAGGCAGGAGAATCACTTCAACCCGGGAGGTGGAGGTTGCAGTGAGCTGAGATCGCGCCACTGCACTCCAGCCTGGGGGACAGAGTGGGACTCCGTCTCAAAAAAAAAAAAAAAGAAAAGAAAAAGAAAAAAAAGAAACTCAAACATCACAGAGAGAGATCAATGTTTTTTTTTTTAAATAGCATGTTAATTAGGGTTTTCTCTTTTTTTTTTTCAAGACAAGGTCTCACTCTGTGGCCCAAGCTGGAGTGTAGGCCGGGCACGGTGGCTCACACCTGTAATCCCAGCATTTTGGGAGGCCGAGGTGGGCAGATCGCCTGAGGTTGGGAGTTTGAGACCAGCCTGGCCAAGACGGTGAAACCCTGTGTCTACTAAAGATACACAAATTAGCCGGGCATGGTGGCGGGTGCCTGTAATCCCAGCTACTCAGGAGGCCGAGGCAGGAGAATCGCTTGAACCCGGGAGGCGGAGGTTGCGGTGAGCCGAGACCGTGCCACGGCACTCCAGCCTGGGTGACGAGTAAACTCTGTCTCAAAATAAATAAATAAATAAATAGTATGCTGACAAGCAAATATGGCCTTTTCTGTTTGTTATTACGCCTGGCATCTCCAAGAAGGTACCGGACTTGCTGAGGTGTGGAGTAGCATCCAGGCTGGTGAGAGATGGTTGGTTTGGGGTGCAGTGGGGCGGCGAGGGGCTTGTTGGGACCGGCTTGGAGGCCTGTGGGTGTCAGACCTGCAGCCTAGCGGGTCCTTGCCATCCAGGAAGCTGTGAGTATTTGGTTTGGGGCAGCTGAACCCAGGAAGCAGGACTGAGGAGGTAAGAAGCAGAGAGGGATGAGCAGTACACTCCCGCCGGGTGCCAGCCAACAGACACGGAGAGCATGAAGGATAAAAATAAAAGACCAACTGCTCCCTGCGAGCTGATTCCTGGTTTGCCCTGGAGACTCAAGCTGCTCCTGAACTTTAAACAGCACCCACAGTGTCAGAAAACTGTTGATGAGGCCGGGCGCGGTGGCTCACGCCTGTCATCCCAGCACTTTGGGAGGCCGAGGCGGGCAGATCGCGAGGTCAGGAGATCAAGACCATCCTGGCCAACATGCTGAAACCCCGTCTCTACTGAAAACACAAAAAATTAGCCGGGTGTGGTGGCGGGTGCCTGTAGTCCCAGCTACTCGGGAGGCTGAGGCAGGAGAATGGCGTGAACCTGGGAGGCGGAGCTTGCAGTGAGCCGAGATCGCGCCACTGCACTCCAGCCTGGGCGACAGAGCGAGACTCTGTCTCAAAAAAAAAAAAAAAAAAGAAAAAGAAAGAAAACTTGAAGAGGGCCAGCCCATCTTGGTTACAGCCCACAAGAGGTGACCTCCCAACACTATGGGACCTGCAACAGCCAACTCTGTATTTTTTTTTTTTCAGACGGAGTTTTCCTCTTGTCACCCAGGCTAGAGTGCAGTGGCACAATCTTGGTTCACTGCAACATCTGCCTCCCAGGTTCAAGCGATTCTCCTGCCTCAGCCTCCTGAGTAGCTGGGATTACAGGCACGCGCCACCATGCCCGGCTAATTTTTGTATTTTTAGTAAAGATGCGGTTTCACCATGTTGCACAGGCTGAACTCCTGATCTTGAACTCCTGGTCTCGAACTCCTGATCTTGTGATCCGCCCTCCTCAGCCTCCCAAAGTTCTGGGATGACAGGTGCGAACCACCGCACCTGGCCCTCTGTTATTTTTTGAGATGGAGTCTCACTCTTGTCACCCAGGCTGGAGTGCAGTGGCACGATCTTGGCTCACTGCAACTTCCGCCTCCTGAGTTCAAGCGATTCTCCTGCCTCAGCCTCCTGAGTAGCTGGGATTACAGGCGCGTGCCATAATGCCTAGCTAATTTTTGTATTTTTAGTAGAGACAGGGTTTCACCATGTTGCCCAGGCTGATCTTGAACTCCTTATCTTGTGATCCACCCGCCTCAGCCTTCCAAAGTGCTGGGATTACAGGCATGAGCCCCTGCACCCAACCCTCTGTTTTTTTTCTTTTTCTTTTTCTTTTCTTTTTTTTTTTTTTTTTTGAGACAGTTTCACTCTTGTCCCCCAGGCTGGAGTGCAATGGCACGATCTCGGTTCAGTGAAACCTCTGCCTCCCAGGTTCAAGCGATTTTCCTGCCTCAGCCTCCTGAGTAGCTGGGATTACACGAGGTGTGTGCCACCACGCCTGGCCAATTTTTATATTTTTAGTAGAGACGGGGTTTCACCATGTTGGCCAGGCTGATCTCGAACTCCTGACCTCAGGTGATCCTCCTGCCTTGGCCCCCAAAATGCTGGGATTACAGACGTGAACCACCATGCCTGGTGGCCCTGGCCTTTTCTTACGCATGAGGTAATGCTTGCCACACCTACTGGTTATGTTCCTGCAAACTATCACCAGATCGCCTCTTACGCCCAAACTTTAATGCAATGTTTCACGTACTATGTATTTACTGCGTATATTAAAACTATAACTTATGGGAAATGTGTCATTAGGTGAAACGTATTAATAAGGAAAAAAAAGAAATAAAAACAAAACAAAACAAAAAAACCCTATAATTTAAAATACTACATTCAAACAACCTGACCAAAACTTTCTAAATGATTTCCCCAAAACAGAGCCGTAAGTAACTTGGGAACAAGACAAGAGGCAACCTGGGATGTCTTTCTATTTATTTATATCTCTAATTTTTTGAATCTGTTTTTTTGTTTTGTTTTGTTTTGTTTTGTTTTTCTTTTTGAGACGGAGTCTCGCTCTGTGGCCCAGGCTGGAGTGCAGTGGTGTGATCTCAGCTCACTGCAAGCTCCGCCTCCCGGGTTCCCGCCATTCTCCTGCCTCAGCCTCCCGAGTAGCTGGGACTACAGGCGTGTACCACCATGCCCAGCTAATTTTTTGTATTTTTAGTAGAGACGGGGTTTCACCGTGTTAGCCAGGATGGTCTCGATCTCCTGACCTCATGATCCGCCTGCCTCGGCCTCCCAAAGTGCTGGGATGACAGGCGTGAGCCACCGCGCCCGGCCTGTTGTTGTTTTTTAATGTTTTTTTTTAGTTTTCGGTGTACAAATCTACTTTCATGATTAATTTCTAACTGTTTTATTCTTTTTGGTGTTATTGTTAATGTAATTGTTTTCTTATTCTCTTATTTATGTACTTATTTTGAGGTAGGGTCTCACTCTGTTGCCCAGGCTGGAGTGCATTGGCACAATCATGGCTCACAGCAGCCTTGAACTCCTGGGTTCTAGTGATCCTCCCACCTCAGCTTCTCAAGTAGCTGGGACTACAGGCGTGCACCACCATGCCCAGCTAATTTTTTTTTTTGTTTTTTGAGACGGAGTCTCACTCTGTCATCTAGGCTGGAGTGCAGTGGTGTGATCTCGGCTCACTGCAACCTCCGCCTCCCGAGTTCAAGTGATTCTCCTGCCTCAGCCTCCCGAGTAGCTGGGATTCCAGGTACACGCCACCACACCCAGCTAATTTTTGTATTTTTGGTAGAGACGGGGTTTCTACTAAATGTTGGCCAGGCTGGTCTCGAACTCCTGACCCCAGGTGATCCTCCAACCTAGCCCTCCCAAAGTCTTGGGATTACAGGCGAGAGGCCCTGCGCCCGGCCACGTTAATTCTTTAGAAGTCAACAGAGGCCCATTGCTCTGAGCCGCCGCCACCCCCAGCCCTGTTTGTGACGACCAATGGGCTGCCGTGGACATAGGATTTTGGGTGTGCTAAAACCAGGAAAGCCCCCAGCAGCACCCAGGCTCCGAGGTTCTGGGAGACACAACCTCCCCGCCAGAGGGAAATGACCCATTACAATCCCCTGGGTGGTTTTCCAGGCCAAGCAGCTGGGGCCGCCTGTCTGGCCCAGGGTGGCCTGAATCTCTCGGTTCTGTCCTGGGAGAGGTGGGGATTTTTAAGCCTGACCTTTTAACTTTACCACAGGGCTGCTATCCAGCCTTCCTTCCTGTGACAGACTCTACGCCCATCTTCCAAAGCTCACAGAGCTGGCCGGAGAGTCCCAGGGCCCTCTTGTGAACTACGTCTTGGAAGGAGGTGGCTGTGTCTTCTCAGATACCATGTCCAGGCTTACATCTGAATGTTTTCGGTCCGACTTCAAGGGACGTAAATATCAGACCCCTGGAAGCACTCTGTGCATCCCTGTGACGGTGCTTTGCAGACTTTTGGCCTGTGTTTGACTTTCTGATGCGTTTTCATTTTCACTTTCGTTTTTCTGTATTTATTTATGGAGACATAAGGTCTTGCTCTGTTGCCCCAGGCTAGAGTGCCATGGTGACATTATATAGCTCACTGCAACCTCAACTTCCTGGCCTGAACCGATCCTCCCACCTCAGCCTCCTGAGCAGCTGGGACCACAGGTGCTCACCACCATGGCTGGCTAATTATTTATTTTTGTAGACATAGGGGTCTCACTATATTGCCCCGTCTTAGTTTTCATTTTTATTTTTTATTATTATTATTATTTGAGACAAAGTTTCACTCTGTTGCCCAGGCTGGAGTGCAGTGGTGCGATCTTGGCTCACTGCAACCTCCATCTCCCGGGTTCAAGTGATTCTCCTGCCTCAGCCTCCCGAGTAGCTGGGATTACAGGCGCGCACCACCACGCCCGGCTAATTTTTTGTATTTTTAGTAGAGATGGGGTTTCACCGTGTTAGCCAGGATGGTCTCGATATCTGGACCTTGTGATCTGCCTGTCTCGGCCTCCCAAAGTGCTGGGATTACAGGCATGAGCCACCACGCCCGGCGAGTTTTCATTTTTATTGATTATTATTATTATTTTTTGAGACGAAATCTCGCTCTGTCACCCAGATTGGAGTGCAGCGCTGTGATCTTGCCTCACTGCAACCTCCGCCTCCCGGGTTCAAACGATTGTCCTGCCTCGGCCTCTTGAATATCTGGAACTACAGGCGTGTGCCACCACATCCAGCTCATTTTTGTATTATTAGTAGACACAGGGTTTTACTGTGGTGGCCAGGCTGGTCTTGAACTCCTGACCTCAGGTGATCCACCCACCTCGGCCTCTCAAAGTGCTGGGATGACAGACGTGAGCCACCACGCCTGGCCTCATTTTTCTATTTGGAAATAAAGTCCTGTCTAGGTTTATGAGGAGTGGGACCACATCACTGAAGATACACGAGCAAGAACATGGATTTGCTTATCTCTGTTTTGGTCATGTCCTCCCGGGGGGCAGGGGTGGGGGTGGCAAACCTCCTCCCCTCCCTCCCCCACTTCGAACACAGAGTGAGTGTTGGTGACACTCAGCCAGGGACAGGACCCCGCTGCGAGCCAGGTTCCTCTTTCTACTGACTCTCTGGGGACCCTGTTTGCCTCCCGGCAACACGCTTTGCCGAAGAGCCCCTGTGCTGGCTGCCACGTGAGCCGCCCCTGTCCCTACTCTCAGCAGCCTTCCCCACCTGCAAACCCAGATCGAGGGCCTCCCATGCTGGGTTGGATGGTGGCCCCCAGAGATATGTCCGTGTCCTGAGCCCTGCTATTTGGGGAGGGGGTTTCATTTGGAAAAGAGGGTCTTTGCAGATTCATTCCGTTGTGGATCTTGAGAGAAAATAATCCTGCATTGTCTGGGTGGGCCTTAAATGCAATGACAGGTGTCCTTCTAAGAGACAGGAGAGGAGACACAGACACAGAGGAGAAGGCCACGTGGAGACGGAGACAGAGCCTGGAATGACGCGGCCACAAGCCCAGGGATGCCTGGAGCCCCCAGGAGCTGGGAGAGACAGGAAGGAGCCTCCGGAGGGAACTGGATCCAATTGTAATGGGTTGAACAGCGGATCCTGGAAAGATATGTCCATATCCTAGAGCCCAGAACCTGGAATGAGACCTTATTTGGAAATAAGAACTTTGCAGATTTAATGAGTTAAGGATCTCAAGATGAGATACTCCTGGATTAGGCTGGGCCCTAAATCCAATGACAGGTGCCCTGGTAAAAGACAGAAGAGGAGACGCAGACACAGAGGAGAAGGCCACGTGGAGACGGAGACAGAGCCTGGAATGACGCGGCCACAAGCCCAGGGATGCCTGGAGCCCCCAGGAGCTGGGAGAGACAGGAAGGACCCTCCCCTAGAGCTCCTTGAGGGAGCACGGACCTGAGACATTTTGATCTCAGACTTCTGGCCCCCGGAACTGTAAGAAAGTAAATTCCTGTTGTCGAACTCCCCAGTTTGTGGCATTTTTTGTGTCAGCCTCAGGGGACTCACAGAAATGGCTTTGTCTCTGCACCCCTAAAATAATTTTAATGTTACTACTGAACAAGTTTGAAAGATGCAGGCACTTTCTGACATGCCACGAGCTTTGTTACTTAAAATACAACTGCCAGCTGGGCGTAGTGGTTCACACCTGTCATCCCAGCACTTCGGGAGGCCAGGGCGAGCAGATCACCTGAGGTCAGGAGTTCGAGACCAGCCTGGCCAACGTGGTAAACCCCGTCTCTACTAAAAATACAAAAATTAGCCAGGTGTGGTGGCTCACACCTGTAATCCCAGCACTTTGGGAGGCCGAGGCGGGTGGATCATCTGAGGTCAGGAGTTCGAGAACAGCCTGGCCAATGTGGCAAAACCCCGTCTCTGCTAAAAATACAAAAATTAGCTGGGCATGGTGGCAGGCACCTGTAGTCCCAGCTAATCAGGAGGCTGAGGCAGGAGAATCACTTGAACCCGGGAGGCAGAGGTTGCAGTGAGCTGAGATCATGCCACTGTACTCCAGCCTGGGTGAGACTTAGTCTCAAACAAAACAAAAAACAAGAAAAACCAAACACAGCTGCTTTGTCGCTGTTCTGGAGGAACTGAATAGACTGTAATCATGTTGGTGTTTTACAGGCAATTATCCACTTAAATAACCTGTAAAGGAACTGTCTTTAAAGATTTGGGAATTCTGCTGGACGTGGTGGCTCACGCCTGTAATCCCAGCACTTTGGGAGGCCGAGGCGGGCGGATCATGAGGTCAGGAATTCGAGACCAGCCTGTCCAATATGATGAAACCCCGTCTCTACTAAAAATACAAAAATTAGCTGGGCGTAGTTGCAGGCGCCTGTAGTCCCAGCTACTCGGGAGGCTGAGGCAGGAGAATCGCTGGAACCCGGGAGGCGGAGGTTGCGGTGAGCCGAGATGGCGCCACTGCACTCCAGCCTGGGCAACAGACCAAGACTCTGTGTCAAAAAAAAAAAAAGATTTGGGAATTCCACATGCTTCTTTGCCCCCCTTGAAGCTTCTGTTTCAATCTTATTGCCTCCTGATGTGATGTAGACCTGGATTTGAAAGCCTTTTAGTGGTGACCCTGTCCACCTCATGACAGCAAAACAGTTCATGTGTTGAAATTTAAACATAGGTTTCACTTCCTGCTACCATAAGGATCCCACGTGCTGGAAACTTCCCTCTGTTGAAATGTTCTCTGTGGTCAAAACTGATCAGGCTGGGTGCAGTGGCTCATGCCTGTCATCCCAGCATTTTGGGAGTCTGAGGCAGGTGGATCACTTGAGGTTAGGAGTTTGAGACCAGCCTGGCCAACATGGTGAAATCCCATCTCTACTAAAAATACAAAATTAGGTCGGGTGTTGTGGCTCACGCCTGTAATCCCAGCACTTTGGGAGGCTGATGCGGGCGGATCACCTGAGGTCAGGAGTTCGAGGCCAGCCTGGCCAACATGCTGAAACCCTGTCTCTACTAATAATACAAAAATTAGCCGGGCATTGGCCAGGCGTGGTGGCTCACGCCTGTCATCCCAGCACTTTGGGAAGCCGAGGCGGGTGGATCACAAGGTCAGGAGATCGAGACCATCCTGGCTAACACGGTGAAACCCTGTCTCTACTAAAAAAAATACAAAAATAAATTAGCCGGGCGTGGTGGCAGGCGCCTGTAGTCCCAGCTACTTGGGAGGCTGAGGCAGGAGAATGGCGTGAACCCGGGAGGCAGAGGTTGCAGTGAGCCGAGATCGTACCACTGCACTCCAGCCTGGGTGACAGAGAGAGACTCTGTCTCAAAAAAAAAAAAAAAAGGAAGAAAATCTCATGCTCAACCTCAAATTGGAAACGTGAATCAGGGCGTCTCAGAGGACCTGAGCTGGGTTTCTGTGACTGACGTGGTACTCTGGCCACTTGCCCATCACAAAAACGGATGAGACTGTGGAAAGCAGATCTTTATCTTTCTGAGAAGGAAGCAACAGAGGGCCTCGTCACCGGCCTTTCCGTTGGCCTTGGCGTCTTAATGACCACAGATAGTGTCCATGGACTGAGTTTCCTCGTGGCCAGCAAGGACAGGGCTGAAAAATGGAACCACTCCACATGGAGGCACTGGATGAGTGTCTGCAGACAACTGAAGATGAAGCTAGGTGTCTCATCAACAATTTCAGAATATTATCCACTAGCTTCGGAAGATACAAAAAGCCTTCTGGGAGGCCGAGGCGGGTCGATCACCTGAGGTCAGGAGTTGGAGACCAGCCTGGCCAACATGGTGAAACTCCATCTCTACTCAAAATATAAAACTTAGCTGGGTGTGGTGGCGGGCGCCTGTCATCCCAGCTACTCGGGAGGCTGAGGCAGGAGAATCGCTTGAACCAGGGAGGCGGAGGTTGCAGTGAGCCGACATGGCGCCATTGCACTCCAGCTTGGGCGACAGAGCAAGACTGCGTCTCAAAAACAAACAAACAATAAAACACAAAAAACAAAAAACAAAAGAATCCAGGAGGAGGACTTGCAAGTAGAGTTTCCATTTCTACCCCTGTGTAAAATTCCTTGAGTATTGCATTTTTAAAAATCATTTCCCATTTCTAAACTTTGTAACAAAAGAATATCTTTTTTACATTGAACAAAGCATCTTAATTTCTTTCTTCTTTTTTTTTTTTTTTTTTTTTTTGACACAGAGTCACACTCCGTCACCCAGGCTGGAGTGCAGTGGCACAGTCTTGGCTCACTGCAAGCTCCGCCTCCCGGGTTCAAGTGATTCTCCTGCCTCAGCCTCCCTAGTAGCTGGGATTATAGGCACCCGCCACCACACCTGGCTAATTTTTGTATTTTTAGTAGAGACGGGGTTTTGCCATGTTGGCCAGGCTGGTCTCGAACTCCTGACCTTAGACGACCCGCCTGCCTGAGCCTCCCAAACTGCTGGGATGACGGGTGTGAGCCACCATGCCTGATGCTTAATTTCCTTCTTAAAACATGCTCCCCTGTGCCCTTCCCCTTCTAAGATGAGCCAGGAGGCTAATTGGGTAGACAAAAGAAGACAGAAGTTTGTGTCCTTCTAGACAGAACTGGTGTGGCCCACCAGGCTATAGATGGAGATGTCTCTTCTGAGAGAAGACTGCCTCTTTGTCCTTTCCATTGAGAAAATGCTTCCTTTTCAGCCCTGAGCTGGGGGTATCAGGAGTCCAGGAAAGAAAGAAGGCAGAGGAGAGAGAGAGGTGTTTGGATGTAAAGATGTATCTACCACGTTGACCAGAATCTTGACGACATCACCATGAGCTCCGTGACTCAGAGGGACCCTGGACATTTTGGACGTTTGTCACTTGCTGGCCACTTTCTTTCTTTCTTTTTTTTTTTTTGAGATGGAGTCTTGCTCTGTCGCCCAGGCTGGAGTGCAGTGGCGCAATCTTGGCTCACTACAACCTCTGCCTCCCTGGTTGAAGTGATTCTTCTGCCTCAGCCTCCCGAGTACCTGGGATTACAGGCACCCGCCACCACGCCCGGCTAATTTTTGTATTTTTAGTAGAGACGGGGTTTCACCGTGTTAGCCAGGATGGTCTCGATCTCCTGACCTCGTGATCCGCCCACCTAGGCCTCCCAAAGTGCTGGGATGACAGGCGTGAGCCACCGCGCCCGGCCACTTTCTGGCCATTTTCATTTCTGTAGGCAATGGACGGGTCCTAGGAGTCCATGGATTCAGGGGTCCTAGGAGCTGGCCACCAAGAATAACTCAGACCTGGTCAAGTCTCAAGGTATCAGGTCCCTGTTTGTTCAAATCGGAGTCCTCATGGGCCCCAAAGTTCCGTGGTCTACTGTTTCCAAAAGCCTCCCGAAGCCCTTGCGTACATGCAACACCCCCAGCTGCCTCTGAGCGAAGCAAGGAGGGTCTAAGTTCAGAGGCATGATCAGGGCAGGCGTCCTCACTTGCTCTCTCTGTGCGTGTCCAAGATGAAGTCCCCTAGATTTCACCGGACGAGATGAGACCTGACATTCCACATTGTCCTTGAACACCTGTCAGTCAGCACCCACTACTTCCTGAGTCCTGGAAATAGTCAACCTCATCTCTCGTTGGATGAGGAGTTGTCCCGGGAGACACGCCAGGACCCCACCCAAGCCTTCCTAGCTGAAAATCATCACTGAGCCAGAAAAGCTGTCGCTCATATCCCCGGTGACCGCCGACGGTGGTTCGGAGCTGGGGTAGCTCATGAGTCCCTGCAGTACTGGCGACATACCTGTTGTGTGGATTGCTAAACTGAGGCTCGGGGCCGTGACGGCACCCGGTCACAGCACCCGGCGGAGTCCCCACGTGCCGGCCCCTCCTGTTGGCGACGCGCGATTTCCGCCCCCCTGCCTGACTTCCCATGTCTCCCTGCCACATTCATGAGTAGCTTCATGTTGAGTTTGAGCCTGCTTCTGGGTACACTACCCCTGTGGTGACGGGAGGGAAAGTAAAGGTTTTTCTCACTTGACAGAAGAGGAAATTGAGGTTAGCTATTAGGTCATGGCATGGCCGTGGTCAGACCCACGGCTGATAACATGTAAAGGCACGCCTGAATCAAGCCAGCCCCGTCTGGCACTCAACACACACCCCACGTCTTTGCAGCCGGGCGGGACCAGGCGGGACCCACACCGCCATCCCTCAGGAGACCTCCCTGCCGCCTCCCCCACCTCTTTCACCCCGTATGGCGTGTGCCTGATGACCTCTCATCACGATGCCCCTGTCCCCCCGACGCCCTGTGGGTTTGGGGGAAAAATCCAGCAATGGCCTAGGGCAGGTCACATAAGATTCCTCACAACAGACTCTGATGTTCTGGCAGTATTGCTGAGTGTCTCTAAAACCATGGAAAGCCCCAGGGGCTGGCAGAGCTGCAGGCAGTCAGCTGGGGAGGTGGCGTTCATGCTGCCATTAACCAGGCTGAGTGTTGATCAAAGGTTTTCAACTGGGGCCACTGTGGTCCCCAGGGGACGCTGGGCAGCAGCGACATCTCTGGCTGTCATGACGGGGTGGAGGAGCTCCTGGCATCTGGTGGGTGCAGCCCAGGGACACCGTTCAACACACTACACTGCACGGGACGGCCCTGCCACAGAGTGTCATCCAGCCCCAAAATGTCAGCAGTGCTGAGGCTGAGAAACTCCACATATCGGTTATCCCCACATGAGAGACTCCTTATATTGGTTATCTATGTATCCATCTATGTATCTACCTATCTAGCCATCCATCTATTTATCTCTCTATCTATCATCTATGTATCTATCTGTCTAGCCATCTATCTATCTATCCATCATCTATGTATCTATCCATCTATTCATCCATCTATCTATCCTGTATGTATTTATCTATCCATCATCCATCCATCCATCCATCCATTCTATCTATCTATCTATCTATCTATCTATCTATCTATCTATCTATCTATTTCTATTATCTATCTATCATCTATGTATCTATGTATCTATCCATCCATGTATGTGTCTATCATCTATGCATCCATCCATCCATCCCTCCATCCATCCATTCATCCATCCATCCATCCATCCATCCATCTATTCTATCATCTATGTATCTATGTATCCATCCATTCATTGTATCTATCATGTATCTATTATCTATCTATCCTGTATGTATCTATCCATCTATTCATCCATCTGTCTATCCTGTATGTGTTCATCCATCCATCCATCCATCCATCCATCCATCCATCCATTTATTCTATCTATGCATCTATCTATGTATCTATCTATGTATCTATCTATGTATCTATGTATCTATCTATCTATCTATCTATCTATCTATCTATCTATCTATCATCTATGTATCCATCCATTCTATCTATCTATCTATCTATCTATCTATCCATCTATGTATCTACCTATCTAGCCATCCATCTATTTATCTCTCTATCATCTATGTATCTATCTGTCTAGCCATCTATCTATCTATCCATCATCTATGTATCTATCCATCTATTCATCCATCTATCTATCCTGTATGTATTTATCTATCCATCATCCATCCATCCATCCATCCATCCATCTATTCTATCTATCTATCTATCTATCTATCTATCTATCTATCTATTTCTATTATCTATCTATCATCTATGTATCTATGTATCTATCCATCCATGTATGTGTCTATCATCTATGCATCCATCCATCCATCCCTCCATCCATCCATTCATCCATCCATCCATCCATCCATCCATCCATCTATTCTATCATCTATGTATCTATGTATCCATCCATTCATTGTATCTATCATGTATCTATTATGTATCTATCATGTATGTATCTATCCATCTATTCATCCATCTGTCTATCCTGTATGTGTTCATCCATCCATCCATCCATCCATCCATCCATCCATCCATTTATTCTATCTATGCATCTATGTATCTATCTATGTATCTATCTGTCTATCTATCTATCTATCTATCTATCTATCATCTATGTATCCATCCTATCTATCTATCTATCTATCTATCTATCTATCTATCTATCTCTATTATCTATCTATCATCTATGTATCTATGTATCTATCCATTCTATCTATCTATGTATGTATCTATCTATCTTCTCTATCATCTATGTATCTATGTATCCATCCATCTATGTAAATATTATCTATGCATCCATCCATCCATCCATCATCTATGTATCTATGTATCTATCCATTCATTGTATCTACCATGTATCTAACTATCCTCTATCTATCATCTATCTATCTATCTCATCTATCATCTTTATACATCTATCATCTACCACCTATCTGTCTCAATATCTGTCAATCTGTCATCTATATCTATGTATTACCTATCTATCTCAATAGCTAGCTATCAATCATCTATCATCTAATCTATTCATCCGTCTACCTCAATATCTATCAATCATCGAATAGCTATATCTATTCATCTATCTGTCTACACCTGGCTTAGAGCGTGATGGACTCACTACTCTGGGAGAGTAGCTGCGAGGAACACCACCAGTGTCCTCACTAATACAAGCTTTTTGTTTTTCTCTAGCAGCTGAACGAGCCCTGGCTTGGAGATGAACAATATGAAAACTGGTGAAGCTCGTCCAGCTCACAGATGCTCACTCACGGATCCCCTGCTCCACCAGCCATAACTACAACTTTGATCGCA
This sequence comes from Homo sapiens, assembly GCF_000001405.40. Taxonomy (NCBI): domain Eukaryota; kingdom Metazoa; phylum Chordata; class Mammalia; order Primates; family Hominidae; genus Homo; species Homo sapiens. The sequence goes on from NC_000023.11 coordinate 1,510,479, forward strand.
CAAGAGATTAATTTCAGCCACTTTCTCCTGGTAAGAGACTCTGACAATGGGCTGGTTCTGGATGGTTGACAGAGGCTGCACACTCAGTGCCTCTGTGTTCTGGAAGCCCCTTTTGACAGCCAGGCGCAGTGGCTCATGCCTGTAATACCAGCACTTTGGGAGGCTGAGATGGGTGGATCACTTGACGTCAGGAGTTCAAGACCAGCCTGGCGACCACAGTGAAACCCTATCTCTACTAAAAACACAAAAATTAAGCCAGGCACGGTGGCGTGCACCTGTAATCCAAGCTACTCAGTAGGCTGAGGCAGGAGAATTGCTGGAACCTGGGAGGCGGAGGTTGCAGTGAGCCGTGATCGCGTCACTGCACTCCAGCCTGGGCAACAGAGTGTGACTCCGTCTCAAAAAGAAAAAGAAAAGAGGCCAGGCACAGTGGCTCCCGCCTGTAATCCCAACACTTTGGAAGGCCAAGGCGGGTGGATCACGGGGTCAGGAGATTGAGACCATCCTGGCTAACACAGTGAAACCCCGTCTCTACTAAAAAATACAAAAAAATTAGCCAGCTGTGGTGGCAGGTGCCTGTAGTCCCAGCTACTCAGGAGGCTGAGGCAGGAGAATGGCATGAAGCTGGAAGGCAGAGGTTGCAGTGAGCCAAGATCGCACCACTGCACTCCAGCCTGGGCGACAGAGTGAGACTCTGTCTCAAAAAGAAAAAGAAAAGAAAAAAAGAAAACACCTTTTGATATAGACAGCCTCATTGGGGCACATTAAAGGTTAAAAGTCTCTACCCCCAAGTGAATGTGGAACTTCTGCCACAGGCATGTTTGTCCTGTATCCACGTGTCAGGATGCCCTTCATTAAAATTCATAGCTCCTCCTGTAACCTGTTGAATACAAGTATGCTTGGTCATCTCATTCAACATAAATTCCCATCTCTGTCTTTTCTTCTTCGAAATGTCTACTTTTAGTTTCTGCCAGAGGCTACATTTCCCAGCCTGTTAGGCTATACAAATCAAGCTCCCCTCTCCAAATGTGTACATCTTGTCATTTTTTGTTTCTTTAAGCGACGAGATCTCGGTCTGTCACCTAGGCTGGAATGCAGTGGTGTGATCACAGCCCACTGCAGCCTCCAACTCCTGGGTTCAAACTGTCCTCCCACTTCAACCTCCCAAAGCACTGGGGTGAAAGACAGGAGCCACCTTGCCCAACCAATCTCGTGATTTTAAGTTGACACCTTCCATTCTCTTGACGGCACTGAGCATTGCCTTCAACGGCATGTCTACGGATGGCCAGCTGGGTCCCTTCTGGGGCTCCAGACACGATTCTCTTAGCTGTCTGTTGTCTGAGAGTTCTTCCTGATTGACACATGGCCTCCTGCCTTATAACTTCCCCCACCTGAGTCCTCTCGTCTGTCCCACATCACTCGCTGACAACACCCACAATGGCCAGGTGTGTCCTTCTGGAATTCCAGGTGAGCAAGTGTTCTGCCTTCGGTGATATGGGGGCCCACCTGTTCCTCTGCCTTTTTTTCCTAGCTCCTTGGTCCAGGGCTCATCACACCAGATATGTAAGCAAAGAGAAGAGGCTCCCAGGCTGGCGGGGGGGTCTCCTGTCCAGGGTCTCCTGTGTAAGAGTGTCCTGGGGATATAGCAAACAATGACCCCACACTGGGGGTACTTAAACAACAGAAATTCATCATCTCCCAGTCCTGGAGGTGAAGAGTCTGAGATTAAGGTGCAGGCAGGCCCACGGTATTAGTCTGTTCTCACGCTGCTAATAAAGACATACCTGGCTGGGCGCAGTGGCTCAAGCCTGTAATCCCAGCGCACTGGGAGGCCGAGGTGGGTGGATCACCTGAGGTCAGGCGTTTGAGACCATCCTGGCCAACATGGTGAAACCCCATCTCTACTAAAAACACAAAAATTAGCCAGGCGTGGTGGTGGGTACCTGTCATCCCAGCTACTCGGGAGGCTGAAGCAGGAGAATCGCTTGAACCTGGGAGGTGGAGGTTGCAGTGGGCTGAGATCATGCCATTGCACTCCAGCCTGGGCAACAGAGTGAGACTCCGTCTCAAAAAAAAAAAAAAAAAAAGAGACATACCCAAGACTGGGTAATTTATAAAGGAAAGAGGTTTAATGGACTCACAGTTCCACATGGCTAGGGAGACCTCGCAATCATGGCGGAAGGCAAAGGAGGAGCAAAGTCATGTCTTACATGGTGGCAAGCAAGAGAAAAGGGGAAAGTCCCCTTTATAAAACCATCAGATCTCCTGAGACTTATTTACTCTCACAGGAACAGTATGGGAGAAAACTGCCCATAAAGTTCAATTATCTCTGCCTGGTCCTGCCCTTCACATGTGGAAATTATTATTATTATTATTATTATTATTTAATTTTACTTTAAGTTGTGAGATACATGTGCAGAACCTGCAGGTTTGTTGCATAGGTATCCGTATGCCATGGTGGTTTGCTGCACCTGTCAACCCATTATCTAGGTTTTAAGCCCCACATGCATTGGGTATTTGTCCTAATGCTCTCCCTCCCCTTGCCCCCCCACCCCCCAACAGGCCCCGGTGTGTGATGTTCCCCTCCCTGTGTCTGTGTGTTCTCATTGTTCAACTCCCACTTATGAGTGAGAACATGCGGCATTTCATTTTCTGTTCTTGTGTTAGTTTGCTGAGAGTGACTTTCTGGCTTTATCCACGTCCCTGCAAAGGATATGAACTCATCCTTTTTTATGACTGCATAGTATTCCATGGTGTCTATGTGCCACTTTTTTTTTTATCCAGTCTATCATTGATGGGCATTTGGATTGGTCCCAAGTCTTTGCTATTGTAAATAGTGCTGCAATAAACATAGACCCGTGAAGATTATTACAATTCCAGGTGAGATTTGGGTGGGGATATAGTCAAACCATATCAACCATCCTCCCTGTGGAGGCTCTAGGGGAGGATCCCTCCTGCCTCTCCAAGCTCCTGGGGGCTCCAGGCATCCCTGGGCTTGTGGCCGCATCACTCCAGTGTCTGCCTCTGTCTCCACGTGGCCTTCTCCTCTGTGTCTGTGTCTCCTCTTCTGTCTCTTACAAGGACAGCTGTCATTGCATTTTGGGCCCACTCTAATCCAGAATGATCCAATCTCAAGGTCCTTAACTTAATGACATCTGCAAAGACCCTATTTCCAAATAAGGTCTTACAGACTCTGAGCATTAGGATATGGACAAATGTTTCTGGTGGCCACTATTCAATCCACTACAATTGTATCCAGTTCCTTCTGGGAGGCTCTAAGGGAGGATCCCTCCTGCCTCTCCCAGCTCCTGGGGGCTCCAGGCGTCCCTGGGCTTGTGGCCCCATCACTCCAGTCTCTGCCTCTGTCTCCCCATGGCCTCCTCCTCTGTGTCTGTGTCTCCTCTTCTGTCTCTCAGAAGTGAACCTGTCATTGGATTTTGGGCCCACCCTAATCCAGGATGATCTCATCCCAAACCCTTAAATCACATCTTCAAAGACTTTTTCAGCAAACAAAGTCCTGTTTCCAGGTTCCAGGGGGTTAGGGCATGGTCCTATCTTTTGCAGGTACGCACCATTGAACCCACTACACATAGCGTTAACAACTTGTGCCCGTTTTCCTTTAATTGTCCCACTTTTAGCCCTGAGGTTCTTGTGTCCTGAAAATACCTTATAAATCCAGGGCAAACCAAGATGGATTATCTCCCCACATCCAACACCTGCACAGGTAAGTACAATTCTGTTTAATCTTGATGTCTGCTCAGGCTGGCTCTTCTCTCTGCCTACCACAGCTGGGTTCTGTGCTTGGTATGGACACCCGCCCCTTTCCTTTCCTTTTCCTTTCCTTTCCATTTCTTTCCTTTCCTTCCCTTCCCTTTTATTTTCCTTTTCCTTTTCCTTTCCCTTCCCTCCCTTCCCTTCCCTTTCCTCCCCTCCCTTCCCTTCCCTTCCTTTCCCTTCTCTTCCCTTCCCTTCCCTCCCTTCCCCTCCTTTTCCTTTCCTTTTCCTTTTCCTTTCCCTTCCCTCCCTTCCCTTCCCTTTCCTCCCCTCCCTTCCCTTCCCTTCCTTTCCCTTCTCTTCCCTTCCCTTCCCTCCCTTCCCTTCCTTTTCCTTTCCCTTCCCTTCCCTTTCCTCCCCTCCCTTCCCTTCCTTTTCCTTTCCCTTCCCTTCCCTTTCCTCCCCTCCCTTCCCTTCCCTTCCTTTCCCTTCCCTTCCCTTCCTTCCCTTCCTTCCCTTCCTTCCCTTCCCTTCCCTTCCTTCCCTTCCTTCCCTTCCTTCCCTTCCCTTCCCTTTCCTTTCCTCCCCTCCCTTCCTTTTCCTTCCCTTCCCTTCCTTTCCTTTCCTTCCCTTTCCCTTTCCTTCCCTTTCCCTTTCCCTCCCCCTCCCCCTCCCCTTCCCCTGTCTTCCTCTCCCCTCCCCTTCCCCTCCCCTCCCCTTCCCTTCCCTTTGACAGAGACTTGCTCTGCTGTCCTGGCTGAAGTGCGGTGACACTACCTCAGCTCACTGTAACCTCAGCCTCCCTGGTTCAAGCAATTCTCCTGCCTCAGCCTCCCGAGTAGAGTAGCTGGGATTACAGGCACCCACCACCACACCCAGCTAATTTTTGTATTTTTAGTAGAGATGGGGTTTCACCATATGTTGCCCAGGCTGGTCTCGAACTCCTAACCTCAAACAATCCACCCACCTCGGCCTCCCAAAGTGCTGGGATTACAGGCATCAGCCACCGCGCCCAACCTGCCTTTTTCTTTTCTTTTATTATTATTATTTTTTAAAGATAAAAACAACTTTGTAGAGATAGAATTCCTACAGCATGCAATTCACCCATCTACAGTTCATTGGGTTTAGAACGTTAAGTTGTGCAAACACCTCCGCAGTCTATTTTAGGATATTTTCTTTCTTTCTTTTTTTTTTTTTTGAGACAGTTTTGCTCTTGTTGCCCAGGCTGGAGTGCAATGGCACAATCTCTGCTCACCGCAACCTCCGCCTCCCAGGTTCAAGCGATTCCCCTGCCTCAGCTTCCCGAGTAGCTGGGACTACAGGTGCCCGCCATCACACCCGGCTAATTTTGTATTTTTAGAAGAGATGGGATTTCTCCATGTTGCCCAGGCTGGTCTCGAACTCCTGACCTCACGTGATCCACCCGCCTCGGCCTCCCAAAGTGCTGGGATTACAGGCATCAGCCACTGTACCCAGCCATTTAGGATATTTTCATCACCCCAAAAAGAAATCCTATACCCTCTGGCTCTTACTCACTGCTATTGTCTGAAGGTTTATATCACCCCAAAATATATAGGTTTCAACCCTAAACCTCAGTATGCTGTCAGGAGGTGAGAGCTCTGGGGGAGATTAGGGTGGGATGAGTTTACAGCAGAGATGCTCCATGATGAGACAAATTTCCTTATAAGAACAGGAAGAGGGCCAGGCATGGGGGCTCATGCCTGTAATCCCAGCACTTTGGGAGGCCGAGGGGTCGGGGGGTGGTGGATCACCTGAGGTCAGGAGTTCGAGACCAGCCTGGCCAATATGGTGAAACCCTGTCTCTACTAAAAAAAAAAAAAAAAAATACTAAAAATTAGCCAGGCGCGGTGGCAGGCACCTGTAATCCCACCTACTTGGGAGGCTGAGGCAGGAGAATCGCTTGAACCTGGGAGGCGGAGGTTGCAGTGAGCGGAGGTTGCACCACTGCACTCCAGCCTGGGCAAAAAGAGTGAAACTCCACCTCAGAAAAACAAAACAACAACAAAAAAAAAACAGGAAGAGACCGCAGAGCATCCACGTACTCCCTCCTTCTCTCCCTCCCTCCATTCCTCCCTTCTTCACCCCTCTCCCACAAATATAAGCACAGAGAACAACCCTGTGGGGACACAGGGAGAAGACGGTGTCTACAAGCCCAGGAGAGAGGCCTCAGGAGGAACCAGCCCTGCCCACACCTGGATCTCAGACTTCCAGCCTCCAGGACTGTGGGAGAATCAATGTCTGTCGTTTCTAAGCCGCCCAGTCTATGGTGTTCTGTGATAGCAGCCTGAAATGGACTAAGAGATCTCATAAGAAGAGGAGATGAGGACACAGACACACACAGAGGGATGATCCTGTGAGGACACAGGGAGAAGATGGCGTCTCCAAGTCCAGGAGAGAGGCCTCAGGAGGAACCAGCCCTGCCTACACCTGGATCTCAGACCTCCAGCTCCAGGATTGTGGGAGAATCAACGTTTGTTGTGTATAAGTCACGCAGTCTATGGTATTCTGTGATAGCAGCCTGAAATGGACGAGAACATCTCATAAGAAGAGGAGATGAGGACACAGACACACACAGAGGGGCGACCCTGTGAGGACACAGGGGGAAGACGTCATCTACAAGCCAAGGAGAGAGTCCTCAGGAGGAACCAGCCCTGCCCGTTCGCTGATCTCAGACTTCCAGCCTCCAGGGCTGTGGGACAATCAATGTCTGTTGTGTATAAGCCACGCAGTCTATGGTATTCTGTGTTAGCAGCCTGAAGTGGACTAAGACACCTCATAAGAAGAGGAGATGAGGACACAGACACACACAGATGGACGACTCTGTGAGGACACAGGGAGAAAACAGCATCTACAAGCCAAAGAGACAAGCCTTAGGAGGAACCACCCCTGCCCACACCTTAATCTTGGATTTCCAGCCTCCAGGGCTGTGGGAGAATCAATGTCTCTTGTTTCTAAGCCACCCAGTCTATGGTATTCTGTGGTAGCAGCCTGAGATGGACTAAGACATCTCATAAGAGGAGGAGATGAGGGCACAGACACACAGAGAGGGACGACCCCGTGAGGACACAGGGAGGAGACAGCATCTACAAGCCCAGGAGAGAGGCCTCAGGAGGAACCAGCCCTGTCCACACCTGATGTCCAGCCTCCAGGAGAATCAAGGTCTGGCTTTTAAACCACCTCAGCCTTCAGCTTGGGCCCCCGCCCCATCCCACAAACACCCCCAACCTTGTCCGCCTCTGTGTGCCTTGTGGGCAGTCCCCAGTACATGGCCTTAGACTGCTGTTCCACCCTCCAGAGTCTCAGGATGAACTGGAAGGTATTAAGGAAGTCATCTGAGGGCTCTGAGCAAAATGGAAACTAATTTCAGTGGGAAAAGAGGATCTGCAGTGAGTGAGTCTGTTGAGCTCCGGCAGAGAAGAAGCCTGGTGTCAGGGTCCTTCTGCCTGAGCCTGTGGGGCCAGGTAATGTTAACAGGAAGCATGCTCAGACCCAAGCGAGGTCTCAGAAGATTTAAGGGAAGTTCAATCTTCACACGTGTCTCTGGTTTCCAGTAATATCTGGCCCCCAATATTCTCCCTGGTCCTCAATATTTTCTGGTTCTTAGTAATCTCTCGGCCACACGCGGTGGCTCACGCCTGTCATTCCAGCGCTTTAAGAGGCTGAGGTGGGCAGACCACCTGAGGTCAGGAGTTCGAGACCAGCCTGGCCAACATGGTGAAACCCCATCTCTACTAAAAATACAAAAATTAGCTGGGCGTGGTGGTGCGCACCTGTAATCCCAGCTACTCAGGAGGCTGAGGCGGGAGAATTGCTTGAACCTGGGAGGCGGAGGTTGCAGTGAGCCGAGATTTTGTCACTGCACTCCAGCCTGGGCAACAACAGCGAAACTCCATCTCAAAAAAAAATAAAAAAATAAATAAAAATAATCTTGGCCGGGCGCGGTGGCTCACGCCCGTCATCTCAGCACTTTGGGAGGCTGAGATGGGTGGATCACCTGAGGTCAGGAGTTCGAGACCATCCTGGCCAACATGGTGAAACCCCGTCTCTACTAAAAATACAAAAATTAGCCAGGCATGGTGGCAGGTGCCTGCAATCCCAGCTACTCGGGAGGCTGAGGCAGGAGAATGGCGTGAACCCAGGAGGCGGAGCTTGCAGTGAGCTGAGACTGTGCCACTGCACTCCAGCGTGGGTGACAGAGCGAGACTCCGTCTCAAAAAAAAAAAAATAATAATAATATAATAAAATATTAAATATTTAATATATATAATAAAAAATAATAATCTCTCTGGTCTGTAATATTCTCTGATTCCCCAAAAGCTCCCTAGTCCCCCAAAACCTGTCTGTTTCCCCAAAATCTTTCTGGTCTTTAATATTCTTGCTGGGCCCAATGGTCTCCCTGATCCTCAATATCCTTGCTGGGCCCTGATCATCTTGTTTGTCCCCAATCTTCTCTCTGGTTCCCTAAAATCTCTCCAGTCCCCTCAAATCTGTTTGGTTCTCCCTGGCCGCCAATATTCTCTCTAATCCTCAATATTCTCTGTGGTTCACAATAATCTTTCCAGTCTCCAGTATTCTTTCTGGTTCCCCAAAATCTTTCTAGTCCCCCAAATCCTGCCTAACTCCCAAAGCCTGTCTAATTTCCAATACTTCCATTAAGCCCCAATATTTTATCTGGTCTGCAATAATCTTCCTGATCCCCAATCATCTCCTTGGCCCCCAATAATCTTCCTGCCCCCAGTAATCTCCCTGGTCCTCAGTATTTTCTCAGATCCCCAATATTCTCTGTGGTCCCCAATCATCTCCTTGGTCCCTAATCTCTCTGGTCCCCAGTAATATTTCTGATCCCCAATATTCCTCTGGTCCCCAATAATCTTTCGGCTCCCCAATATTCTCTCTGATCCCCAATCATCTCCTTGGTCCCTAATAATCTCTCTGGTCCCCAATCACCTCCCTGATCCCCAGTAATCTCTGAGATCTCAATATTCTCTCTGAGCCTCAATATTCTCTCTGAGTCTCAATGTTCTCTCTTGTCCCCAATAATCTCTCTGGTCCCTAATAATCTCCCTGCTCCCCAATATTCTCTCCGATCTCCAATTATCTCCTTGGTCCCTAATAATCTCTCTGGTCTCCAATCATCTTTCTGATTCCAATATTCTCTCTGGTCCCCAATATTCTCTCTGGTCCCCAATAATCTCCCTGCTCCCCAATATTCTCTCTGATCTCCAATAATATCTCTGATCCCAATATTCTCTCTGGTTCCCAATAATCTCTCTGGTCCCCAATCATCTTTCTGATTCCCAGTAATCTCTCTGGTCCCAATATTCTCTCTGGTCCCCAGTCATCTCCTTGGTCTCCAATATTCTCTCCAATTTCTAATATTGTCTCTAATCCCCAATTATCTTCTTGGCTCCCAATCACCTCCCTGGTTTCTAATATTATCTCTGTTCCCCAATATTCTCTCTGATCCACAATCATCCCCTTGGTCCCTAATCATCTCTCTGGTTACCAATCATCTCCCTGGTCCCCAAGATTTTCTCTGATTTCTAATATTGTCTCTGATCTCCCCCAAATCTCCCTAGTTCCCAATATTTTCTCGGATCCCCAATCATATACTTGGTCCCTAATAATCTCCCTGATCCCCATCATCTTCTTGATCTCTAATAATCTCTCTGGTCCCCAAAAATCTCCCTGGTTCCCAATAGTCTCTCTGGTCCCCAATCATCTCTCTGGTCCCCAATAATCTCTCTGGTCCCCAATATTTTCTCTGATCTCCAATTATCACCTTGGTCCCTAATAATCTCTCTGGTCCTCAATCATCTCTCTCTGGTCCCCAATAATCTCTCTGGTCCCCAATATTCTCTCTGATCTCCAATTATCACCTTGGTCCCTAATAATCTCTGGTCCCTAATCATCTTTCTGACCCCCAATAATCTCTGTGGTCCCCAATATTCTCTGTGCTCCTCAATTATGTCCTTGGTCCCTAATAATCTGTCTGGTCCCCAATCATCTTTCTGATCCCCAATAATCTCTCTGATCCCAATATTCTCTCTGGTCCCCAGTCATCTGCTTGGTCTCCAATATTCTCTCTGATCTCTAATATTGTCTCTAGTCCTCAATCATCTTCTTAACCCCAATAATGTCCCTGGTTTCCAACATTATCTCTGGTCCCAAGTATTCTCTCTGATCCCCAATCATCTCCTCGGTCTCTAATAATCTCTCTGGTCCCCAATATTCTCTCTGGTCCCCAATCATCTTCTTAGCCTCTAATAATCTCCCTGATCCCCAATATTCTCTCTGGTCCCCAATCATCTCTCTGATCCCCAATAATCTCTCTGATCCCCAATATTATCTCCGATCCTCAATTATCTCATTGGTCCCTAATAATTTCTCTGGTCCCCAATCCTCTCCCTGATCCCCAATAATCTCTCTGATCCCAATATTCTCTCTGATCCTCAGTCATCTCTTTGTTCTCTAATAATCTCCCTGGTCTCCAATATTCTGTCTGATTTCTAATATTATCTCTGGTCCTCAATCATCTTCTTGTCTCCCAATAATCTCCCTGATCCCCAATAATCTCCCTCATCCTCAATATTTTCTCTGATTTCTAATATTGTCTCTGGTCCCCAATAATCTCCATAGTACCCCCAAATGTCCCTGGTTCCCAATAATTTCCCTTGTCCCCAATAATCTCCTTGATCCCCAATCATCTCCTTGGTACCTAATTATCTTCCTGGTCCCCAATCACCTCTTTGGCCCCCAATCATCTCCTTGGCCCCCAATCATCACCCTGCTCCCCAATATCCTCTCTGATTTTTCTTTTCTTTTTTTTTTTTTTTTTTTGAGACAGAGTCTCACACTGTCGCCAGGCTGGACTGCAGCGGTGCGATCTGAGCTCACTGCAGCCTCCAACTCTCTGGTTCAAGGGATTCTCCTGCCTTAGCCTCCTGAGTAGCTGGGATTACAGAGCTGGGTTTACAGGCATGCTCCACCACGTCCAGCTAATTTTTGTATTTTAGTAGAGACGGAGTTTCACTATATTGGCCAGGATGGTCTCCATCTCCTGACCTCGTCATCCGCCCGCCTTGGCCTCCCAAAGTGCTGGGATTACAGGCATGAGCCACCGCGCCCGGCCTTTATCCTCTCTGATTTCTAATATTCTCTCTGTCCCCAATAATATCTCTGGTCCCCAATATTCTCTCTGATCCATCACCCCTCTCTTATGGTCCACTGTAATCCTTATGCTCCACTTTAATCCGTCCCAGTATGGACAAACCCTAAGATCATTGAGTACCCAGCATGGAACACGGCTTGCAACCACTGTCACCCTGGCATCAGCAGGAACCTTGGCATCAAAGTCACAGGCCGGAGGACACTCTGCATTTGTCTGCAGGAAGTCAATTCACTTGGACCCTGCCTGCAGGAATGTGGACCGTCAGTCATTTGCATGAGTGCTTAGAAACGGCAAAGGAAGGTGTGTTTACTTAGAAGTGAGTTGCATGGGGTGAAGGAAGCCAGTCAGCCGCACCTCAGCTGGGTATTTGGTGGTATTTGGTGGAGGTTTCAGAAACTCCCCTTCCTTTGCTTCCGGTGAGCGTGACGGACAACCTCCTAATTCCTGTGCAGCCCGAAAAGGGTCCCGCGAAGAGTGTTTATAGCCCAGAATGAGGAAGTGAGACAAGGGGTATTGCATGGTTATTTTTTCTTATGTCTTTCTCTTTCTCTCTCGCTCTCTTTTTTTTTTTTTTTTTTTTTTTTTGAGATGGAGTTTTGCTCTTGCTGCCCAGGCTGGAGTGCAATGGTGCGATCTCGGCTCACCGCAACCTCCGCCTCCCGGGTTCAGGTGATTCTCCTGCCTCAGCCTCCCGAGTAGCTGGGATTACAGGCATGCACCACCATGCCCAGCTAATTTTTTGTATTTTTAGTAGAGACGGGGGTTTCACCATGTTAGCCAGGCTAGTCTCGAACCCCTGACCTCAGGTGATCCACCCGCCTCAACCTCCCAAAGTGCTGGGATGACAGGCGTGAGCCACCATGCCCCGCCCTCTTTTTCTCGCTTAAAAAAAAAAAGGTGAGGTTTACATAATGAAATCAATCATTGTAAACGGAATACCTCAGGGGGATTTATTGCATTCATGCCTCCGTGCAGCCAATACCTCGATGTAGTTTCAGAATATTTTCCTCACCTCCCACACACGTGTGTATTGTAACTTTAAATGCAATCCTCAGATGACAAGGCTCGGAATCGTCGTGCACGCACAGAGATTCAACAACCAAGATGCGATAATTATAGTACACTGGCCAGGCACGTTGTCTCATGCCTCTAGTCCCAGCACCTTGGGAGGCCAAGGCAGGAGAGTGGCTTCAGGCCAGGAGTTCAAGATGAGCCTAGGCAACATAGCAAGACACTTTCATTAGCCGGGCGTGGTCAGTGCCTGTAATCCCAGCTACTTGGGAGGCTGAGGTGGAAGGATTGCTTGAGGCCAGGAGTTAGAGGCTGCAGTGAGCTATGATGAAGTCACTGCACTCCAGCCTGGGCAACAGAGCAAGACTCTGCCCCTAAAAATAAAAATTAAGGCCGGGCGTGGTGGCTCACACCTGTTATCGCAGCACTTTGGGAGGCTAAGACAGGCGGATCACTCGAGGTCAAGAGTTCGAGACCAGCCTGTCCAATATGGCGAAACCCCATCTCTACTAAAAATACAAACATTAGCTGGGCATGGTGCCACATGCCTATAATCCCAGCTACTCGGGAGGCTGAGGCAGGAGAGTCACTTGAACCCGGGAGGCAGAGGTTGCAGAAAGCCGAGATTGCACTACTGCACTCCAGCCTGGGCGACAGAGAGAGACTCCATCCCCCACTGCCAAAAATAAATAAATAAATAAATAAATAAATAAATAAATAAATAAAACAAAAATTGAAAAAAATAAAAAAAAGATATAGCAAATAGTTTGGAGTAGCAGTTAAGGGTGTGACCTTTGTGGCTGGTGCAGTTGGAGGTAATGCCCCAGCCAGGTGAGGGTGTGCCTTCCTTTCTGTGTCCCTCAGTTTCCCCTAAGCAAAATGGGGATGTCAGCAGAGCTTTCTCAAAGGGTGTCACTTTAGTCCCTAAAATCTTCCCTGTTCCCCAATATTCTCCCTGGTACCTAATCGTCTCCTTGGTCCCTAATCATCTCCCTGGTCCCCAATATTCTCTGAGTTTCACAATTCTTGCATTTAGCATAGAATTTTTGAGGTTCATCCATATTGTAGCGGTATCAATACTTTCTTCCCATTTAGGCTGAAAAATATTGCAGATTTGTGATTGCCAGAGGGAGGAGGGAAGGGAGAAGTGGGAGCGATTGCAAATAGGTACAGGTCTCCTTCTGAGCGTCATAAAAATGTATTGGAAGTACACAGAGGTGATGATTGTACAACACTCTGAACGAGCTAAATACCACTGCGTTGTATTGAAGATGGTAAATTTATTATTATTATTATTTATTTCTTGAGACGGAGCCTCCCTCTGTCGTCCAGCCTGGAGTGCAGTGGCACGATCTGTGTTCATCACAACTTCCGCCTCCCGGGTTCAAGCGATTCTCCTGCCTCAGCCTCCCCAGTAGCTGGGATTATAGGTGCCGCACCACCACGCCCGGCTAATTTTGTATTTTTAGTAGAGACAGGATTTCACTAAAAAACCCTGTTGGCCAGGCTGGTCTGGAACTCCTGACCTCAAGTGACCCACCTGCCTTGGCCTCCCAAAGAGCTGGGATTACAGGCATGAGCCACTGTGCCCGGCAAAGATGGTGAATTTTGTTATGTGAATTTCACCTCAATAAATTAAAACAAATAAAACAGCAGTATTTATTTTGGTGACTGAGTTTTTTGGCATTGGAGTGTCTACACGTCTCCCCGTAACCCCGTTCCTGTTTGATTTTCTCATCTGCAATGTAGCGATGGGGTAGAATTGGGTCTTGTACTCAGGGTTGTTTCAAGAGTTTGATGGTGTGGGGGGAGCATTGAGAATGTCCCTTTGTACACAGTAGGCTTGTCACACTTGCCAGCTGCTTACCCCCCTCTCTTCTGCGGATCCACTCATCCCTTTATTCACTCATTCATCCGCTCATTCATTCCTCATCCATCCATGCATCCATCCATTCATCCATCCATCCATCCATCCACTCATCCATCCATCCATCCATCCCTCCATCCATGCATGCATCCATCCATCCATCCATCCATCCATCCATTCATCCATCTATCCATCCATCCATCCATCCATTCATCCACTCATCCATCCATACATCCACGCATCCATCCATCCATCCATCCATCCATTCATCCATCCATCCATCCATCCATGCATGCATCCATCCATCCATCCATCCATCCATCCATCCATCCATTCATCCATCTATCCATCCATCCATCCATTCATCCATCCATCCATCCATACATCCATCCATCCATCCATCCATTCATCCATCCATCCATCCATCCATCCATCCATCCATCCACTCATCCATTCATCCATCCATCCATACATCCATGCATCCATCCATCCATCCATCCATCCATCCATCCATCCATCCACTCATCCATTCATCCATCCACTCATCCATCCATCCATCCATCCATCCATCCATCCATCCATCCATCCACTCATCCATTCAACCATCCACTCATCCATCCATCCATCTATCCATCCATCCATCCATCCATCCATCCATCCACCCACCCATCCATCCACTCATTCATTCACCTGTCTACAGTGAGGGTCTGTGTCCATTCAGCTGCTCAAGAAGGTGGTCTCAGGGTGGGGGCAGCTTCTTCACCCTCTCATAGTCCTGTAGCCAGGGTCTGTCACCTTGCAGGGAGTTGTGCTCCACAGCAGTGCAGAGGGTTTGAGTGGGGACCCCCCAAAATCCCTATTGGTGCAATAAATCCTCTCTCCTCCTCTGATTAGGCCAAGGAGCTCAGTGTTTTGTGAAGAATTTGTTTGGAGAGTGTTTTGAGTTGGATTGCATCCCTTTGAAAGACACATTCAAAGCCTCAACATAGGTACCTGTGAATATAGGACCTTATTTGGAAATAGGATCTTTGCAGATGGGATTAAGGTGTAAGTTAGGATGACATCATACTGCATTTGGGTGGGGACTTAATCCTATGGGACTGGGGTCCTTCTAAGAAGAGACTGGGACGCAGACATGCACAGAGGGAAGATTGCTGTGTGAAGACAGAGGCAGAGATTGGAGGGAGGCATTCCCAAGCCCAGGGACGTCAAGGATGGCAGAGGATCAGAAGCTGGAGAGACGCAGGAAAGATTCTCCCCAAAGCCTCAGAAACAGTATGCATTAATTCGGGGCAATTGACTGGAAATCAGCTCCTTTCTTGTTTCATCCGTCTATTCACCTATTGACTCAATCATGCATCCATCCATTCATCCATTCATCCATCCATCCACCCATGAATTCATTTATCCATGTATGTATTCATGCATCCATTCATTCACTCATTCATTTATCCATCGGTTCATTCATCCACTCACTCATTCCTTATCCATCCACTCATCCATCCATCTGTCCATCCATCCATCCATCCATTTATCCATACATCCACTATTCATTCGCCCATTCATTTATTCATGCATCCATTCATTCACTCATTCATCTATTCATTCATTCATTTATTCCTTATCCATCCACTCATCCATCCTTCCATTCATCCATCCATCCATCCATTCAGTCATCCATCCACTTATCAATACACCCACTATTCACTCACCCATTCATTTATTCATGCATCCATTCACTCACTCATTCATTTATTCATTCATTCCTTATCCAGCCGCTCATCCATCCATCTATTCATCCATCCATCCATCTACTCAGTCATCCATCCATTTATCAATACACCCACTATTCAGACACCCATTCATTTATTCATGAATCCATTCGTTCACTCATTCATTCATTCATTCATCCACTCATTCATTCCTTATCCATCCACTCATCCATCCATCTGTTCATCCATCCATCCATTTATCCATACATCCACTATTCATTCACCCATTCTTTCATGCATCCATTCATTCACTCATTCATTCATTCCTTATCCAGCCGCTCATCCACCCATCCATTCATTCATCCATCCATCCATCTACTCAGTCATCCATCCATTTATCAATACACCCACTATTCACTCACCCATTCATTTATTCATGCATCCATTCATTCATTCATTCATTCATTCGCTCATTTATTCCTTATCCAGCCACTCATCCATCCATCCATTTATCCATCCATCCATCCATTCAGTCATCCATGCATGGATGGATGGATGCATCCACCACTCATCCATCCAAAACTCACTCATTCATCCATTCATTCATTTATGCCTTTAATCATTCACCCATTTATTCAGTAATTCATTTATGCATCCACTCATTTATCCACTCATTCATTCCTTATCCATCCACTTATTCAGCATTCATCCATCCATCCATCCATCCAATTCATCCATCTATCCATCTATACAGCCATCTACTCATTCATTCATCCATTTACTTACTCATCCATCCATTAATTCATTTATCCATGTGTTTATTCATGCATCGATGAATTCACTCATTCATTTACCCACGCATTCATTCAGCATCTATTTATTCACTAAATCATTTATTCATCTATTCATTCATTTCTTTTCTTTTCTTTTCTTTTTGAGACCGAGTTTCACTCCTGTTGCCCAGGCTGATGTGCAACAGCTCGATCTTGGCTCATTGCAACATCTGCCTCCCGGGTTCAAGGGATTCTCCTGCCTCAGCCTCCCAAGTAGCTGGGATTACAGGCGCCCACTACCACGCCTGGCTAATTTTTGTATTTTTTAGTAGAGACGGGGTTTCACCACGCTGGCCAGGCTGGTCTTAAATTCCTGACCTCAGGTGATCCGCCTACCTCAGACTCCCAAAGTGCTGGGATTACAGGCGTGAGCCACCGCGCCCAGCCTATTCATTCATTTCTTATCCATCCACCTACCTATCCATCTGTTCATCCGTCCATCTATTTATTCATTCATCTACTCATTCATTCATTCATCCACTTATTCATTCCTTATCCATCCACTCATCTATCCATCCATCCATCCATCCGTTTATCCATCCACTTATCCATACATCCACTATTCATTTGCCCATTCATTTATTCATGATCCATTCATTCACTCATTCATTTATCTATTCATTCATTCATTTATTCCTTATCCATCCACTCATCCATCCATCCGTTCATCCTTCAATCCATCCATTCAGTCATCCACCCATTTATCAATACACCCACTATCATTCACCCA
The DNA here is from genome assembly GCF_000001405.40 of Homo sapiens. Taxonomy (NCBI): domain Eukaryota; kingdom Metazoa; phylum Chordata; class Mammalia; order Primates; family Hominidae; genus Homo; species Homo sapiens. Next base: position 1,527,538 of record NC_000023.11, read on the forward strand.
TTCATGTATCTATTCATTCAATCATTTATTCCTTATTCATCCACCTATCTATCCATCTGTTCATCCATCCATCCATTTATTCATTCATCTACTCATTCATTCATCCATCCAATCATCCCTTCATTCATTCATTCATCCACTCATTCATTCCTTATCCATTTACTCATCTATCCATCCATCCATCCATCCATCCATTCATCCATTCATCCACTCTTCATTCACCTGTCTACATATCCATCCATCCACTCACTAATGTACTAATCCACTCATTCACTCATTCATTCATTTATTCATTCACCCATCTATTTATGCAGCCATCCATTCAACCATCCAACAAACAGTACTGAGGCCATGTTAATCTATTCTGGTCTCTCATCTACAAAGTCACAGCCCCTACAGGGACCCTGCTCATTCATTCCCTGTGGCTGAGACTGAAGGGGTATCTCCTGTTTCTATTCCACGTGTGGCCACCTGCTGGTCTGTCCCTGTCCTGAGTGCAGGAGTAGTCTCATTCTCCTCCACCCCAAGAACAGATGAGTGATAAATAAATACCTGGAGACAGAATGCCTCCAACCCCAGGGTAATAGCCTGAGTATCCTAGAAGTTTCCTGTGTTCATGCCAAGAGCTTGTGATGGACATATGGACACTGTAGATGGACAACAGCGCCTTCACTGAGCAGCTAGTGCCTGGGAGGCCTCCAGCTTCACTGAGCCTCAGGTTTCATCTATTGCATCTCACAGAGAGGCTGTCTGCAACATGCCCATTTCAACCACTGGCTGAGAGGCTCATGCAGGTATGCATGTGACAGGGCTCCTTGCTGGAGAGTGGGTTCCTGGAGATTCCATCAGAGCTACTGCTGCACAACTGCCCCTTGAGGAGGCCATCACAGCTCTGAGCAGCAGGCGCTGCCAGTCAGCACCGTGTGAACTCAAAGTCTTGCATTCATCCTCATACGACATCTTCAAAACCACTTTAAACGTCCCAGGGAAGCCCGGAGGAGCAAGTGCTTCCAAGAGGCTGGCTCTGGTCTTTGGATTGAGTGTGGATTTGAGTCTCTTTGAATGAGTGTGGATTTGAGTTTCTTTGAATGAGTGTGGATTTGAGTCTCTTTGAATGCGTGTGGGTTTGAGCCTCTTTGAATGATTGTGGACTTGAGTCTCTTTGAATGAGTGTGGATTTGAGTCTCTTTGAATTCGTGTAGGTTTGAGTCTCTGAATGAGTGGACTTGAGTCTGTTTGAATGAGTATGGATTTGAGTCTCTTTGATTGCGTGTGGGTTTGAGTCTCTTTGAATGAGTGTGGATTTGAGTCTCTTTGAATGAGTGTGGACTTGAGTCTCTTTGAATGAGTTGGATTTGAGTCTCTTTGAGTGTGGATTGGAGTCTCTGAATGTGCGTGGATTTGAGTCTCCTCATTCCTGCACTTTTTCAGTTCCCTTTGTTGCATGGGACAGTATAAATGACGCTCCCCATTGATCCAGTTTTGCAAGTAAAAATGTCACATGTGGAAGCCAGCATTTAGTCCTCGGGCAGATAAGCATGTTTGATGAGAATAACACGTACACACAGCGGGGCCCTTGGTCTTGGAAAGGTGGAGAATAAATCCTCCATTTCCCCTGAGACCTGACCTGCACAGGGAATATCTGCTTAATCTACACATGTGTGGCTTGTAACGACAGAGTCTCTTCAATTCTACTTACTTTATTATAGTAACAAGAGCATGCATACAGCACATTGGGAGATGGAGAAATGGAAGGAAGTGATCCAGAGTCCCTTGACCCAGCCCATTCTCTCCCTGAGACCTGGGGGATGGGACATGATCTTGCTTCTCCTTCCAGGTCTCTGGAAGGATCATCTTGTCTTATCTTGCCTGCCTCTCACCCTGTGGTTCAGAATTGCGGGAGATTCTGTTCCAGTGGGGATGCTTGTCTATATCTTGGGCAGTTTGGGGTGTCACAACTGGAGGGTGTACTCCTGGGGCGTGGTGGGTGGAGCCTGGGAAGATGCTCAGTGCCCTGCAGTGCACAGGATAGGCTCAACACAGAGAATCCTCCAGCCCTACATGGCAGCAGTGCTGAGGCTGACACCCTGCCTGAGCATGAGAGAGTCTCTGTTAGTGACTATCTATCCATCTATATCTATCTATCATATCTATCATTTATCAATTTATCTATATATCATATCTAGCTCTCTGGCACCTATATCTATTTATTTATTAATCTTCTCTGTCTGTCATCTATCTATACCTTTCTAGCATTTATCTCTCATCTCTATCATTTATCTGCCTACCATTTGACAGTGGTTTCAACTAGGGGTGATTTTTCTCATCACGGCACACTGGGTAATGTCTGAGGACAGTTCTGGTTGTCGCAACTGTGGGGGTGCTCCTGGCATCTGGTGGGTGGATCCCGGGGATGCTTCTCAATACCTTACACTGCACAGGATGGCCCCACCACAGAGAATCACCCGGCCCCAAATGTCTATAGTGTTGACGTGGAAAGATCCTGCTTTTAGTATAGAGAATCTCTCCTCTCTCTCTCTCTCTCCGTCATCCATCTATGTATCCATGTATCTATGTATCTATGCATCTATGTATGTATGTATGTATGTATGTATGTATGATCTATCTATCTATCTATCTATCTATCTATCTATCTATCTATCTATCTATCTATCTATGTATCCATGTATCTATGTATGTATCTATCTATCTCTATTACCTATCATCACCATTATCTATCTATCTATCTATCTATCTATCTATCTATCTATCTGTCATCTATCTATATGTATGTACATATCTATCTATCTTATCTATTGCTCATCTATCTAGGTATCTCTCTAATCTATCATCTATCTCTCTAATCTATTAATGCACCTATGTATGTATCTATGTATCTATCTATCTAATCTATTTATCCATGTATGTATGTATGTATCTACCTATCTAATCTATGTATGTATGTATATATGTATCTAATTTATGTACGTACATATGTATGTATCTATTCTATCTATGTATCTATCTATCTGATTGATCTATCTCTCTATCATCACCATTATCTATCTATATGTATGTGTGTATCTATCTATCCTATCTATCTATCTCTCATCTATCTATGTATCTCTCTAATCTATCATCTATTTAATCTATGCATCTATATATCTATCTATCTAATCTATTTATCCATGTATGTATGTATCTATCTAATCTATGTATGTATATATCTATCTAATTTACGTATGTATCTTTTCTATCTATCTCTATTATCTATATATCTATCTGTCTATCATCACCATTATCTATCTATATCTATGTATGTATTGTCTATTCTATCTCTCATCTATCTATATATCTCTTTAATCTATCATCTATCTATCTAATCTATGCATGTATCTATGTATCTATCTATCTAATCTATTTATCCATGTATGTATGTATGTATGTACCTATCTAATTTATGTATGTATGTATATATCTATCTATTCTATGTATCTATTTATCGATTCTATCTATCTGTCTGTCTGTCTGTCTATCTATCTATCTATCTATCTATCTATCTAATTTGTCACCCATCTATCTTTAAGACAGTGATAGATGAGCAAGTGATTTTGCTACCTGGAGACATTGAGTAATATCTGGAGACATTTCTGATTGTCACAACTGTGGGTGCTCCTGGCACCTTGTGGCTGGAGCCCAGGGACGCTGCTCTACACCCTACAATCCCCAGGATGGCCCCACCACAGGGAATTCCCCCGCCCCAAATGTCACTAGTGCTCCAGCAGACAGCCTGTGCCTTTTGTGTCTCATGAATGGTTCTATCCCAAGATCTGTCCTTGCCCCATCTTCCTGCATGCCCTCTCCATCAGGGGTCCCCCTGCTTACAGGGTCCCCCGTAAACAATGTCCAGGCCCCCTCCCAGCCTGACTGTGCCCAGCCCGAGGGGTTAGCATGCTCAGCCCACCCCCAGCTCATGAACTCCTGGGGAGCCTGGACAGCACATTGCCATTCCACCAACTCATCATCCGAAACCAACACAGCCTGGCACCTGCCACCTGCTTCTGTCTGTGCCACTCCCTGCCCAGCCATGGAGAGTCTCATAGGACTCCTCCCTCCCATGGAGACCTTCTTGGCTAGAAAATCACACATCCTGCTTCCACAAAGTCCCTCTGCTCAGGGCACCAGCACCTTTCCCCTGGAGCAGGGCACTCTGCACAAAAGCATCAACGCAGTCCTCAAGGTCCCAGCCCGGCTCAGCGGCATGAAAACACGCTCAACATCACGAATGATCAGGGAAATGCAAATCAAAAGCAGAATGTGACATCACCTCACTCCTGCAAGAATGGCCACAATCAAAACATCAAGAAATAGCAAATGCTAGTGTGGATGTGGCGAACAGGGAACACGTCTGCACTGCTGGTGGGAACGTAAACTAGTACAGCCACTATAGAAGACAGTGTGGAGAGTCCTTAAAGAGCTAAATGTAGAACTACCATTTGATCCAGCAATCCCACTGCTGGGTATCTAGGTAGAGGAAAGTAACTCATTATATGAAAAAGATACTTAGAGGAAAGTAACTCATTATACGAAAAAGATACTTGCACAGGCATGTTTATAGCAGCACAATTTGCAATTGCAAAAATGTGGAACCAACCCAAATGCCCATCAATCAACAGGTGGATAAAGAAACTGTGGTGTATTTATATATATAAATGCCGGCACTGACACACACACAAACACACACACATATATGTCATATATATGTGTGCCATATATATACACACACGTATATATACACATATATGTATATGATGTGTATATATACACATATACGTATATGATGTGTGTATATGCACATATATGTATATATGTATATGATGTGTATATATACACATATATGTATATATGTATATGTGTATATATACACATATATGTATAGATGTATATGTGTATATATACACATATATGTATAGATGTATATGATGTGTATATATATATACATATACTTATGATGGAATACTACTCAGTCATGAAAAAGAATAGCATTTGGAGTGGCCTGGATGAGATTGGAGACTATTATTCTAAGTGAAGTAACTCAGGAATGGAAACCCAAACATCGTATGTTCTCACTCATAAGTGAGAGCTAAGCTATGAGGATGCAAAGGCATAAGAATGCCACAACGGCCGGATGCGGTGGCTCACACCTGTCATCCCAGCACTTTGGGAGGTCGAGGTGGGCAGATCACAAGGTCAGGAGTTTGAGACCAGCCTGGCCAATATGGTGAAACCCCGTCTCTACTAAAAATACAAAAATTAACCGGGTGTGGTGGCACATGCGTGTAATCCCAGTTACTCAGGAGGAGGCTGAGGCAGGAGAATCGCTTGAATCCGGGAGAAGGAGGTTGCAGTGAGCCGAGATCGCGCCACTGCTCTCCAGCCTGGGCAACAGAGTGAAACTCTGTCTCAAAAAAAAAAAAAAAAAAAAAAACGAAAGAAAGAAAAAAGAAAAAAAAAGGAATGACACAAAGGACTTTGGGAACTCCAGGGCAAAGATTGGGGAGAGGATGAGGGATAAAAGGCCACAAACCGGGTTCAGTGTATACTGCTTGGGTGACGGATACCCTGAAATCTCACACATCACCACTAAAGAACTTCCTCGTGTAACCAAATGGCACGTGTTTCCCCAAAACCTATGGAAGTAAAAAGTGTAAAACAAACCAACAAAAACACACATCAGCTTCTGAAAAAATCTTCTGAGGAGTGTGCTTTCTTGAGGCAAATAAAAGAGATTGCCAAAAATAATATATATATATTCATATATTACATATTTACATATTTATTATTTAAACATATATTTATGTATTTTTTATTATTTATATATTATATATTTATATATTTATTATTTAAATATATTGTATATTTATATATTATTTATTCTTTATATCTTATATACTTATATATTTATTATTTAAATGTATTGTATATTTATATTTTATTTATTATTTATATATTATATACTTATATATTTATTATTTAAATATATTATATACTTATATATTTATTATTTAAATATATTATATATTTATATATTATTATTTACATATTTATTATTTACATATTTATTATTTAAATATATTTTATATTTATATATTATTTATATATTATATACTTATATATTCATTATTTAAATATATTATTCATATATTATTTATTATTTATATATTATATACTTATATATTTATTATTTAAATATACTATATATTCATATATTATTTATTATTTATATATTATATACTTATATTTATTTAAATATATTATGTATTTATATATTATTTATTATTTATATATTATATACTTATATATGTATTATTTAAATATATTATATATTCATATATTATTTATTATTTACATATTACATAGTTATATATTTATAACTTAAATATATTATATATTTATATATTATTTATATATTACATATTTACATATATTATATACTTATCTATTTATTATTTACATATATATTTGTATATTATTTATATATAATATATTTACATATATATTTATATATAATATATTTACATATATTATATATTTATATATATTTACATATATATTTATATACAATATATTTACATATATTATATATTTATATATATTTACATATATATTTATATACTTACTATTTATATATTATATATTATTTATATATAATTATTTATATAATTATATATGTAATACATATATATATACACACACACAGATAGGTGTATCTGTTGCTTTATCCTAAGTGAACACAGATACTGCATCACTAGGGAGCGACATTGTGAACCGCAGAACACTCCCTGCAGTCCCCTGAGCTCAGTCTGGTCCTTGGGGGTGATCCTGGGGGCACCCATCACGCCCACGCCCTTTCCGTACCTTAACAGGTGTAGGCAGGGTGTTGTGTGTCTCCCAGGGGCCGTGCAGAATCTCCTAACCCGAGAGAGGAAGAGCAGGGTTCCAGGTGGACACTGGGATCCCTGGACCCTGCCCCGCCCACCCCACTGCCTCTAGGGACAGAAGAGGGGCTGGGGGAGGGAGGTTGGGGACCATGCCCAGACACAGCCAATGAGGAGGTCCTGATGGAGAGGCAGGGCTGAAGGAGAGGGCGCAGGAGAGAGACTCAGACGAGAGGGGGCCATCTGCCCGGGGAAAGGGCCTCTCCAAGCGCAGGGCTGTACGTATGCACCACTGGCAACAGCTACCCTGCTGTTGTTAATCCTAAGCCATCGCTTCTTCCCTGGAACTTTAAGGGACAAACTCAGAACTGCAGTGTGGGTAGGGTTGGAGGGAGGGAGCGTCTCTGTGGTTCTCCAAGGGGACCTCACCTCTCCCACCCACCCCAAGGTTGGTCAGTCTGAATGGTGCAGCCAGGCGGGGACCTGGCAGAAGGCATCTGAAAAGCATGTGCTTTTACAAACACAGGGTTGCCCACCGTCCCGTACGTCCCATGCACGCCTCTCTCAGCCTCTGACCTAATTGTCCTCTTGTGGGGTGGGGGAGGCCAATATTTGGGAAAAGGGGCAGCATCCTGGTGCACGTAGGACGCTGGCACCTGTCTGGCAGTGCCTAAATGAAAGTACTGCTTTTCCAATGTGGGATAATTCCTTTTTTTTTTTTTTTTTTTTTGAGACAGAGTCTCACTCTGTCACCCAGGCTGGAGTGCAGTGGCGCGATCTTGGCTCACCGCAACCTCCGCCTCCTGGGTTCAAGTGATTCTGCTGCCTTAGCGTGCCGAGTAACTGGGATGACAGGTGCCCGCCGCCACACTCGGCTAATTTTGGTATTTTTAGTAGAGACGGGGTTTCACTATGTTGGCCAGGCTGGTCTCAAACCCCTGACCTCAAGTGATCCACCCACCTCGGCCTCCCAAAGTGCTGGGATTACAGGCGTCTGTCACCGCCGTAAACACAAAATATGCTACTATCTGGCGCTGCTTGCCAAAGTCAAGTGGGCTATGCAAGGAGGAACGGAACGGGAAGGAGAGATTGAACGGCGCAGTCAGGTGCACCTGCTTCCCCACGGGCTTCAGCTCCTCAGCGGTTTTCACTTAGGGCTCTCGCGCTTCAGACTTCTCATCCACGTTACGTAAAGATAACAACATGGGAAGAAACAACCACACACACACACACACACACAGACACACACACAGACACACACACACACACACACACAAACCCTTTTCTTTTTGGGAACAGAGCCACGTGACCATGGTTCCCCTTTATAGAAATGGGACCTAAAGCGCCACAGCAGGCCTTGTTGTGTGTGGCCTGAAATTCCCAGAGCAGCTCCCTCTGCCTTTTCTCAGCTTTTTAGGGGACAGATCTGACAAGACCCAAGGAATTGGGGTTTCTAAGCGGACCTGTACAAATGAGGTCTGAGGTGGCCGTGAGACCCGGGTCTGGGGTCTCCCTGGCACCGAGGGGGTGACGAGGGGCCACCGTGCTCATCCAGGCACCCATAGGGCTTTAAAACCCGTTTAATTTATGCTTACTCTTCCATTATTGGAACGCTAAGCATTTGGGAGTTATTTATATCCCACGGCTCAAGGTCATCGCCAAGGTCTCATTGCAAACATTGAAAAAACTGCAATCTCAGGCGTAAATGGGTTACGTGCAGCAGCCGCAGCTGCTTACCCTCTCTAAGGTTAACCTCAAGAGAGGCGCATTTCATGGAATGAGTTTTTTTTTGTTTTTTTTTTTCTAAACAGAGTCTCGCTCTGTCGCCCAGGCTGGAGTGCAGTGGCGTGATCTCTGCTCACTGCAAGCTCCACCTCCAGGGATCATGCCATTCTCCTGCCTCAGCCTCCCGAGTAGCTGGGACCGCAGGCGCCCACCACCAAGCCCAGCTAATTTTTGTATTTTTAGTAGAGACGGGGTTTCACCGTGTTAGCCAGGATGGTCTCGAACTCCTGACCTCAGATGATCCACCCACCTCGGTCCCCCAAAGTGCTGGGATTACAGGCACCTGCCACCACGCCTGGCTAATTTTTGTATTTTTAGTAGAGACGGGGTTTCACCGTGTTAGCCAGGATGGTCTCGAACTCCTGACCTCGTGATCCGCCCACCTCGGCCTCTGAAAGTTCATGGAATGAGTTATTAAAGGAAGGGTGGCTTGCAGCCCTGGAAAATTTGAGCATTTCTCCCCTAAGTGACGAAGCGGCTGTGCAAAGTCTTCCTCCCAGGAAATTTGCACTCCTGGTCTGCTCTAGCGTGAGGAGAACACGCCTCATGGAGTTTGCACCGTCTTCCCCCATGTTCTCACCGTACACGGACCCTCCCAGCGACCCTGTCTTCTCCCTTGACAGTGCAGGACAAGCATAAAAGTCCAGCTCGGCGGCTCACCTGTGCAGAAGCAGCGGCAGAAGTAGCAGGTGAGAGCTCAGAGGGTCTCCAGGTAACAGGATGCAACGCTTAAGTCGACGGCCGTGCCTCAGAGCCCGGGACTCGGGGGGCCAGCCACCAGCTTGCAAGCCGTGGTCACTCAAAGTGCTTGAGAAGGTGTTCGTGGGCGGCAGACGGCTGCCCTTCCAGTTCCATCTGTCCAGCAACCTTGCAAAGGCGGCCGCTTCGCTGGGTGGCCCACCGGCTGGCACGACTGTCTCCGAATGCAAATTCTGCAAACTCCACCTCCCAGCGCACCACCACGGTTGCGACTCAGGCTTAGGTGGAAAGGAAGTGTGTTGTGACATTTCCTCTGTAACTGTCTGAACACTCATGTGCAGGGCTGAGCCCACTGGAGTAACGTCGCTGTGTCTCTGGGCAGCACCGTTAACCGCCCACCTCCCTATCACTGGCTCGCAGGGGGCCCTACTCTTAAGAGAACCCTGAGAGTGAGGAAAAGAGGGAGAATGATTTTTCTAAATTTTGTAACCAGCAGTGAAGAGCCGTGGCATGCTCCAGAACCGATTCCTGTTTCTTCTGAAATAACAAAACAAAACAAAGAAAGAACAGAACACGTTTCCTTTTAGACTCTAAAGCTGTGCTCATTGCGACATCTCTTGGTACACAGCCAGACTGTGACAAGCGAACAGACCTTGGGCACTGATCATTCCGGCTCTCACAGTTGGTCACGGGCGCTGCAGGCTCATATCCTCAACATCCCATGGGGGATCGGCCAGTTTCAGGAATGAGAACCAGGTTTCCGAGCTCTGGTATCCTTGCTTGTGAGGAGCAACGGTTGGTTCTTGTCACTCGTGGGAGGAGGTTGAGAGGGAAGGATCTGTCACTGAGAAAGAATGAATGAATATTGAACCACTGCTCAGGGAAAAGACATGGTAGAATCAATCCCTCAAGCCAGGCTGGGTGTGGTGGCTCACGCCTGTAGTCCCAGCACTTTGGGAGGCCAAGGCGGGTGGATCACTTCAGGTCAGGAGTTTGAGACCAGCCTGGCCAACATGGCGAAATCCCGTCCCTACTAAAAACACAAAAATTAGCTGGGTGTGGTGGTGGACACCTGTAGTCCCAGCTACTGGGGAGGCTGAGGCAGGAGAATCACTTGAACCTGGGAGGTGGAGGTTGCAGTGAGCCAAGATCAGGCCATTGCACTCCAGTCTGGGTGACAGTGAGACTGTCCCAAAAAACAAACAAACAAACAAAAAGACCAGGCCTGCTGGCTCACGCCTATAATCCCAGCACTTTGGGAGGCCAAGGCGGGTGGATCACTTGAGGTCAGGAGTTCGAGACCAGCCTGGCCAACATAGCGAAATCCCGTCCCTACTAAAAATACAAAAATTAGCTGGGCATGGTGGTGGATGCCTGTAATCCTAGCTACTGGGGAGGCTGAGGCAGGAGAATCACTTGAACCCGGGAGCTGGAGGTTGCAGTGAGCCAAGATCAGGCCATTGCACTCCAGCCTGGGTAACAGAGTGAGACTGTCTCAAAAAAAAAAAAAAAGTCGAGGCCTGGTGGCTCACACCTGTATTCCCAGCACTTTGAGGTGCCAAGGTGGGCCGGATCACTTGAGGTCAGGAGTTCGAGACCAGCCTGGCCAACATAGCGAAACCTGTCCCTTAAAAATACAAAAATTAGCTAGGCGTGGTGGTGGACGCCTGTAATCCCAGCTACTGGGGAGGCTGAGGCAGGAGAAGCATGTGAACCTAGGAGGTGGAGGTGGCAGTGAGCCCAGATTGGGCCATTGTACCCCAGCCTGGGTGACAGAGTGAGACTGTCTCAAAAAAAAAAAAAAAAAAAGGCCAGGCCTGGTGGCTCACGCCTATAATCCCAGCACTTTGGGAGGCCAAGGCGGGTGGATCACTTGAGATCAGCAGTTCAAGACTAGCCTGGCCAACATGGCGAAACCCTGTCTCTACTAAAAATACAAAAATTAGCTGGGTGTGATGGTGGGGGCCTGTAGTTCCAGCTACTGGGGAGGCTGAGGCAAGAGAATGACTTGAACCAGAGAGGCAGAGGTTGCAGAGAGCCGAGATCATGCCACTGCACTCCAGCCTGGGCAACAGAGAGAGACCCTGTCTCAAAAAAAAAAAAAAAAAAAATCAAAAGAATCCTTCAGGCCCCTGGTCACAGTGTTTTCTTCAACAGATCAATAAGTAGCTTTATATTATGTGTGTTTCTGTTTGAAAACACCTTATTAAGGAAATCGTTCTGTAAAAGGACATCCACACTCACAGTTCATCACAGCACTATTCACCATAGCAAAGACACAGAGTCAACCCAGGTGCTTATCCACCATGCATCGGATAAAGAAAATAGGGTACGTGACCGGCGGGTGCAGAGGCTCACGCCTGTAATCCCAGCAGTCTGGGAGGCCGAGGCAGGTGGATCACCTGAGGTCAGGAGTTCGAGACCAGACTGGTCAACATGGAGAAACCCCCTCTCTACTAAAAATACAAAAAATAATCTTGGCGTGGTGAAAGACACCTGTAATCCCAGCTATTTGGGAGACTGAGTCAGGAGGATCGCTTGAACCCGGGAGGCGGAGGTTGCAGTGAGCCGAGATCATGCCGCTGCACCCCAGCCTGGGCAACAAGAGCGAAACTCTGTCTCAAAAAATAAATAAATAAACAAATAAAAATAAAAAATAATAAAATGGGGTACATAGACACCATGGAATAGTACAAAGCTGTGAAAAAGAATGAAATCATGTCCTTTGCAGCAACTTGGATCCAGCCGGAGGCCATTCTCCAAAGTAAATTAATACAGAGACAGAAAGCCAAATACCGCATGTTCTCACTTATAAGCAGGAGGTAAACACAGGGTACTCATGGACATAAAGATGGGAACAACAGGCCAGGCGTGGTGGCTCATGCCTGTAATCCCAGCACTGTGGGAGGCCGAGGTGGGTGGATCACCTGAGGTGAGGAGTTTGAGACCAGCCTGACCAACATGATGAAACCCTGTCTGTACTAAAAACACAAAAATTAGCTGGGCATGGTCACAGACACCTGTAATCTCAGCTACTCGGGAGGCTGAGGCAGGAGAATCGCTTGAACCCGGGAAGAGGAGGTTGCAGTCGCTACTAAAAGTACAAAAATTACTCGAGCATGGTGGCACATGCCTGTAATCCCAGCTACTCAGGAGGCTGAGGCAGGAGAATCGCTTGAACCCTGGAGGTGGAGGTTGCAGTGAGCCAAGATCGCACCACTGCACTCCAGCCTGGGCAACAGGAGTGAAAATTCTGTCTCAAAAAAAAAAAAAAAGATGGGAAGAAGAGGCGTTACAGACTCCTAGAGTGGGGAGGGAGGGAGATGAAGGGCTGAAAAACTACCTACTGGGTGCTAAACTCAGTAGCTAGGTCATGAGATCATTCATACCCAAAATCTCAGCATCACACAAGATACCCTTGTAACAAACCTGCACATGTACCCCCGGAATCTAAAATAAAGTAAAGGCTGGGCACAGTGGCTCATGCCTATAATCCCAGGACTTTGGGAGGCCGAGGTGGGCGGATCACCTGAGGTCAGGAGTTCAAGACCAGCCTGGCCAACATGGTGAAATACTGTCTGTACTAAAAATACAAAAATTAGCCGGGTATGGTCACAGACACCTGTAATCTCAGCTACTAGAGAGGCTAAGGCAGGAGAATCGCTTGAACCCGGGAAGTGGAGGTTGCAGTCTCTACCAAAAATACAAAAATTAACCAGGCGTGGTGGCATATGCCTGTAGTCTCAGCAACTCGGAACGCTGAGGCAGGAGAATTGCTTGAACCCGGGAGGCAGAGATTGCAGTGAGCCGAGATCATGCCACTGCACTCCAGCCTGGGCGTCAGAGTGAGACTCTGTCTCAAAAAAAAAAAAAAAAAAAAAAAAAAAAAAGGAAAGAAAATCAAAGGCAGAGTCTATTCATCAGTTTGTGAAGTGTTTGTCTTCAGGATTACAGTGGTCCCTCCTTCTTCATGGTAGACGTGGTCCATAAAGTCGGAGCAAACGCTGAGTTAACAAATACAAACCGTCCTGCAAAAAGTCCACACTTAGACGCCTGTAGCTTTTGTACCTCTGGTCCCCAAATTTTTCACAGCTGATCCATACATAACCTTATTTTACGTGTGTTTCTGTTTAAAAAGCCGTATGGAGTCGATATTGTGGACGCAGTCACATTGAACTCACAGCCAACGGCATTATAATTCATGCCTGGGCAAAGCGTCTCTAACACACCTATTTTCTCCAGAAGACGCGCTGCAGTCTTCATGGGCTTACGGATGCTAGGCAGCTTTGCAGCTTCTGGGGCTTTTGAAACAGAAATCGCCAACAAAATGCACAAAAATGTAAAAATACCTGGCACTCAGTATACCCCCAAAAGGATGAGCTGATCCCGGAAGGCCCCCATTTTTCACCACTGTGTATCTGTTTTTGAACGTTTGCAAAATCGTCATGAGTCTTGGTTTTGGGGTTCCAAATAAATGTTAGTGTGTGGAGGAATTCACAGATATAGAAGTCGAGAATAATTTGCATTTCTTTCTTTATTCAGTCTGTCTCACTCAGGCTGGAGTGCAGTGGTGCGATCATAATTCACTGTAGCCTCCAACTCCTGGCCTCAAGCAATCCTCCTTCCTCAGCCTCCTGAGTAGCTGGGACTATGGGAGCATACTCTGCCACACCTGGCTAATTTTTTTTTTTTTTTTGAGACAGAGTCTCACTCTGTCGCCCAGGCTGGAGTACAGTGGCACAATCTTGGCTCACTGCAACCTCCATCTCCAGGGTTCTAGCCATTCTCCTGTCTCAGCCTCTGGAGTAGCTGGGATTACAGGCATGCACTACCACGCCCAGCTAATTTTTTTTATTTTTAGTAGACACGTAGTTTCACCATGTTGATCAGGTTGGTCTTGAACTCCTGACCTCAGGTGATCCACCCGCCTCGGCCTCCCAAAGTGCTGGGATTACAGGTGTGAGCCATCTTGCCTGGCCGCACCTGGCTAATTTAAAAAAAAAATTTTTTTGTGGAGTCCGGGCGTAATGGCTTATGCCTGTAATCTCAGCACTTTGGGAGGCCAAGGCAGGTGGATCATGAGGTCAGGAGATCAAGACCATCCTGGCTAACACGGTGAAACCCCATCTCTACTAAAAAATACAAAAAATTAGCCGGGCGTGGTGGCGGGCACCTGTAGTCCCAGCTACTTGGGAGGCTGAGGCAGGAGAATGGCGTGAACCTGGGAGGCGGAGCTTGCAGTGAGCTGAGATCACGCCACTGACCTCCAGCCTGGCCGACAGAGCGAGACTCCGTCTCAAAAAAAAAAAAATTTTTTTTTTTTTGTAGAAATGGGATCCTCTGTGTTGTCCTGGCTGGTCTTGACCTCCCGGGCTCAAGCCGTCCTCCTGACTTGGCCTCCCAAAGCTCTGGGGTGACAGACATGAGCCACTGCACTGGATGGATGGAATCATGAGAATTGATTATCTTTGCTAATCAGACAGAAGTGAAACAGCTGTCCCAAGGCAGACTCAGGGTCACGTGGCATTTGGAAGAGAGTCCTTTGAAAATGGGCTCTTCACGGCGAAAGCTGTGATCTTCTCTCTGCCCAAGTGTTGCTCAAATAAGTGGAGGTTGTAGGAATATTTGGACACCTTCTTCAGCTTGCTGTGAGGATGACCCATGGAGTAGGGGGATGGCCTGTAATCCCAGCACTTATGTATTATTATTATTATTACTATTATTATTATTATTATTATTGAGATGGAGTCTCACACTGTCACCCAGGGTGGAGTGCAGTGGTGTGATCTCAGCTCACTGCCACCTCCGCCTCTTCGGTTCAAGCAATTCTCCTGCCTCAGCCTCCTGAGTAGCTGGGATGACAGGTGTCTGCCACCACACCTGGCTAATTTTTTGTATTTTTAGTAGAGACAGGGTTTTGCCATGTTGGCCAGGCTGGTCTCGAACTCCTGACCTCAGGTTATCCACCCACCTTGGTCCCCCAAACTGCTGGGACTACAGGCGTGGTGGCGGGTGCCTGTAATCCGAGCTACTAGGGAGGCTGAGGCAGGAGAATCACTTGGATCCGGGAGGTGGAGGTTGCAGTGAGCTGAGATTGCATCATCGCGCTCCAGCCTGGGCAACAAGAGTGAAACTCTGTCCAAAAATAAATAAATAAATAAATAAGAAAATGGGGTACATAGATACCGTGGAATAGTATGCAGCAGTGAAAAAGAACGAAGTAATGTCCTTTCACCTTGAAATCATGTAATTACATAACGGAATCATGTAGTTTCGCCTTGCAAAGCTGTGCACAGATGGGACAGCTCCCGTCAGAAAGACACGAAGCTTATGGCTTGCAGTCGTCAAGGGCTGGACATTCAGACGGAAGAGGGAGGTGCATTGAGAAGCAGACAAGACTGGGCTATGGTTGCAGCTGACGGTCCCAGCAGAGCTCTCTGGCTACAAGCTTGCAGGCGGACATTTGGGGTCCAGGCTGCAGTGAGACCTGGGGGAGTATGACCAGGAGGGCTTGGGCTGCGAGGCCCAGATCCACTGTCTCTAAGATACGTAACCCTGGACTGTGTCGGGAGAGGCAGAAAGAGGAGATCCGGTTGCAGATGTCGGGGTGGTCAGCAGCTGGCTCGTTGGTGCTGCTGGGTTTTGTGGGATCCGTGCCTCTTCTCTCCCCATAAAAAGGGCAGGAGGCAGCCGGGCACAATGGCTCACACCTGTCATCCCAGCACTTTGGGAGGCCATGTGGGCAGGTCACAAGGTCAGGAGTTCGGGACCAGCCTGGCCAATATGGTGAAACCCCGTCTCTACTAAAAATACAAAAATTAGCCAGGTGTGGTGGCAGACACATGTAATCTCGGGTACTGTGGAGGTTGAGGCAGGGGAATCACTTGAACCCGGGAGGCGGAGGTTGCAGTGAGCCGAGATCACAGCACTGAACTCCAGTCTGGGCGACAGAGCGAGACTCCGTCTCAAAAAAAAAAAAAAAAGAAAAGGAAGGAGGCTTCAAAGTCTAGAGAACACCACTGCTGCCATCGTTCCAAGCTGGAAGTCACTGGGACACCTCTGAAACTTCGTGCTGAGGAAACTCAGATGTTGGGCTCAGCTCCTAGGCTGAACTCAGCAGGTTGGCCTGTGAAAACTTCTGTATTAACAAAGGAAAGGACTCACCAGAAAGCAACAGCTATTATCCTGGGCTTGGCAGCAAACAAGAGAACAGGTAGTGAAAATCCGGCAGTCTTTTTTCATTTTTTTTTTTTTTGAGATGGAGTCTTTCTTGCTGTTGCCCAGGCTGGAGTGCAGTGGCATGATCCTAGCTCACTGCAACCTCCGACTTCTGGGTTCGAGTGATTCTCTGCCTCAGCCTCCTGAGTAGCTGGGACTACAGGCGCCTGCCACCACGCCTGGCTAATTTTTGTATTTTTAGTATAGACGAGGTTTCACCATGTTGGCCAGGCTGGTCTTGAACTCCTGAACTCAGGTAATCCGCCTGCCTCGGCCTCCCAAAGTGCTGGGATTACAGGTGTGAGCCACTGCACCCGGCCCTGTGGTCTAATTTTAAAGGTCCAAAATCATTTGTTTCTAAAGTTTGCCCTTGTGCTAAAGCACCAGTGTATGTGTGTAATACTTGATTTGGTTATAAGCGATATTTCAAGGTAGATATTACTGTAGTAGGTTATGTAATTAAAAAGCCTTAAGCTGCTAAAACAGTATTTTTCAGAGATGTGAAATGCAGTATGGGACTAATTATTATTATTATTTTTCCTTCACTAAGTCTAAAGATAAACTATGAAATGCTCCATCATGGTGTTTGAAGGGTCCTTCCAATCTTAAAGATTCATGTTAGCTGATGAGACCCTGTCTCTACTAAAAATACAAAAATTAGCTGGGTGTGGGGGCAGGCACCTGTAGTTCCAGCTACTCGGGAGGCTGAGGTAGGAGAATTGCTTGAACCCAGGGGGCGGAGCTTGCAGTGAGCCAAGATCACGCCACTGCACTCCAGCCTGGGTAAAAGAGCGAGACTCCCTCTCAAAAAAAAAAAAAAAAAAAAAAAATTCATGTTGGCTGGTGAAACCCCATCTCTACTAAAAATACAAAAATTAGCTGGGCGTGGTGGTGGGCACCTGTAGTCCCAGCTACTCAGGAGGCTGAGGCAGGAGAATCACTTGAACCTGGGAGGTGGAGGTTGCAGTGAGCTGAGATCGCGTCACTGCACTCCAGCCTGGGTGACAGAGCGAGACTCCATCTCAAAAAAAAAAAAAAAAAGATTCATGTTGGTTTTCACTATCTCATAACGTAGGCTCCAAAAATGGTTTAGAGTATGGAGCCAAGGGTGTTTGTTTTTTGTTTGGTCAAGAGTACGTGCAAGCCAAGAGAACACTTAGCAAAAGATGTAAACTCTCTCGTAATAGATTGATGTGTTTTTTCTTTTATCAGAGTAAATGCTAAATATCAGTTAACCCAATAGCAAGTTAAAAGAAAAAAGTATGTGAGTCAGGTGAAAAATTCTGATGGTTAATGTCCTAAAGACAAGTTTGTTATTTATAAATGTGCATAATATAATTTTGCAACATAAAATTTTAAAAAATAAAATTGTTTACCCCCCTGAAAAAAGATATATCGTTATATGAATTGGTGTTCTCCAGGGAAAAGAATCAATAGAATATCTTTTTATATATACATAAGAGATAAATTTTTATCTGGGTGTGCAATGTTTATATATGTAAATATATGTGTTTTATTACATATATCTTTTGGTAGATAAGGACATATGCATATATATTTCTTTTATAGAATTTATAAATATTTATATAGTCTATACATATTACTTATTTATAAATACACACATATATATATTTTAACAACTATACAATATATGCGACTTCTTGGAAGAAACTGACTCATAGCATTATAGAGATTAAGCTGTCCCACAATCTGCTGTGTGAAAAGCTGGAGACCTGAAAGAGCCAAGGGTGTGAGTTCCCGTCTGAGTCTGAATTTCTACCTAGGAGAGTGGAGGGTATGACTTCCCATCTGAGTCTGAAGACCTGAGACCCAGGAGAGCCAAGAGTGTGAGTTCCAGTCTGAGTCTGAAGGCCTGAGACCCAGGAGAGCTGAGGGTGTGAGTTCTAGTGTGAGTGAATTTCTGAGACCCAGGAGAGCTGAGGTGGTGAGTTCCTGTCTGAGTCTGAAGGCCTGAGACCCAGGAGAGCAGAGGGTGTGAATTCTGGTGTGAGTCTGAAGGCCTGAGACCCAGAATAACTGAGGGTGTGAGTTCCTGTCTGAGTTTGAAGGCCTGAGACCCAGGATAACTGAGGGTGTGAGCTCCTGTCTGAATCTGAAGGCCTGAGACCCAGGAGAGCTGAGGGTGTGAGTTCTAGTGTGAGTCTGAATTTCTGAGACCCAGGAGAGCTGAGGTGGTGAGTTCTAGTGTGAGTCTGAATTTCTGAGACCCAGGAGAGCTGACGGTGTGAGTTCTAGTGTGAGCCTGAAGGCCTGAGACCCAGGAGAGCTGAGGGTGTGAGTTCTAGTGTGAGTCTGAATTTCTGAGACCCAGGAGAGCTGAGGTGGTGAGTTCCTGTCTGAGTTTGAAAGCCTGAGACCCAGGAGAGCTGACGGTGTGAGTTCTAGTGTGAGCCTGAAGGCCTGAGACCCAGGAGAGCTGAGGGTGTGAGTTCCAGTCTGAAGGCCTAGGGAGACCAATGTCACAGCTGAAAGCCCATCAGGCAGAAGGAATTCCCTCTTAGTTTCTGGGGAGACGGCTGTGCATAGCTGTCCACCTGCTTGACCTCTCTATGGGGCAGCTGCAGACCCTCAGGCTGGGTGCTACAGACCGATGTGGTTCAGTCATGTTCATTTCCGCATCTCGTGGGGCCATGCGTTGTATCTTGTGAGTCCGCGTTGCAGGTTGCAGGGAAAAATATGTTCATCTCTCTGACATGGTGTTTGAAGGTGTCTGAGCCGATCTGAGCTGATCCGAGGATGCCAGCTGAACCCCAGTGGGTTTAGTGACCGCCGTAAGGTTGTTTGGGGCTGTTTCTCTGAAGGAAACCAGGAACAGGATGTGTTCATGTCCCGGGAGAGCTGAGGGCCTGATGTTGAGAGAGGAACGGAAAACCGACAGGGCCTGGAGGAAGAGAGGGACAGAAATAGCAGCCCGGGCCAGGCCCCCACGTCTGCCCTGGGAAACGAGGCTGCCTGCTTCCAGGGGATCCTGTAAAGCCTGTTGTTGACCCGTAAGTTCCTGGCTGTTAGGAGCTGCCCTCCCAATGTGCACACCCAAGGGACAGAGAGACAAGGCGGCCAGGGGCTGCGGTGGGGGCCAAGCCATCGTGCCAGCTTCTCTGCTGGGTACGCAAGGTTTCAGGGCTGAGTATACCCTGAATTTTTGGGGGGTGTGTTCACCCAGGCCTGGGTGGCCTAGACAGCCCCAGGAATAGAATCCCAGACCCAAAATCAAAGCATATCCATGCAGGCCAAGTGTGGAGATGTTAGTCTATTTGCAGCAATTGGTTTAGGGATGGGGAGTGTGTTTAATGCTGCTTCTCATACCCCTTTTTCAAAATAATTGTAGGTTCACCCCCTGAATGTGGGAAACGAAGCTCATTTGCAAGTAAGGTCTTTGTAGATGTGAGAAAGGTTAGGAACTGGAGGGCTGTAGGCTCAGTTGTTCCTGCAACACGTCCTAAGCAAAATCCTGGGCATAGGCCAAGCATGGTGGCTCACGCCTGTAATCCCAGCACTTTGAAAGGCCGAGGCGGGCAGATCACTTGAGGTCAGGAGTTCGAGACCGGCCTGACCAACATGGTGAAACCCTGTCTCTACTAAAAATACAACAATTAGTCGGGCGTGGTGGTGGGCACCTGTAATCCCAGCTACTTAGGAGGCAGGAGAATCACTTGAACCCAGGAGGTGGGGTCTGCAGTGAGCTGAGATCGTGCCATTGCACTCCAGCCTGGGCAACAGAGTGAAACTTAGTCTCAAAAAGAAAACAAAAAAAAAAGGCCAGGTGCGGTGGCTCACGCCTGTAATCCCAGCACTTTGGGATGCCAAGGCGGGCAGATCACCTGAGGTCAGGAGTTCGAGAACAGCCTGACCCACATGGTGAAACCCTGTCTCTACTAAAAATACAGCAATTAGTCAGGCGTGCTGGCACACACCTGTAATCCCAGCTACTCAGGAGGCTGAGGCAGGAGAATGGCTTGAACCCAGGAGGCAGAGGTTGCAGTGAGCCGAGATCGTGCCATTGCACCCCAGCCTGGGTGACAGAGCGAAACTTAGTCTCAAAAAGAAAAGAAAAAAAAAAAAGGCCGGGTGCAGTGGCTCACGCCATAATCCCAGTACTTTCGGAGGTCGAGGCAGGTGGATCACGAGCTCAGGAGTTCGAGACCAACCTGACCAACATGGCGAAACCCTGTCTCAACTAAAAATACAACAATTAGTCGGGCGTGCTGGCGCACACCTGTAATCCCAGCTACTCAGGAGGCTGAGGCAGGAGAATGGCTTGAACCCGGGAGGCAGAGGTTACAGTGAGCCAAGATCGTGCCATTGCACCCCAGCCTGGGCAACAGAGAGAAACTCAGTCTCAAAAAGAAAAAAAAAAAAGGGCCGAGTGCAGTGGCTCACGCCTGTAATCCCAGCACTTTGGGAGGTCGAGGCAGGTGGATCACGAGCTCAGGATTTCAAGACCATCCAGCCTGGTCAACATGGTGAAACCCCGTCTCTACTAAAAATAGAAAAATTAACCAGACATGGTGGCACGTGCCTGTCATCCCAGCTATTCAGGAGGCTGAGGCAGGAGAATCCCTTGAACCCGGGAGGCGGAGGTTGCAGTGATCCCAGATCGCGCCATTGTACCCTAGCCTGGGCAGCAAGAGTGAAACTCTATCTCACAAACACACACACACACAAAAAAAAAAAGAAAAAAAGATTCTGGGCATGGATGGAGATGGGGAACAGGAAAGAAAGAGAAAGAGAAGAAAACACAGCATGGGTGGGGTCCGAAGAACCACCCAAGGCTCCATCGTCCTGGGACCTTTGAGGGATCATGTGGGACCCGCCTCAGAGCCATCCCTCTGAGACAAGTGAAGGATGGACATTGTGGGCTGAGCTGGTTTCCTCTGAACCTGGGGCAGCAGAGGAGATGGATGTGACTGTGGTCACCCTGGGGTTGTTCGGAGGACGCAGGTCTCACTGAGCCTCTGGGATCCTTGTCTTATGAGATTAATTTTTACCCATCTGTGTGCACCATCAACCTCTTAATCTTGCATGATTGACGGCCAAGCCTATTGCAGCGAAAGGCTGGTGGCTGTTTGTGGGGTGAGAAGCCGAGTGTATTTTGGGGGTACGATGCCTTGGGGCCGTTCCTGGTGTGAGTGAGGCGGTATTGGTCACCGACAGTTACTGGGCTCTGTGTGCCAGGTGGATGCACAGACTTTCTGTCATCAAACATATGTGTTACAAGAACGCTCGGGGCCGCGTGCGGCGGCTCACACCTGTAATCCCAGCACTTTGGGAGGCCGAGGCAGGCGGATCACTTAAGGTCAGGAGTTCGAGACCAGCCTGACCAACATGGTGAAACCCTGTCTCTACTAAAAATACAAAAAATTAGCCAGGCATTGGGGCGGGTGCCTGTAACCCCAGCTACTTGAGAAGCTGAGGTGAGAGAATGGCTTGAACCCAGGAGGTAGAAGTTGCGGTGAGCCGAGATCGCGCCACTGTACTCCAGCCTGGGCAACAAGAGCACAACTCCACCTCAAAAAAAAAAAAAAGGCTGGGCGCAGTGGCTCATGCTTGTAATCCCAGCAATTTAGGAGGCCGAGGCAGGTAGATCACCTGAGGTCAGGAGTTCGAGACCAACCTGGCCAACATGATGAAACCCCATGTCTACTAAAAATACAAAAATTAGCCGGGTGCGGTGGCACATACCTGTAGTCCCAGCTACTCGGGAGGCTGAGGCAGGATAATCACTTGAACCTGGGAGGCAGAGGTTGCAGTGAGCCAAGATCACGGCACTGCTGCACTCCAGCCTGTGTGACAGAGCAAGACTCTGTCTCAAAAAAAAAAAAACAAAAAAAAAAAACCACTCAGAATAGTTACGCCATTGGCCCAAAGCCCTGGTGGATCCCAAAGTCTGTTTCTAATGGCATGATTTCCTTCCTCATGGCAAATCCCACTGCAATGTCCCACAGAACCCCACCCTGGCATTCCGTATCTCCTTCCTGGGATGGGGTTCTCTGTTCTGTGCCTGCAGTATTAGTCCCTTGTCACACTGCTATAAAGATTGGCCTGAGACTGGGTAATTGAGAAAGGAAAGAGGTCGCATTGACTCACAGATCCACATGGCTGAGGAGGCCTCAGGAAACTTACAGTCCAGTTGGAAGGCGAATGGGCAGCAGGCACCTTCTTCACAAGGTGGCAGCAAAGAGGAAGCGTGCAGAGGGAGAACTGGCAAACAGTTATAAAACCAGCAGGCCGGGTGCGGTGGCTCACGCCTGTAATCCCAGCACTTTAGGAGGCCGAGGTGGGTGGATCACGAGGTCAGGAGATCAAGATCACCCTGGCTAACACTGTGAAACCTCGTCTCTACTAAAAATACAAAAAATTAGCCTGACCTGGTGGCGGGTGCCTGTGATCCCAGCTACTCGGGAGGCAGAGGCAGGAGAATCGCTTGAACCCAGGAGGCAGAGGTTGCAGTGAGGTGAGATCACACCACTGCATTCAAGCCTGGGCAACAGAGTGAGACTGTCTCAAAACAAACCCAAAAGAGGGCCGGGCACAGTGGCTCACGCCTGTAATCCCAGCACTTTGGGAGGCCGAGGTGGGTAGATCACAAGGTCAGGAGATGAGAGGCTAACAGGGTGAAACCCCATCTCTACTAAAAATACAAAAAATCAGCCGGGTGTGGTGTTGGGCGCCTGTAGTCCCAGCTACTCGGGAGGCTGAGGCAGGAGAATGGCAGGAACCCAGAAGGCGGAGGTTGCAGTGAGCCGAGATCGCACCACTGCACTCCAGCCTCGGCGACACGGTGGGACTCCGTCTCAAAAAAGAAAGAAAAAAAAAAAGCAAAGCGGTTACGTTGACTCACATATCCACATGGCTGAGGCCTCAGGAAACTGACAGTCATGGCGGAAGGTGAATGGGCAGCAGGCACCTGTTTCAGAAGGTGGCAGCAAAGAGAGCGCAGGTGGAGACAGAACTGTCAATCATTTATAAAACCAGCAGGTCTCTTGAAAACTCATTCAGTATGCTGAGAAGAGAGTGGGGAAAACCTCCCTCATGATCCAATCACGTCCCTCCCTCAACACGTGGGAGTTACAATTAGAGACGAGGTTTGGGTGGCGACACCGAGACAAACCATAGCCTCTGCTAATGCCTGGCTGATATAAGTGACTTATGTGCTTTCTTCTACCCCCAAACACAGCCTTCAGGCCGGTGGAGGCCAAAATAATTCTCCACTCTTCCCTATGCACCTAGCACAGTGTCTGGTACACCAGAGACACCCCATCACTCATTACTGCATGGGAATAAAGCAGGAAATAGAGCATGTCGGCTGGGTGCAGTGGCTTACACCTGTCATCCCAGCACTTTTGGAGGCTAAGGCGGGTGGATCACCTGAGGTCAGGAGTTCGAGACTATCCCTGCCAACATGGTGAAATCCCGTATCTACTAAAAATACAAAAAATAGCTGGGTGTGGTGGCAGATGCCTGTAATCCCAGCTATTTGGGAGGCTGAGGCAGGAGAATTACTTGAGCCTATGAGGGGGAAGTTGTAGAGAGCTGAGATTGAGATTGCACCACTGCACTTCAGCTTGGGTGACAGAGTGAGACTCTGTCTCAAAAAAAAAAGAAAAAAAAAAAGACAAGAAAGGAGGAAGGAAAGAAAGAGAGAAAGAAAGAAAGAAAAAGAGAAAGAAAGAAAGAGAAAAGAATACAAGAAGCAAGAAAGGAAGGAAAGAGAGAGAAAGAAAGAAAGAAAAGAAGGAAGGCAGGAAGGAAGGAAAGAAGGGGAGAGAGAATGAAAAAGAAAAGAAAGAAAGAGAGAAAGAAAAAAGAAAGAAAGAAAAGGAAGGCAGGAAGGAAGGGGAGAGAGAATGAAAAAGAAAAGAAAGAAAGAGAAAAGAATACAAGAAGGAAGGAGGGAGAGAGAAAGAAAGAGAAAGCAAGAGGAAAAGAAAAGAAGGAAGGAAGGAAGGGGAGAGAGAGAATGAAAAAGAAAGGAAAGAAAAAGAAAAAAGAAGGAAGGCAGGAAGGAAGGAAGGGAGAGAGAATGAAAAAGAAAAGAAAGAAAGAGAGAAAGGAAAAAGAAAGAAAAGAAAGAAGGCAGGAAGGAAGGAAGGGGAGAGAGAATGAAAAAAGAAAAGAAAGAAAGAGAGAAAGAAAGAAACAGAAAAGAATACGAGAAGGAAGGAAGGAGAGAGAAAGAAAGAGGAAAAGAAAAGAAGGAAGGAAGAGGAGAGAGAGAATGAAAAAGGAAAGAAAGAAAGAAAAAGAAAGAAAGAAAGGAAAGAAAGAGAAAGAAAGAAGGAAAGGAAGGAAGGAAGGAAAGAAGGAAGGAAGGAAGGGCCCTGACTGCGTAGAAGTCACCCCCCGGGGACGATTCCTCAGACTGACGGGCTGAACATTAACCTGGTACATCTTGGAAACGGCGCACACATCACACCTTTTCACGGTAAAGTGAGTGCAGACGGGTGAAGACGTTTTGTATGCGAGAAAGTATGGAACACGAGAAATCATTTCTTCCATCAGGTTTCCCCTACAGTTTGTGGGAGAAATGAAGACATTCTATAAATGGAAAACCAAAAAATCATTTATTCCATGAGTACCTTCCTACAGTTTGTGGGAGAAAGGGTGACATAGGAGAAAAGTGATTTGGGACAGAAAAGAGTCTCTGATTTTCCCAACTCACACAAGTCCAGGGACTTCCTTTCACATCCAGTCTCAGGAACAGAGAATTTGGTTCTTCACTATTCACATGGTGTAGGCTGATCTGGTTGCCACAGACAACTTCAGCATGACCGGGTGGCCAGAGAGCCACCAGCACAGCCTTGCTCATCTGAAATCCTAAGACTCATCCACTTGGGGTCTTTCCAGTGGAGAGAGGGTCTGCTTCCTATCTGCTCCTGTGTGAATGTTGGTATCCTCCTAAAATTTCCATGTTGAAATCCTCACTCCCAAAGTGATGGTGTCAGGAGATGGGACCTTTGGCAGGTGATGAGGTCATGGAGATGGAGCATCATGCATGGGATCAGCGATCTCATACAACAGACCCCAGAGAGCTTTCTCGCCCCTTCTACCATGTGAGGACATGGTGAGAAGGCACCATCTAGGAACCAGGAGGCGGGTTCTCAGTAAGACGCTGAATGTGGCATGCTTTGATCTTGGACTTCCAGCCTCCAGAGCTGTGAGCAACAGATCTCTGTTGTTTCTTTCTGTTTTCTTTTTTTTTTTTTTGAGACAGAGTCTTCCTCTGTCGCCCAGGCTGGAGTGCAGTGGCACGATCTCAGCTTACTGCAAGCTCCGCCTTCCAGGTTTACGCCATTCTCCTGCCTCAGCCTCCTGAGTAGCTGGGACTACAGGCGCCCGCCACCATCCCCGGCTAATTTTTTGTATTTTTTATTTTTAGTAGAGACGGGGTTTCACCGTGTTAGCCAGGATGGTCTCGATCTCCTGACCTCGTGATCTGCCAGCCTCGACCTCCCAAAGTGCTGGGATGACAGGCGTGAGCCACTGCGCCTGGCAAATGTCTGTTGTTTCTAAGCCACCGAGGCTATGGTATTCTGCTATAGCAACGCAAACGGACTAAGACATCATCCTGAAACATGAAACTTCCAGCCCCAGGGAATGGGTGAAAGATGTTTACTTACTCAAGGTTTGTAACCCGCCACAACTCCCATGATGAAATCCTCAGTCCCCAAGGCAATGGTATTTGGAGGTGAGGACTTTGGGAGGTGATGAGGTCATGCAGGTGGAGTGTTATGAGTAGGATTTGTGCCCTTATAAAAGGGACCCCAGGCCGGGTGCGGTGGCTCACGCCTGTCATCCCAGCACTTTGGGAGGCCGAGGCGGGCGGATCACGAGGTCAGGAGTTCCACAGCAGCCTGGCCAACATGGTGAAACCCCATCTCTACAAAAAAATACAACAATTAGCCAGGGCCAGGAGTGGTGGTGGGTGCCTGCAATCCCAGCTCCTCGGGAGGCTGACGCTCACGCCTGTCATCCCAGCACTTTGGGAGGCTGAGGTGGGTGGATCACAAGGTCGGGAGTTTGAGAGCAGCCTGGCCAACATGGCGAAACCCCATCTCTACTAAAAATACAAAAAACATTAGCGGGGCATGGTGGCGGGCACCTGTAATCCCAGCTCCTCGGGAGGCTGAGGCAGGAGAATCGCTTGAACCCGGGAGGCGGAGGTTGCAGTGAGCTGAGATCGCGCCACTGCACTCCAGCCTCAGTGACAGAGCGAGACTCCATCTCAAAAAACAAAAACAACAACAAAATAAAATAAAATAAAATGGACCCCAGAGAGCTCCCTCACCCCTTCCAACACCATGTGAGACACAGCAAGAAGGCGCTGTCTATAGATCAGGAAGCCACTGGTTCATAGACCACCAGACACTGAATCTGCCACACCTTAACCTTGGACTTCCAGCCTCCAGAACCATGAGACATAGATGCCTGCTGTTGAGAAGGCCCCCAGCCTATGGTATTTCACGATAGCAACACATACGAACTAAGACACTCTCCTGAAATATGAAGGTTCCAGCCCCAGCAAATGAGGGAAAGGAAAGAGTCATCCACGTCCAGGGAGGGTCAGGGTTGAAGCTGATGCTACCAGGGCCCTCTTGAGTTGGCGTTTAGGGCCAGATGCCGTGCGTAGAGAATGTGTACGGGGGAATGGAGACGGCCACCGTTTCTCATCTGTGCCGTAAAGTCCCAGGCACTCGGGCCGTCCTGGGACCCAGTGCCTGGCAAACATACTTCAGGATGGCTTTCACGGGAACCCTGTGAAACTCTGCCGGGGCTGTGTAGCCACCGCCTTTCACTTCTCATGAGGCTTTCCTGAGTAACCCAGTTGTCTCTCTGGCTGTTGGCAGCCCTGGGGAGGTCTGTTGTTGACTGCAAAGGTGGTACGGGAAGAGGAAGTACCACACCCTCCAACTTTCTGCATCGCGAACCCTATCTGACCCTCCTCATCTAGGGGTGCTGTTTTTCTGCAGAAGTTGGCACTACAGTCTTGAAGAAAACAAAACAAAACAAAACACCAAAGTACTGGCTACAGGAAGCCCAGGCTACCAATTTCATTTCCTTATAATCTCAGTTCTGGGGTCTTGATTTGAACATGATGCTCCAGTGTCAGGAAGGGGTCAAAAAAGGGAAGCATGTCTGTGACCTTCAACTCAGGAGGAAAACACTTTATGGTTGTTTCTTCTTTTTAAATTAAATCTATCGAGAGGCAGAACCACTGAGGAATATGCATAGCAGCACACAATAGCCGAAAGGTGGAAACAACTCAAATATCCATGCACACACGGGAGTGGATATGCAGGATAAATCCATGCAATGGAGTACTACACAGCCATGCAATGGAACACTACGCAGCCATGAAAATGGGATACTATGCACCCTTGAAAAAGGAATGAGGTTCTGACGCAGGCTGCCGCATGGATGAACCTTAGGACATCATGCTCAGTGAGAGAAGCCAGACACAGAAGGACACACTTTGTAGGATTCCATTTCTATGAAATGTCCAGAACAGGCAGATCCATACAAATAGAAAGTGGATTTGTGGTTGTGAGGGGCTGGGGAGTGAGGATTGGGAATTCATGCTTAATGGGTACAGAGTGTCCTTTTAGGTGATGAGAATGTTGGCAGTGATCGTTGTGCAATCTTCTGAATGTGGTAAATGCCACTGAATCACACTCTTCAAAATGGTTAATTTTGGCCGGGCGCGGTGGCTCACGCCTGTAATCCCAGCACTTTGGGAGGCCGAGGCGGGCAGATCACGAGGTCAGGAGATCAAGACCACCCTGACTAACATGGTGAAACCCCGTCTCTACTAAAAATACAAAAAATTAGCCATGCGTGGTGGGGCACACCTGTAGTCCCAGCTACTCGGGAGGCTGAGGCAGGAGAATGGCGTGAACCTAGGAAGCGGAGGTTGCAGAGAGCCGAGATCGCACCACTGCACTCCCGCCTGGGCAACAGTGCGAGACTCCGTCTCAAATAAAATAAAATAAATAAAATAAAATGGTTAATTTTATGTTCTGTGAATTTTACCAAAAGAAAAAAAAATGGTCGGGCATGGTGGCTCACATCTGTAATCTCAGAAGTTTAGAAGGTTTAGGTAGGAAAACTGTTTGAGCCCAGGAGTTTGAGACCACCCTGCACAATATAGCCAGACCCCATCTCTACAAGATTTTTTTTAAAAAAATAAGCCAGGCATCACGCCTGTAATCCCAGCACTTTGGGATGCCAAGGTGGGTGGATCACGCGGTCAGGAGATTGAGACCATCCTGGCTAAGGTGAAACTTCGTCTCTACTAAATATACAAAAAATTAGCCGGGCGTGGTGGCGGATGTCTGTAGTCCCAGCTACAACCTCACTGCAACCTCCATCTCCTGGATTCAAGCGATTCTCCTGCCTCAGCCTCCCAAGTAGCTGGGATTATAGGTGTGCACCACCATGCCCAACTAATTTTGTATTTTTAATAGAGATGGGGTTTTATCATGTTGGTCAGTCTGGTCTCGAACTCCTGACCTCAAGTGATCCACCCACCTCGGCCTCCCAAAGTGCTAGGATTCCAGGCGTGAGCCACCTCACCTGGCCAGACATGATGTGTTTGTGTGTCTGTGGTGAGAACACTTAACATCCACTGTCTTCGAGATTTTTTTTTTTTTTTTGAGATGGAATCTCGCTCTGTCACCCAGGCTGGAGTGTAGTGGCGCGATCTCGGCTCACTGCAACCTCCGCCTCCCAGGTTCATCCCATTCTCCTGTCTCAGCCTCCCAAGTAGCTGGGACTACAGGCATCTGCCACAGCACCTGGCTAATTTTTTGTACTTTTATTTTAGTAGAGACGGGGTTTCACTGTGTTAGCCAGGATGGTCTCGATCTCCTGACCTCGTGATCTGCCCGCCTCGGCCTCCCAAAGTGCTGGGATTACAGGCGTGAGCCACCGCACCCGGTCTGCGAGATTTTTAATACACAATTCAATGTTATTCATTATAGTCACTGTGTTGTACCAAAGATCTCCTCAGCTTACTCATTCTGTCGGAATGAGCATGGTTTTTTTATTTGTTTGTTTGTTTGTTTTTGTCCTTAGATCAAACATCTTTTCCATTTTAGCTGTTTTTTTGTTTTTTGTTTTTTTTGAGACAGGGCCTTGCTCTGTCACCCAGGCTGGAGTGCAGTGGTGCAGTCTTAGCTCACTGCAGCTTCAACCTCCTGGGCTAAAGCTATCCTCCCACCTCAGCCTCCTGAGTAGCTGGGACTACAGGCACACACTACCATGCCCAGCTAACTTTTCTTTCTAGAGATGGGGTCTTGTTATGTTGCCCAGGCTGGCTTCCAACTCCTGAGCTCAAGCATTCCTCCCACCTCAGCCTCCCAAAGTGTTGGGATTACAGGTGTGAGCCACAATGCCCAGGCTTGCACATTTGTCCATCCATCTTCTATTCATCCATCCATTTATCCATCCATTTATCCATCCATCCATCCATCCATCCATCCATCCATCCATCCATCCATCCATGCATCCATTCATTCATCTATCTTTATCTATCTATCTATGTATCATCTATCTGTGTATCTATCATCTATCTATCATCTATCAATCTATCTATGTATCTATCTACCTATCATCTATCTTATCTATCTATGTATCTATCTATGTATCTATCTATGTATCTATGTATGTATGTATCCATCTATCATTTATCTATTTATCATCTATCTATCTATCTGTGTATCTATCTCTGTATCTATGTATCTATCTATCATCTATCTATCTAATCTATCTATCCATCTATGTATCTATGTGTCTATTTATCTATCATCTATCTATCTAATCTATCTATCCATCTATGTATCTATCTATGTGTCTATTTATCTATCATCTATCTAATCTATGTGTCTATCTATGTATCTATGTATCTATCTGTCATCTATCTATCCATCATCTATCTATCTACCTACCTATCGTCTATCTATCTACCTATCTATGTATCTATGTATGTATCTATGTATCTATCTATCATCTATCTAATCTATCTATCTATCTATCTATCTATCTATGTAGCTAATCTATCTATATATCTATCTATCATCTATCTGTCTACCTACCTACCTATCATCTATCTTATCTATCTATAATCTATGTATCTATATATCTATGTATCTATGCATCTATGTATCTATCATCTATCATCCATCTATCTACCTACCTATCATTTATCTATCGTATGTATGTATGTATGTATGTATGTATCTATCATCTATCATCTATCTAATCTATCTCTGTATCTATGTATCTATCTATCTATCATCTACCTATCTAATCTATGTATCTATTTATCTATCATCTATCTATCTAATCTATGTATCTATCCATCTATCTATTATCTATCTATCCATCATCTATCTACCTACCTATCATCTATCTATGTATCTATCTATCTATGTATGTATCTATCTATCATCTATCTAATCTATCTATCTATCTATCTGTCATCTATTATCTATGTATCTATCATGTATCATCTATCTATCTATCTATCTATCTATCTATCTATCTATCTATCTATCATCTATCATCTTCTGTATTAAAGTGGTTCTCAACTGGAGAAGATTTTGCTGTCCATGAGACATCAGTAAAATATGGAGTCATCCTTGGTTCTCACCACTGGCTGGAGCAGGAGGTGCTCCTGTCATCTGGTGGGCGGAGCTGAGGGACACTGCTCAATATTGTACAGTGCACAGGACGGCCCCACCGCAGAGGATTCTCCAGTCTCAAATGTCAGCAGCTCCAGGCCTGGCATGTTCTTGGATAACCCCCTCTCCCCACATCCTTTCTGGGATGCCCCATTGTGGCTGCCTTCATCATCTTTTCAATTAGGGGATGGTGAATGAAGACACTGGAGACTATCTGGGTAGAGAGTTTCTCTCTGAGTTCCCAGGGATGCCTCTGTCCTGGACCCCAGCACAGATCACCACGGGCAGCCCCTAACCATTGCCGGGCTCCTGAGGAGGGTCACCCTGCGCTTACTCCCCGTCATACCCATCTGGGGAATGGGTGGCTTCCACAGACTCACCAGGCATCTCCCTGTATCCCTGTACCCGCTGGAGGGTGCTACGTTGTCTCCGATTTACAGGGACAGTTTGATCAACCAACCCAGATCCCCAGATAGTGAGATGGTGTCTGGGCTACAAACCCAGGCCACCGATGTTCCTTGCTATTTAGGAATAAAGATATTTATGTCCCCGTTGTTTGGGGGAGTTCGTCCACCAGTAAAACTACAGAAAAGTGGAATGCTGTTTAGTTTTGTGTTGTTTTTTTTGTTTTGTTTTGTTTGTTTTGAGAAGGAGTCTCGCTCTGTCGCCCAGGCTGGAGTGCAGTGCTGACTGCAAGCTCCACCTCCCGGGTTCACACCATTCTCCTGCCTCAGCCTCCCGAGCAGCTGGGACTACAGGCACCCGCCACCACGCCCGGCTAATGTTTTGTATTTTTAGTAGAGACGGGGTTTCACCGTGTTGGCCAGGATGGTCCCGATCTCCTGACCTCATGATCCGCCCGCCTCAGCCTCCCAAAGCGCTGGGATGACAGGCGTGAGCCACTGCGCCCGGCCTAGTTTTTCTTATAATCATGCAGTGTTGTTTGTAGGATACTCTACAGGTTTGTGAGTGCGGAGACCCCAAACAGGCACGAAGGGGTGGAAAAGGGATGTACTGGAAAAGAGGACAGACAGAGTGGGGTCCCACGGCTGTCAGCAGAGAGGCAGCTGCAGGTACCCACCACTGGAGGCTATTGTCATAGAGACCCAGCAGGGGGGACATTCGGCTGCCTCCTCAAGCTGCGTCTTTGAATGCAACTAGGGGGAGCAGCTGAGCTTCAGGGATTCACGGATTCTATCAGGACAGCAGATGAGGGACTGGCGGGCACTTGGGCCCTAGAGCTTGGCACCTGCAAAGCAATGTATGCTTTTTTTTTGTTTTTGGAGACAGGATCTCACTCTGTTGCCCAGGCTGGAGTCCAGTGGTGCAGTCTCAGCTCACTGCAGCCTTGACCTCCCGGGCTCAAGCAATCCACCCGCCTCAGCCTCATCTCTGTTGCAGTGAGACGAGATCGTGCCACTGCACTCCAGCCTGGGCAACAGAGTGAGACTCTGTCTCAAAAAAAAAAAGAGCCGGGCGCGGTGGCTCCTGCCTGTCATCCCAGCACTTTGGGAGGCCGAGGCGGGCGGATCACGAGGTCAGGAGTTCGGGACCATCCTGGCTGACACGGTGAAACCCCATCTCTACTAAAAATACAAAAAATTATCTGTATGTAGTGACAGGCACCTGTAGTCCCAGCCACTTGGGAGGCTGAGGCAGGAGAATGGCGTGAACGCGGGAGGTAGAGGTTGCAGTGAGCCAAGGTTGCGCCACTGGACTCCAGCCTGGGCGACAGAGTGAAACTCTGTCTCAAAAAAAAAAAAAAAAAAAAAAAAGGAAAAACAAAGAAAAGAAGAAAGTGTTTGGTAGTTTCCCCTGTGGTTGGTCTCTCTCTCTTTCTCTCTCTCTCTCTCCCCTGCCACCTTGTGAAGGTGTGCCCACTCTGTTGCCCAGGCTGGAGTGCAGTGGTGCAGTCTCAGCTCACTGCAGCCTTGACCTCCCGGGCTCAAGCGATCCTCCCGCCTCAGCCTCCTGAGTAGCTGGGACTACAGGCACAGACCCCAACACCCACATAATTTTTGTATTTTTTTATAGAGATGGGATCTCACTATGTTGCCCAAGCTGTTCTCGAACTCATAGGCTCAAGTGCTCCATCCACCTCAGCATTCCAAAGTGCTGCGATTATAGGTGTGAGCCACTGTGACTGGCCCATACTCTCTTCCCTCCCTCCCTTCCTTCTTTCCTTCCTTCCTCCCTCCCTCCTTCCCTCCCTCTCTCTTACTTTCTTTTGCTTCTTTATTTCTCTCTTCTTTCTTTCTGTTTGTTCTTTCTTTCTCTTTCTCTCTCTCCTATCTTTCTTTCTCTCTCCTTCCTTCCTTCCTTTCTCCCTCCCTCTCTCTGTCTTTCTTTCTTTTCCTTCTTTCTTTCTCTCTCTCTTTGTTCTTTCCTTCTCTCTCTATCTTTCTCTCTTTCTCTCTCTCTCTCCTTCCTTCCTCCCTCCCTCCGTCTCTCTCTCTCTGTTCCTTCCTTCCTTTCTCTCTCTCTCTCTCCTTCCTTCCTCCCTACCTCCGTCTCTCTGTTCCTTCCTTTCTCTCTCTCCTTCTTTCTTTCTTTCTTTCTTCCTTCCTTCCTTCCTTCCTTCCTTCCTTCCTTCCTTGACAGGGTTTTGCTCCTGTCTCCTAGGCTGGAGTGCAATGACATGATCTCAGCTCTGCCTCCTGGGCTCAAGCAATTCAGCCTCCCAAGTAGCTGGGATTACAGGCACCCACCATCAAACCTGGCTCATTTTTGTATTTTTAGTAGAGATGGGGTTTCACCACGTTGGCCAGGCTAGTCTCGAACCCCTGACCATAGGTGATCCACCTGCCTTAGCTTCCCAGAGTGCTGGGATTACAGGGGTAAGTCGCTGTGCTCAGTTGCCATACACTTAAAAAAAAAAAAAATGAGGAGATAATCCAATTATAACAAGAGGACAGGGTGCATTCCTCAATGCTGTGGGGCAAACAGTTTTTGTTTGTTTGTTTTTTGAGAGAGGGTTTCGCTCTTGTTGCCGAAGCTGGAGTGCAATGGCACGATCTCGGCTCACTGCAACCTCTGCCTCCCAGGTTCAAGCGATTCTCCTGCCTCAGCCTCCCGAGGAGCTGGGATTACAGGTGCCCGCCACCACACACTTTAAAAAAAATGAGGAGATAATGCAGTTATAACAAGAGTACCAGGTGCATTCCTCAAAGCTGTGGGGCAAACAGATTTTTCAAAGGTCATTAAAGACCAATTGTTTTTTCAGGCCTGGTGCAGGAGATATAAGGTACAGAGGAGTTTTGACGTCTATTCATAGCCTGTGAATTGGGATTGCCCTTCTCATCTCTACTTTCCCTGGCCAGGTGACCCTGTCCCGGGGGAGCCCATGAGAGGCTGACTTCAAAACATCCTTCTCGAAGCCTTTCTGAATTCCGTTGCTTTTTTAAAAAAAGTCCTTAGGAGTTGGGTATTTTTTTGTTTTTTGAGACGGAGTCTCGCTCTGTCGCCCAGGCTGGAGTGCCATGGCGCAATCTCAGCTCACTGCAACCTCTGCCTCCCTGGTTCACGCCATTCTCCTGCCTCAGCCTCCTGAGTAGCTGGGACTACAGGTGCCCGCCACCACACCCGGCTAATTTTTTGTATTTTTAGTAGAGACGGGGTTTCACCGTGTTAGCCAGGATGGTCTCGATCTCCTGACCTCGTGATCCACGGAGTTGGGTATTTTTTTTACTTCATCAGAGTGAAATAGAAGAAGAGTTATATTTGTTTACTATAACTATGATGAAAGATCTAAGTTATTTTACACTAAAAGTTATATGAGGTTTTGATTTGTGACATCTCCAAAGTAAGCTTTGGAGGAATGAATGAAAAGAATATGGTCAGGGGCATTGGCTCACGCCTGTAATGCCGGCACTTTGGGAGCCCGAGACGGGTGAATCACCTGAGGTCAGGAGTTTGAGACCAGCCTGGCCCATATGCTGAAACCCCATCTCTACTAAACATACAAAATTAGCTGGGCGTGGTGGCACATGCCTGTAATCCCAGCTACTTAGGAGGCTGAGGCAAGAGAATCCCTTGAACCTGGGAGGCGGAGGTAGCAGTGAGCTGAGATTGCGCTATTGAACTCCAGCCTGGGTAACAAGAGCGAAACTCTGTCAAAAAAAAAAAAAAAGAAAGAAAGAAGAAAGAGAGAAAGAAAGAAAGAAGAGAGAGAAAGGAAGAAGAAAGAAAGAAAGAAAAAAAAGAAAGAAAGAAAGAAAGAAAGAAAGAAAGAAAGAAAGAAAGAAAGAAAAGAAAGAAAGAGGGAGGGAGGGAGGGAGAGAGAGGAGAGAAGAAGAGAGGAGAGGAGAGGAGAAGAGAGGAGAGGAAAAATGTTTATAGTGCCAGGTGCAGTGGCTCATGCCTGTAATCCCAGCACTTTGGGAGGCTGAGGCGGGTGGATCACCTGAAGTCAGGAGTTCGAGACCAGCCTGGCCAACATGGAGAAACCCCGTCTCTACTAAACATACAAAATTAGCTGGGTGTGGTGGTGGGCGCCTGTAATCCCAGCGACTCAGGAGGCTGAGGAAGGAGAATTGCTTGAACCCAGGAGGCAGAGGTTGCAGTGAGCCAAGATCGTGCCATTGCACTCCAACCTGGGCACCAAGAGTGAAACTCCATCTCAAAAAAAAAAAAAAAAGAAAAAGAAAAAGAAAAAAGAGAAAGGAAGAAAGAAAGAAAGGAAAGAAAGAAAATAAAAGAAAAGAATAAACGTTTATAGTGCCGGGTGCAGTGGTTCATGCCTGTAATCACAGTGCTTTGGGAGGTCAGTGTAGAAAGATAGCTGGAGGCCAGGAGTTTCAGACCAGCCTGGGCAAGATAGCAAGAGCCCACCTCTACAAAAAAATTAAAAAACATTAGCCCTACATGGTGGTATATGCCTGTAGTCCCAGGTCCTCAGGAGCCTGATGCAGGAGGATTGCTTGAGCCCAGGAGGTGGAGGCTGCAGTGAGCTGAGACTGCACCACTGCACTTCAGCCTGGGCAATGGAGCAAGACCCCGACTCCAAAACAAAACAAAACACAAAGTGTTTATAGTAATATTTGCAATTGTATAGGGTTTTGATGGTGATTACGCTTTGCCACAATCACTTCCTCTGCCTCAGCATCTCCCTTTTGTCTGCTTGTTTTGCTCTGGTTCTTTTTTTTTTTTTTTTTCCACCTTTCTTTAGATTGTAACAAGAATGCACGTGGACAAAAACTGGGACTGAGGCCATCCCATTACTGGGTATATACCCAAAGGATTATAAATCATCCTGCTATAAAGACACATGCACACGCATGTTTATTGCAGCACTATTCACAATAACAAAGACTTGGAACCAACCCAAATGCCCATCAATAATAGACTGGATTAAGAAAATATGGCACATAGACACCATGGAATACTATGCAGCCATGAAAAAGGATGAGTTCATGTCCTTCGTAGGGACATGGATGAAGCTGGAAACCATCATTCTGAGCAAACTATCGCAAGGACAGAAAACCAAACACCGCATGTTCTCACTCATACGTGGGAATTGAACAATGAGAAGACTTGGACACAGGGTGGGGAACATCACACACCAGGGCCTGTCGTGGGGCGTTGGGAGAGGGGGGAGGGAGAGCATTAGGAGATATACCTAGTGTAAATGACGAGTTAATGGGTGCAGCAAACCACCATGGCACATGTATACGTATGTAACAAACCTGCACGTTGTGCACACGTACCCTAGAACTTAAAGGATAAAAATTTAAAAAAATTTTTAAAAACTGGGGCTGAGGGTGTGGGTGGGGAAGCTCATGAACAGCCTCAGCTCTTCCAGTGGAGCTTTGCTGTGGGCAGAAGGTCAATGTCCTCCCCGAATTCCCACATTGATGTAACCACCAACAAGATGATGTTAAGAGGCTTTGGGAGGTGACGAGGTTGTGAGGTTGGAGTCTCATGAATGGGAATCATGCTCTCATAAAAGGAACCCCAGAGACCTCCCTGGCCCCTTCCACCATGTGAGACACAGAGAGAAGGCGCCATCTATGAACTAGGAGACGGGTCCTCACCAGACACTGAATCAGCCACACCTTCATCTTGGACTTCCAGCCTCCAGCACCGAGAGACGTAAAGGTCTGTCTTGATAGGCTGCCCAGGGTATGGTGTTCTGTGACAGCAACACGAAAGGACTAAGACAACCTTGCATTTAATCGTGAGAATTGTTACATTGTTGCACGCTGTCTATGGATAATGCTACATTTGCTTCAATTGTTTTTCAGTAATTACTATAGCAGCATTCTGCAAATAGCAACATTTCTTTTCTAATAGTTACATATGCAGCAAAAATAACTGTATAAAACTCTTTTTTTTCTAAACATTATGGTGAAAACTGAAACTCTTTATTTGCATTGGTTGAGATAAGGATTTACGATGGTGTGGGTTGCTTCCTCCCCCCTCCTTCTCTCCGATGCTGCCAGAGTCTGTATTTATTTAAGCATTTCACATCTTTTATTTCCAAACTCTATTCTCTAAAAATATTTTTCATCTTAGAATGTGTTGTACTGATACTAATTAATACATATACTATTACTATACTGTATATTTTCATACATTGTGCCTTGAAAACATTTTTTATGAATCTTCTTCTGTTTTATGGTTAACTGCCAATCATTTTGTACCACAGCTTCCCCATTTTAAAATTCTTAATTTCATTCATTTCTGGTTTGGCTGGAGTTACTTTGGCTGTTGTTGTTGGTTTTTGTTTTTTTTTTTTAAGATGGAGATTCACTCTTTGTTGCCCAGGCTGGAGTGCAATGACATAATCTCAGCCCACTGCAACCTCCTTCTCCTGGGTTGAAGCAATTCTCCTGCCTCAGTCTCCCAAGTAGCTGGGATGACAGGCATGCACCACCACGCCTGGCTAATTTTTGTATTTTTAGTAGAGACAGGGTCTCACTATGTTGGTCAGGCTGGTCTCAAACTCCTGACCTCAGGTGATCCACCCGTCTCGGCCTCCCAAAGTGCTGGGATTACAGGTGTGAGCCACCGTGCCCAACCTGTTGTTGCTTTTAAAAACACTTGTTTTTTTCCCCCCCAAAAGGGGACCTAGGCCTGGTGGTACACGCCTGTGGTCCCAGCTACTCAGGAGGCTGAGGTGGGAGGATCGCTTGAGCCCAGGAGTCCCAGGCTGCAGTGAGCTAGGACTGCACCACTGCACTCCAGCCTGGGAGACAGAGGGAGACTCCCTCTCTGAAAAAAAAAAAAAAGGAGTTGGGGGATATAAAAAACATATTTGCATCCTTGAAAATACATGCCTCTAAGATGACAGATTTTTTCAGTGCAGGATTTTGGGGAGGGGAACTTTTCTCTATCAAAATGATCTACTGGATAGAACATAGTGTCCAGAGTCAAAGATACTGTATTGTATACATAAAAATTTGCTAAAAGAGTAGATCACATGTGAAGCGTTCTTATCACAACAAGAAAAAAAAACATCATCATCATATCGAGAGGGAAGAGGAATCTTTTGGAGGTGATAGATATGTTTATGACATAGATATGTTTATGACATAGGTGACATATGACTTTCAAGGATGTGTCTTTTTCTCCCAAGTTATCAGGTTGTATACTTTAAATATATACAGCTTTTTGTATGTTAAACAAGCCTCAGTACAGCTATTTTGTTTTTTATTGCTTCAGGCCTTTGGTTATTTTGTTCTGTAGATGGCTGATGATGTGTTGCTTTGTAAAATAATCTGCTTATTTCTCCTGGGCATTACAGGATATGATTTATCTTGAATATTTAAACAAATTTCCAGGAATTTCCATGTGTATCTTTTCATTAAGATACTTAAAGGGCTTTTTGTTTGTATGGTGTTATTCAGTGCGGAGATATTTTTCTCTGTTATTTCTTTGATTATTCTTTCTGCTCTATTCTCTTTGTGGAATTTATGTTGAAAATATACCATATATGGGAGATATGTATATATACGTATATGTGAGATGAATTTATGTTGCAAATATAACATATATGGTAGATATTATACACGATATGATATATTTATATATGAGATGAATTTATGTTGCAAATATAACATATATGGTAGATATTATACATGATATGATATATTTATATATAGATGAATTTATGTTGCAAATATAACATATATGGTAGATATTACATATGATACATGATATGTATGTATATAATATATGTGTACATGAGATGAATTTATGTTGCAAATATAACATATATGGTAGATATTATATATGCTATAATATTTCTATACATGGGATAAATTTTTGTTGTAAATATACCAGATATGGCAGATATTATATATGATATATGTGTGTATATATATATATATATATCAGATGAATTTATGTTGCAAATATAACATATATGGTAAACATTATGTATGAAACACTTATATATGAGATGAATTTATAACACAAATGTAACATATATGGTAGATATATATGATATAATCTTATATATGAGATGAATTTATATTGCAAATATATATGGTAGATACATATGATATAATATATATGGGATGAGTTTATATTGCAAATGTGACAGATATGGTAGATATGTATATATATGGGATACATTTATGTTGTAAATATACTACATATGGTAGACATTATATATGATATATGTATATATCAGATGAATTTATGTTGCAAATATAACATATATGGTAGACATGTATATATGCTATAATACATGTATACATGGTATAAATTTATGTTGTAAATATACTATATATGGTAGATACTATATCTGATATATGTATACATGACATGAATTAATGTTGCAAATATATTTGCCTATATGGTAGATGTATATATCTAATATGATACATGTATACATGAGACAAATTTATGTTTCAAATATTTTATATATATATATATATATATATATATATATATATTAGCTATGAATACAGTCATCCCTCAGTAACATTGGGAAATTGGTTCTGGAACCCATCTGAGGACAGGAAAATCCAGGTATGCTGAGGCGCCTGATATAAAATGGTGTGGTATTTGCATATAACCTACCCACATCCTTCCATATGCTTAAAGTCATCTGTAAATTATTTATAACACCTAATATAATGTAAATAGTTGTTATAGGGTGGGTGCAGGGGCTCACGCCTGTAATCCCAGCACTTTGGGAGGCCAAGGTGGGTGGATCACAAGGTCAGGAGATCGATACCATCCTGGCCAACATGGTGAAACCCCATCTCTACTAAAAATATAAGAATTAGCTGGGCATGGTGGCGTGCACCTGTAGTCCCAGCTACTTGGGAAGCTGAGGCAGGAGAATTGCTTGAACCAGGAAGGTGGATGTTGCAGTGAGCCAAGATTGCACCACTGCACTCCAGCCTGGTGACAGAGTGAGGTTCTGTCTCCAAACAAAAACAAAAACAAAAACAAAAAACAAAAATTAGCCACGTGTGGTGGCGTGCACCTGTAATCCCAGCTACTCAGGAGGCTGAGGCAGGAGAATCGCTTGAACCTGGGAGGTGGAGGTTGCAGTGAGCTGAGATTGCACCACTGCACTCCAGGCTGGGCAACAGAGTGAGACTCTGTCTAAAAAAAAAAAAAAAAAAATATATATATATATATATATATATATATATATATATATGTAATATATATGTGTGTATATATATGTATATATGTATATGTGTGTATATATGTATATATATGTGTGTATATATAGTTGTTATACTGTGTTTTTTATTCATAGTTTTATGTTTTTCAAACATTTCTGATCTGAGGTTGGTTGCATCTGCAGATGTGGAAACTGTGGATATGGAGAGCTGAATGCATAGGATAGAATATATAAGTGAGGTCCCTTCTCTGGTTAAAACAACTCCATATGTGCCAGGTGGCTCATGCCTGTAATCCTAGCACTTTGGAAGCCAGGGTGGGTGGATAGCTTGAGCCCAGGAGTTTGAGACCAGCCTGGGCAACATGATGAGACCCCATCTCTACTAAAAAATATATATATATAAATTAGCCGGGCACGATGGCATGCACCTGTAGTCACAGCTGCTTGGGAGGCTGAGGTGGGAGGATCACTTGAGCCCAGGAGGTTGAGGTTGCTGTGAGCCGTGAAATCACACGACTGCACTCCAGCCTGGGAAACAGAAAGAGACTCTGTCTTAAAAAAAAAAGTGTATATATGAGATGCATTTGTATTATAAATAGCATATATATGTATATACGCTAGATATGTATAGAGGATAGAATATATGTTTCTGTGAGAAGCATTTGTACTGTAAATAGTATATATGTGTGGGCTGGGAGTAGTGGCTCATGCCTGTAATCCCAGCACTTTGGGAGGCTGAGGCGGGTGGATCACAAGATCAGGAGATCAAGACCATCCTGACTAACATGATGAAACCCTCATCTCTACTAAAAATAGAAAAAAATTAGCCAGGTGTGGTGGTGGGCGACTGTAGTCCCAGCTGCTGGGGAGGCTGAGGAAGGAGAATGGCGTGAATCCGGGAGGCGGATCTTGCAGTGAGCCGAGATCGCGCCACTGCATGCCAGCCTGGGCGACAGAGAGAGACTCCGTCTAAAAATAAAAATAAAAATAATAATAATAATAATAATAATGAAATGAGATCATGTCCTTTGCAGGGACATGGATGGAGCTGGAGGCCATTATCTTTAACAAACTAACACAGGATCAGAAAGCTAAATAATACATGTTCTCTCTTATAAGTGGGAGCTAAATAATGATGACACTTGAACACAAATTAAAAAACAACAGACTCTGGGGGCTATGTGAGGGTAGAAGGTGGGAAGAGGGAGAGGAGCAGGAAAAATACCTATTCGGCACTAGGCTAAGTACCTCGGTGATGAAATGATCGGTAGCAAAATCCCCCATCTCACGTACCTCCCGAACCTAAAATAAAAGTTAAAACATCAAAAAGGAAAAAGAGCTAACTTGAAATGATACAGTTTGAAGTTTATTAAAAATGCGGACGCGTCACAAGACTCTCCAAAAGTGGGCAGGATGATGGTTTTAAAGTTACGTGTATTTTACCACAATAAAAAAAAATTGGGTTGGACATGGTGGCTCGTGCCTGTAATCCCAGCACTTTGGGAGGCCGAGGTGGGTAAATCACCTGAGGTTGGGAGTTCGAGACCAGCCTGACGAACATAGTGAAACCCCATCTCTATTAAAAATACAGAAATTAGTGGGGCATGGTGGTGCACCCCTGTAATCCCAGCCACTCAGGAGGCTGAGGCAGGAGAATCACTTGAACCCGGGAGGCGGAGGCTGCAGTGAGCCAAGTTTGCACTGATGCACTCCAGCCTGGGTGACAGAGTGAGACTCTGTCTCAAAAAAAAAAAAAAAAATTGTAGAAACCTGACAAGACTCACAAAAAAATGGACAAGATGATGGCTGGGTACAGCGGCTCTCGGCTGTAATCCCAGCACTTTGGGAGGCTGAGGTGGATGGATCACGAGGTCAGAGTTCAAGACCAGCCTGGCCAAGATGGTGAAACCCCGTATGTACAAAAAATAAAAAAAATTAGTCAGGGTGTGGTGGCGAGCACCTGTCATCCCAGCTACTCGGGAGGCTGAGGCAGTAGAATTGTTTGAACCTAGGAGGCGGAGGTTGCAGTGAGCTGAGATCACGCCACTGCACTCCAGCCTGGGTGACAGAGTGAGACTCCGTCTCACACACACACACACACAAAAAGGACAAGATGATCGTTTTTGTGTTATGTATATTTTACCACAATAAAAAAAAAGTTTTGGAGGACGGGGTAAGCAATACGGTAGGGGAGGATGGCTGCTTGCCAACCATTTCCTGACTCCTTCCTGTCCTATTTCTACCGAATCATTCTGCAGGCATCCTGCGGCCTCTGTGTTGAGATGGGCAGGCAGAATTGCAGAGACGTTTACAGCTGTAACGAGGCGTTGGGGGCCACATCCTACCTTCCCGTGTTCTTCCCGTAAAAAGAGTCAATGCTTACCGTGCCTGAGTCGTGACACCAGCCAGTTTCCTAGTCTTCTCATACTCCTGCCTCGTGGCACAGGCACCTCTGAAGAAACTCCCTCCCCATAAGGACCTGCTCAGCTACCCCAGCCTGACACCTGGGCCTTCACAGAAGCCCCTGAGCTCTTGCACCTGAGCCTGCAGGGAAGGGTCCGGAGCCCAGACCTCTGACTCCGACTGACACCATGTACCCAAATGCCCAGTCCGCAGGGGGATTTCAGCTTCGTCATTTGTCAAGGGAGAGGGATGACAGCAGGATGACAGATGAGAAACACAACCTGTGAACCCAAGATAGCAACATAGCAGTACAGTGGGTACCGCCGGGAACACCACACACACACACACGATAGGAAGCTCATTTTCCCCTGTTGAATGTTCAGTATTATGTGCACTGCTTAACCAGAAAAAAAAGCCAGGCTCCATTCAACGTAATCCTTGCATCGTGGTGCCACATGTAGCCATGGAAAAGTAAACTCCTTGATAAAATAATGAGAATTCACAGGTAAGTTTACAGCTTGTCCTGTGGGCTGCTGGCTTTCTAACTTGTTTTTTTTTTTTTTTTTTTTTGAGACGGAGTCTTGCTCTGTCACCAGGCTGGAGTGCAGTGGTGCAATCTCGGCTCACTGCAACCTCTGCCTCCCGGGTTCAAGGGATTCTCCTGCCTCAGCCTCCCAAGTAGCTGGGACTAAAGGCATGCACCACCATGCCTGGCTAATTTTTGTAATTTTAGTAGAGAGGGGGTTTCACCATGTTGGCCAGGATAGTCTCGATCTCTTGACCTCGTGATCCACCTGCCTTGGCCTCCCAGAGTGCTGGGTTTACAGGCGTGAGCCACCGTGTCTGGCCTTTTTTTTTTGAGATGGAGGCTCGCTCTGTCACCCAGGCTGGAGTACAGTGGCACAATCTCAGCTCACTGCAACCTCTACCTCCCGGGTTCAAGCAATTCCCTGCCTCAGCCTCCTGAGTAGCTGGGACCACAGGTGTGTACTACCTCTCCTGGTTAATTTTTGTGTCTCTTTTAGAGACGGGGCCTTACTACATCGCCCAGGCTGGTCTCGAACCTGACCTCGT
The DNA here is from genome assembly GCF_000001405.40 of Homo sapiens. Classification (NCBI taxonomy): domain Eukaryota; kingdom Metazoa; phylum Chordata; class Mammalia; order Primates; family Hominidae; genus Homo; species Homo sapiens. Next base: position 1,571,943 of record NC_000023.11, read on the forward strand.
GATCCACCCATCTCAGCCTCCCAAAGTGCTGGGATTGCAGGCATGAGCCACCGTGCCTGTTGTTTGTTTTTTTTTTTGAGACGGAGTCTCGCTCTGTTGCCCAGGCTGGAGTGCAGTGGCATGATCTCAGCCTACTGCAACCTCTGCCTCCTGGATTCAAGCCATTCTCCTGCCTCAGCCTCCTGAGTAGCTGGGACCACAGGCGTGTACTACGTCTCCCAGTTAACTTTTGTGTCTTTTTTAAAGACGGGGCCTTGCTACATCACCCAGGCTGGTCTCGAACACCTGACCTCATGATCCACCCATAGCCTCCCAAAGTGCTGGGATTACAGGCATGAGCCACCATGCCTGTTGTTTGTTTTTTTTTTTTTTTTTGAGACGGAGTCTCGCTCTGTCACCCAGGCTGGAGTGCAGTGACATGATCTCAGCTTACCGCAACCTCTGCCTCCTGGGTTCAAGCCATTCTCCTGCCTCAGCCTCCTGAGTAGCTGGGACCACAGGCATGTACTACCTCTCCCGGTTAATTTTTGTGGCTTTTTTAAAGACGGGGACTTGCTACACCGCCCAGGCTGGTCTTGAACTCCTGACCTCGTGATCCACCCGCCTCGGCCTCCGAAAGTGCTGGGATTACAGACATGTGAGACACTGCGCCTGGCCTTCCAACTTGTTTTCTAACCTCATCCTAGAGTGACGAATGCATACATAGGATGACCCAGGATACACACATGCATTTCCATTTCATTCACCTGCAAAACAGACATAAGTGTTTCACCTCGGAGGAGCTGCACACCTGGAATCACTGCCTTTGAGCTTGGAGAAAATCGGATAGCGGCAGTCATGAAAAGCCAGGTGGCAGAGAAGGACGGACATGCAATTGCTGAAAAACCCCAAATCCAGAAACACTGGGTGAGAATTTCTCCTTTTTTTCCAATTGCCTCTCCTTGGGGAAGCCGTAAGAATATGTCGCCTTGGGGCGGGGCGCGGTGGCTCACACCTGTAATCCCAGCACTTTGGGAGACTGAAGGGGCTGGATCACGAGGTCAAGAGATCGAGACCATCCTGGCTAACACGGTGAAACCCTGTCTCTACTAAAAATACAAAAAATTAGCTCGGCGTGGTGGCGGGCACCTGTGGTCCCAGCTACTTGGGAGGCTGAGGCAGGAGAATGGCATGAACCCAGGAGGCGGAGGTTGCAGGGAGCCCAGATCGCGCCACTGCACTGCAGCCTGGGCGACGGAGCGAGACTCCGTCTCAAAGAAAAAAAAAAAAAAAAGGAAAAAAGTAAATCTCTCCACTGTCTCTCTGTCTTGTAACGCACAAATGGCATTTTGGGTCAGATGTGGAAGCTCACGTCTGTCATCCCAGCACTTTAGGAGGCCGAGGTGGGCGGATCACCTGAGGTCAGGAGTTCGAGACCAGCCTGGCCAACATGGTGAAACCCCATCTCTGCTAAAAATACAAAGAATAGCCAGGCTTGGTGGCAGGCGCCTGTAATCCCAGCTACTCGGGAGGCTGAGGCAGGAGAATGGTGTGAACCCGGGAGGCAGAGGTTGCAGTGAGCCGAAATCGCACCACTGCACTGCAGCCTGGGTGACAGAGCGAGACTCCGTCTCAAAAAAAAAAAAAAAAAAAAAAAACGGAAAAAAATAAATCTCTCCACTGTCTCTCTGTCTTGTAACTCAAAAATGGCATTTGGGTCAGATGTGGAGGCTCACGTCTGTCATCCCAGCACTTTAGGAGGCCGAGGTGGGTGGATCACCTGAGGTCAGGAGTTCGAGACCAGCCTGGCCAACATGGTGAAACCCCATCTCTGCTAAAAATACAAAGAATAGCCAGGCGTGGTGGCGGGCGCCTGTAATCCCAGCTACTCGGGAGGCTGAGGCAGGAAAATCGCTTGAACCTGGGAGGTGGAGGTTGCAGTGAGCTGAGATCGTGCCACTGTGCTCCAGCCTGGGCAACAGAGCGAGACTCCGTCTCAAAAAAAAAAAAAGGTGTCACCCTTGGGGTCAAGCTCTGGAATCTCTGGCATCCCTGGCAAAGAAATATGTCTGAGGATTACAACAAGGAACTCCAGGAAGGTGAGACACACCGGGGAGGGAGCAGCGTGAGAGAATTGAGGGATATGCTTATGATACAAAACCTGAGGGGGTTCCCCAAACCCAGCAACCAACATAACTCATCATGTCATGCAATATTTATTTTATTTTTTTTTTTTATAGAGACAGCGTTTCATCATGTTGCCCAGGCTGGTCTCGAACTCCTGACCTCAAGTGATCCACCCACCTCGGCCTCCCAAAGTGCTGGGATGACAGACGTGAGCCACCGTGCCCGAACCTCATGCAATATTTAAACAGCAATAAAGGCCAGGCGCGGTGGCTCACACCTGTCATCCCAGCACTTTGGGAGGCCCAGGCGGGCAGATCACCGGAGGTGGAGAGTTTGAGACCAGCCTGACCAACATTGAGAAACCGCGTCTCTACTAAAAACACGAAATTAGCTGGGCGTGGTGGCACGTGCCTGTAATCCCAGCTACTCCGGAGGCTGAGGCAGGAGAATCGCTTGAGCCCAGGAGGCGCAGGTTGCAATGAGCCGAGATGGCGCCATTGCACTCCAGCCTGGGCAACAAGAGTGAAACTCTGTCTCAAAAAACAAAAAACAAACAAATAAATACATAAATAAAATAGGCATAAATATTAAGGCAAAAATGCCATGAGAAACAAACCATTAAAATTTTAAATAAGGATGGGACTAGTATGCTGATGGTAATTAAACATGAAAGCTTGATGGTCACTTGGTCAAGAGAAGTTGACAAACATGACAATCCTATCCATTGACAATGATACAAGCAAAAATGAAAGTTTGAGAGTATTTTGGTAAGCATGCTTTCATTCAAGCCAGGAAAGTAGAATTACTCCCCAAAAAGTCTGGTTTTGATAAAAAAAAATTTAAAAGTTAAAGTAATGCTCTGAATTTTCATATACCCGTGTATCCTTGTAATATTTTCCAACCATTTTAATGTTCTGGAAAAAAACACATGAAATATGTCCAGAGGGGCATGAATTTTTCCTTTTCCATATGTTTTGCTTCAGGCTCCAATCAAAAATATCAGAGCACTGCTGAATCCTGTATTTGTTCACAGTATTGATGATTTATTCATGGTTGTTTATTTGAATTAATTTTGATTTTAAAATATTGAGTGAATTTGATTTTATAATATGGATTATAGGGGTTATGGATAGAGGGTGGATAAATAGATGGATGAGTGGGTTAATGGATGGTAGATGCTGGAAGGATAGATGGATTAATGGATACAGAATATATGGAGGGATGGATGAATGGATGGATGGGTGGGTGGTTAAATGGGTGGGTTAATGAATGGAGGGTGGATAGATGATGGATAGATAGATAGGTTAATGGATTGAGGGTAGATGGATGGATGAGTGAATGAGTGAATAGGTCGATGAGTAGGTTAATGGATGGATGGGTTGGTGGTCGGTTGAGTGGGTGCATGGGTGGAGAGATGAAAGGATGAATGAACAGATGATGGATGGATATATGGATATATGGGTTAATGGATGAAGGGTTGGCTGGCTGGCTGGCTGGATGGCTGGATAGGTGGATGGATACATGGGTTAATGAATAGAGGATGAATGAATGGACTAATGAATGGATGGGTTAATGGATGAAGATTTGGCTGGCTGGAGGGATGGATGGCTGAATAGGTGGATGGATATATGGATTAATGAATAGAGGATTAATGAATGGATTAATGAATGGATGGGTTAATGGATGAAGGCTTGGCTGACTGAATGGATGGATGGCTGGATAGGTGGATGGATACATGGGTTAATGAATAGAGGATAAATTAATGGATTAATGAGTGGATGGGTAAGTAGAAAGTGGGTGGGTTGATAGCTGGGTTAATAAACAGAGGGTGGATAGAGGATGGATAGATAGATACACGGGTAGATGGTTTAATGGATGGAGGGTGGATGGATGGGTAGATGGATGGATAGATGGGTGAATGAATGAATGAGTAGGTAGATGGATACATGACTGGGTGGATGGATGAATAGATTGACAGATTAATGACTGGCTGAATGGGTGGGTGGGTGCATAGATGCATGAACAGAAGAATCGACTGATGGAAGCATGGATGGATGGATGGGTGGATGGATGGATGGATATGATAAACGCGGGAGAATTAAGATCTCTGACACTGGATTCTAGTTTAGTGAACTGGTCCCTGGGATTCTCAATCTTTGCAAAACCCTCCACCTCCTACCTCAAGGTGCAGCTCTAGGAGAAGAGTCCCCATGCTTGAGGGTCAGGCCTTTGCTCACTGACCTCACAGTGCTGGACCCTGCCTGGGAGTCTCTCGAAGGAAGACCCCACTCCTTGGAAGCATCTTGATAAGGACCACAGTCCTGGGCCTCCCTCATTGTCACCTGCTGCTAGGACCTTCCAGATGATTTGTTCCCTGCATGGCCTGCTCTGCATAGAGTGGCTCACCCTGTCCTGGCATCGTACACACTTTTCTGAATTATACCTCAATTACTTTAAGGAGAAAAGGGAAGACCGTTGCATGAGAAGAAATGCAAGGAAGTAATTTTCCTCAAGGGGAAGGCCCACTCCCATATCTTTGTTTTGTATCTTTATTTCCTGTTTGAGGCTGCCGTTTTATCTGATCTTTACAACGTCTGTTTCTCTAGTCTTCACATGGGAGATAACATGCTGATCTGCAGTGGTATATCTCCTTGAAATATCAGTTTCACATCAACATTTAATAAATGCATCCCACACCACAAAGCAGCATTTTCTCAGCAGGCTATGTTTTCAATGAAATTTTCTGCCCAATAACTGAGTATCAACCTCACTGGTTATCACAGATAAACCTGAGTAGTAACCTCTGTTCCTTCTTTTGGAAGGTATTTGATTCTTATGATGTTATGAATGAGGCTGGACTCGGAATTCCCCTTTCTTGCTTGTGGCCAAGGGGTGGTAGACAGGAGAGAGAAGTCATCCAGCCATTTGCAGTGAGGGATGAATAGATTGATAGGTAGATTTGTGAATGGCTGAATGGGGAAAGTATAGATAGATGGGTGGATGAATGGACGGATAGGTGGGTACATTACTGGATGGATGGGTGAATAAATGGATGGGTGACTAGACGGATGGATGGATAGATGGATGGATGGATGGATGGATGAATGGATAGATGGGTGGGTAAATGGATGGATGGGTGGGTACATTAATGGATGCATGGGTGAATAAATGGATGGGTGACTGGATGGATGGATGGATGGATAGATGGGTGGGTGGGTGAATGGATGGTTGGGTGGGTACATTAATGGATGGATGGGTGAATAAATGGATGGGTGACTGGATGGATGGATGGATGGATGGATGGATGGATGGATGGATGGATGGATGAATGGATGGATGGGTGAGTACATTAATGGATGGATGGGTAAATAAATGGATGAGTCACTTGATGGATAGATGGATGGATGGATGAACGGATAGATGGGTGGGTGAATGGATGGATGGGTGGGTACTTTAATGGATGGATGGGTGAATAAATGGATGGATAGATGGATGGATGGATGGATGGATGGATGGATGGATGGATGGATAGATGGGCAGGTGAATGGATGGATGGATGGGTAAATAAATGGATGGGTGACTGTATGGATGGATGGATGGATGGATGGATGATGGGTGCATGAATGGATGGATGGGTGGGTACATTAATGGATGGATGAGTGAATAGATGGATGGGTGACTGGATGGATGGATGGATGGATGGATGGATGGATGGATGAATGGATAGATGGGTGGGCAAATGGATGGATAGGTGGGTACATTAATGGATGGATGGGTGAATAAATGGATGCTTGGCTAGATGGATGGATGGATGGATGGATGAATGGATGGGTGGATGGGTGGACAAATGGATGAACAGATTAACAGGTAGATTGATGACTGGCTGAATGGGTGGGTGGGTGGATAGATAAATGGATGGATGGATGGATGGATAGATGGATGGATGGATGGATGGACAAATGGATGAACAGATTGATAGACTGATGACTGGCTGAATGGGTGGGTGAGTGGTTAGATGGATGAATGGATGGATGAACGGATGAATGAATGGGTGGACAAATGGATAAATAGATTGACAGATTAATGACTGGCAGAATGGGTGGGTGGGTGGATGGATGGATGGATAGATGAGTGGATGGGTGGACAAATGGATGAACAGATTGACAGATTAATGACTGGCCGAATGGGTGGATAGATGAATGGATGAATAAAGTGAAAGACACATGAGTAAGACATCCAGGTCATCTGCAGTGATGGGATGGCTTCTCTCTCCTGTCTACCACCCCTAGGACTCTGTATCTCAAAATGAAAGTCCCATACTTGGTTCTAAGATCTTTGTTTGATTAAGGCCAATGCTTTTTTTAAAACTTGTTTCCACAGTCTCCAGTTACTCACCATAATAGCTTGAATTTTGTCCCCCAAAAGACATATCTAAGTCCTGCCCCCTGGTGAATGAGACCTTATTTGGAAATCGGGTCTTTGCAGATGTGATTAAGAATCTGGAGATGAGATCATCCTGGAGTAGGGTGGGTCCTTAATCCAGTGACAGGTGTCCTTCTAAGAGACGGAAGAGGAGACACAGACACAGAGGAGAAGGCCACGTGGAGATGGGGGCAGAGACTGGAGTGATGCAGCCACAAGTTCAGGTACTCCTGGAGCCCCCAGGAGCTGGGAGAGGCAGGAAGGATCCTTCCCTGGATCTTTCAGAGTGAGCACAATCCTGCCCACATCTTGACCTCAGACTTCTGGTCTCCAGAACCATGAGCTAAATCACATCTGTTGTTTTAAACCCTTGAGTTTTAGGCAAATTGTTAGGGCAGCCCCAGGGCATTCAAGCACCCATTAAATGCATGATTCTATATTTCTGCGGTCCCCACCAATTCCCTTTACTTTGGTCATCAGCTGCAAATTCAAATTCAGGGGTCCCGGGAAGCACTCTCACTTTGGACCAGCTGGCTAAAACTTGTAGGGTCCCAGTGACCACATTCAGGGTGAATAATTTCCTAGAATGACTCACAAGAACTCAGAAAAACACTGTGCTTCTGATTAAAGTCTTATTATACCGAATAGATACAAATTAAAATCAGCCAAGCTGGGCACAGTGGCTCATGCCTGTAATCCCAACACGTTGGAAGGTCGAGGTGGGAGGACCGCTTGAGCCCAGGAGTTTGAGACCAGCCTGGCCAACAGAGCGAGACCTCATCTCTACAAAAAATAAAAAATTAGCCAGGGACGGTGGTGCACGTCTGTCATCCCAGCTACTCAGGAGGCCGAGTTAGGAAGACTGCTTGAGCCCCAGAGGTCGAGACTGTAGTGAGCTGTAATTGCGTCACTGCACTCAAGCCTGGGTAACAGAGTGAGACCTTGACTCAAAAATCAATCAATCAATTAATTAATATCAGGAAGAAAAGAGATGCATAAAACAGAGACCCTACCTTAAAGTCAATTAATTAATTAAATTAAATAATATTAGCTAAGGAAAGTGAAGTATGAGTGAGACCCCGCCTGAAAATCAATTAATTAATTATATTAAATAATGTCAGCCAAGAAAAATGATGCCTAAGACAGAGTGAGACCTTGCTCAAAATCAATCAATCAATATCAGCCAAGAAAAAGGATGCCTAAGACAGAGTGAGACCTTACCTCACAATCAAGCAATTAATTGAATTAAATAATATCAGTCAAGAAAAGAGGTGGATAAGAGAGTGAGACCCTACTCAAAATCAATTAATTAATTAATTAATTAAATAATATCAGCCAAGAAAAGAGATGCATAAAACAGACTCTACCTCAAAATCTATCAATCAATTAAAGTAAATAATATCAGCCAAGAAAAAATATATGAGAGTGAGACCCTGCCTCAAAATCAATCAATCAATTAATTAATAACAGCCAAGAAAAGAGATGCCTAAGACAGAGCGAGACTGTGCCTCAAAATCAATCAATTAATTAAAGTAAATAATATCAGCCAAGAAAAGAGATGTGTAAAACAGAGACCCTACCTCAAAATCAATCAATCAATTAATTAACTAATATCAGCCAAGAAAAAATATGTAAGAGAGACCCTGCCTCAAAATCAATCAATTAATTAATATCAGCCAAGAAAAGAGATGCCTAAGACAGAGCGAGACTGTGCCTCAAAATCAATCAATTAAAGTAAATAATATCAGCCAAGAAAAGAGATGTGAAAACAGAGACCCTACCTCAAAATCAATCAATCAATTAATTAAATTAAATTAAATATCAGGCAAGAAAAGAGATGTATAAGAGAGCAAAACCCTGCTCGAAACCAACCGATTAATCAATTAAACAAATAATATCAGTCAAGGAAAGAGATTCATAAAACAGAGACCCTACCTCAAAATCAATCAATCAATTAATTAAATTAAATAATATCAGCCAAGAAAAGAGATGCCTAAGACAGAGCGAGAGTGTGCCTCAAAATCAATCAATTCAAGTAAAAATATCAGCCAAGAAAAGAGATGCGTAAAACAGAGACCCTACCTCAAAATCAATCAATCAATTAATTAAATTAAATATCAGGCAAGAAAAGAGATGTATAAGAGAGTGAAACCCTGTTCGAAACCAACCGATTAATCACTTAAATAAATAATATCAGTCAAGGAAAGAGATGCATAAAACAGACCCTACCTCAAAATCAATCAATTAATTAAATTAAATAATATCAGCCAAGAAAAGAGATGCCTAAGACAGAGGGAGACTGTGCCTCAAAATCAATCAATTAAAGTAAGTAATATCAGCCAAGAAAAGAGATGCGTAAAACAGAGACCCTACCTCAAAATCAATCAATCAATTAATTAAATTAAATAATATCAGGCAAGAAAAGAGATGTATAAGAGAGTGAGACCCTGCTCGAAACCAAACAATTAATCAATTAAACAAATAATATCAGTCAAGGAAAGAGATGCATAAAACAGAGACCCTACCTCAAAATCAATCAATCAATCAATTATTAAGTTAAATAATATCAGCGAAGAAAAGACATGCCTAAGACAGAGTGAGACCCTGCCTGAAAATCAATCAATGAATTAATTTAATTAAGTAACATCAGCCAAGCAAAGAGATGTACAAGAGAGAGTCAAGGAGGAGCTGAGACCCACAGCTTCCATTGTCCTCTCCCCAAGGACTCACGGGTGCTGTTCCCTCCTCTTAGCATCAATGTGTGATGACAGACGTCAAGTCAGCCCACCAGGGAAGCTGATCAGAACCTCAGTGTCTGGAGTTTTTACCGGGGCCACCACCACCTTCTGTCTCTGCCACTGAGCTTTACTCTCCAGCCCCTCCTGGAGGTTGAAACTGATACTGCATGTCCCAATATGCCCACCTCTTAGACATCTCTTTTCTTGCCTCTTATTATTTAATGAATTGATTGATTGATTTTGAGGTAGGGTCTCTGTTTTCACATCTCTTTTCTTGGCTGATATTATTTACTTTAATTAATTGATTTTGAGGCACAGTCTCGCTCTGTCTTAGGCATCTCTTTTCTTGGCTGATATTAATTAATTCATTGATTTTGAGGCATAGTCTCTCTTACATATTTTTTCTTGGCTGATATTATTTACTTTAATTAATTGATTGATTTTGAGGCACAGTCTCGCTCTGTCTTAGGCATCTCTTTTCTTGGCTGTTATTAATTAATTGATTGATTGATTTTGAGGCAGGGTCTCTCTTACATATTTTTTCTTGGCTGATATTATTTACTTTAATTAATTGATTGATTTTGAGGTAGGGTCTCTGTTTTCACATCTCTTTTCTTGGCTGATATTATTTACTTTAATTAATTGATTGATTTTGAGGCACAGTCTCGCTCTGTCTTAGGCATCTCTTTTCTTGGCTGATATTAATTAATTGATTGATTGATTTTGAGGCATAGTCTCTCTTACATATTTTTTCGTGGCTGATATTATTTACTTTAATTAATTGATTGATTTTGAGGCACAGCCTCGCTCTGTCTTAGGCATCTCTTTTCTTGGCTGTTATTAATTAATTGATTGATTTTGAGGCAGCGTCTCTCTTACATATTTTTTCTTGGCTGATATTATTTACTTTAATTAATTGATTGATTTTGAGGTAGGGTCTCTGTTTTCACATCTCTTTTCTTGGCTGATATTATTTACTTTAATTGATTGATTTTGAGGCACAGTCTCGCTCTGCCTTAGGCATCTCTTTTCTTGGCTGTTATTAATTAATTGATTGATTTTGAGGCAGGGTCTTACTCTCATATATTTTTTCTTGGCTGATATTATTTAATGTAATTGATTGATTGACAGATTTTGAGGTAGAGTCTATGTTTTATGCATCTCTTTTCTTGACTGATAAATTACATTGTTAGACCCTCCAGGGGCCAAAGCCCGCTTAAGATGACCACACCTGGCTAACTTTTTATATTTCATTTATTTATTTATTTATTTATTTATTTATTTATTTATTTTGTAGGGATGGAGTCTTGCTATATTGCCCAGGCCGGTCCTGAATTCCCGGGCTCCAGCAATCCTTCCAAGAAAAGAGGTAGACGTCTGTTTGGAAATCATTACAATTCTTTTTTTTTTTTTTTTTTTTTGAGACAGAGTCCAGCTCTGTTGCCCACGCTGGAGTGCAGTGGCAAAATCGTAGTTCACTGCGGGCTGGAACTCCTGGGCTCAAGCGATCCTTGTGCCTCAGCCCCTCCCGAGTGGCTGAGACTACAGGTGTGTGCCACCACGCCCAGCTCATTTTTTTCTTTTTCTTCTTTTTACAGACGGGAGGGTCTCGCCATGTTGCGCAGGCTGGCCTTGAACTTCCGGCCTCAAGTAATCCTCCCCCCTCGGCCTCCCAAAGTGCTGGGATCACAGGCATGAGACACTGCACCTGGCCAACGGCATGCTGAAATCTTCACTGCAGAAAAGCAAAGCACAAATGGCTTCAGCTGATGATAAGCACTTTGCAGAAGAATACAAAACGCTGATATTAAAAAAAAAAAATGACTTGGGCTAGGGTGTGGTCTGCCGAGGAGGACAGAGAAGGGATATTAAGCGGGGGGCGGATGTATTTTTCACAGGAGAGATTGTAGGAACCGTCCGTGCTGCAGAAGGATGGAATGGCCGTGGGTCTAGATGAGTGTCTGAGTCATACATGAGCTCATAGCGTCCAGGTAGAGCCTGTGGTTGTGTTGTGCTGAGTTAGAAATCTGTTTTTATCTGTCACTTCCTCTGGCCCGCACGGCCTCTCACGCGATGGTGGAGAGAATTACCCCGTTTCCCGGAGTGGAATGTTTGTTTACTGAGTGCCCTCCTCTGGTTCAAACACGGACTCTGCATTTTCAGCGTGGTTTGCTGTTTCTTTGGGCAAATGGGTCAGTGTCCTCACGCCTTAAAATCTCCTCTGGGACTTCTGGACAGTATTCCTTAAATCTCCATCTTTCTTCCAACATTTAGCAAGATGAGGACTGGAATTTTCTTCCTATATTTCTTTTCTTTTCTTTTCTTTTCTTTCTTTCTTTCTTTCTTTCTTTCTTTCTTTCTTTCTTTCTTTCTTTCTTTCTTTCTTCCTTCCTTCCTTCCTTCTTTCTTTCTTTCCTTTCTTTCTTTCTTTCTCTTTCCTTTTCTTTCTCTCTTTTTTTTTTTTGTGAGATGGAGTCTTGCTCTGTCGCCAGGCTGGAGTGCAGTGGTGTGATTTTGGCTCACTGCAACCTCCACCTCCCGGGTTCAGACGATTCCTCTGCCTCAGCCTCCTGAGCAGCTGGGACTACAGCCACGTGCCACCACGCCCAGCTAAGTTTTTTGTATTTTATTAGAGATGGGATTTCACAGTGTTCGCTAGGATGGTCTTGATCTCCTGACCTCGTGATCTACCCACCTCGGCCTCCCAAAGTGCTGGGATTACAGGCGTGAGCCACTGTGCCCAGCTGGAATTTTCTTTTGAAGTGTACCAGCGTCCCCTGTATAAGTCTGTGGAAGAAAATGCATGATTATTATTGTGCTTATTATGATTATTGTCATTATTATTTTGAAAAAAGGTCTCGCTCCTTTGCCCGGGTTGGAGGGCAGTGTTGCGATCATAACTCATTGCAGCCTTGACCTACCGGGCTGAAGTAGTCCTCCCACCTCAGCCTCCTAAGTAGCTGAGACTACAAGCACATGCAACCACACCTGGCTAACTTTTTGTATTATTATTATTATTTTTTTTTTTTGTAGAGATGGAGTCTTGCTGTGCTGCAGAGGCTGATCCTGAATTCCTGGGCTCAAGCAATCCTTCTAAATCAGCCTCCCAAATAGCTGGGATTACAGGCATGCACCAGCATACTCGACTAATTATGTTTGCAGAGATGGGGTCTTGCTAGGTTGCCCAGGCTGGTCTTGAACTCCTGGGATGAGGTGATCCTCTGGCCTCAGCCTCTGAAAGCAGTGGGGGTACAGGCCTGGGCACCCCATCTTGGCAAAGTATTACGGATGGAAGGTGCAGACAGAGAGGTGTATGTGGTTGTCTGTGAGTTCATCACTGTCCAGTGTGTTGTACAATAACCACCACTGAATCTCTCCTTTCAAAGGGCAGAGTCAGAAGCAAGCAGTTAAACCATGAAGGAATAGGCTCCTTGCACCTGCTCTCCTGTTTCTCTTGGGTCCATCCAAAAGTAACTGTGGGTTTTGCCATTGAAAGTAATGCCAATGAATTACTTTCAATGGCAAAAAGAGCCATTTCTATTGCATACTTCTGAACAGGTGGACAGAGTCAGAAACAGACTTTGCCGGCTGGGCACGGTGGCTCCACGCCTGCAATCCCAGCACTTGGGGAGGTCAAGGTGGAAGGATCGTTTGAGCCTATGAGTTTCAGACCAGCCTGGGCAACATAGCAAGACCCCATCTTTATAAAAAAAAAAAAAAAAGAAAAGTAAAGAAAGAAACAGATTTTTCAGGGCGGGTGCCATGGCTCACGCCTGTAATCCTAGCTATTAGGGGGGCCAAGGCAGGTGGATCACTTGAGGTCAGGAGTTCAAGACCAGCCTGGCCAACATGGTGAAACCCCATCTCTACTAAAAATACAAAAATTAGCCAGGCATGGGCCGGGCGTGGTGGCTCACGCCTGTAATCCCAGCACTTTGGGAGGCCAAGGCGGGCAGATCTCGAAGTCAGGAGATCAAGACCATCCTGGCTGACACGGTGAAACCCCGTCTCTACTAAAAACAAAAAAAAAATTAGCCGGACGTGGTGGCAGGCGCCTGTAGTCCCAGCTACTCGGGAGGCTGAGGCAGGAGAATGGCGTGAACCCGGGAGGCGGAGGTTGCAGTGAGCCAAGATCGCGCCACTGCACTCCAGCCTGGGAGACAGAGCGAGACTCTGTCAAAAAAAAAAAAAAAAAAAAATTAGCCAGGCATGTTGGTGTACCTGTAATCATAGCTACTCGGCGGCTTGAGGCAGGAGAATCCCTTGAACCCAGGAGGCCGAGTTTGCAGTCAGCTGAGATTGCATCTCTGCACCCTAGCCTGGGCAACAGAGCGAGAGTCCGTCTCAAAAAAACAAAACAAAACAAAAAAGATATTTCAGGGAAACAGCCCACCTCAGAAGCATCATGCAGAAATTCCTCCCATTCATCCAGGTCAACCCAAAACAGCTGAAAACCTTTTTCTCCATTTTTCAGGTGAAGAGATGCAGAGGGTCCAAGAGGATTTCACAGAGTTCACAGAAACCAGCTCCTCAAGAGACATCAAGTCACCCAAGAATAGACAAGCAGGATGATGCACGCAGATCTTCCAGATGCTTCCAGATCTTCCAGATGCTCCCAGAAGAGCTAGAGCAGAGGCAATGAGGCTGAATGTCCGAGGAATGTGCTGTGGACTCTTCTCGTTTTTTTATTTTTGTTTTTTTTGTTTTTGTTGTGTTTTTTGTTTTTTGTTTTTGTTGTTGTTGTGTTTTTTGTTTTTTGTTTGTTTTTGTTTGTTTGTTTGTTTTTGAGACAGAGTCTTGCCCTGTTGCCAGACTGGAGTGCAGTGGCATGATCTCGGCTCACTGCAACCTCGGCCTCCCACGTTCAAGCGATTCTCCCGCCTCAGCCTCCCGAGTAACTGGGATTACAGGTGCACGCCACCACGCCCAGCTAATTTTCATATTTTTAGTAGAAACGGGGTTTCACCATGTTGGCCAGGCTGGTCTCGAACTCCTGACCTCGTGATCCACCTGCCTTGGCCTCCCCAAGTGCTGGGATTACAGGCATGAGCCTGTTTGTTTGTTTGTTTGTTTGTTTTGAGACAGAGTCTCGCTCTGTCGCCCAGGCTGGAGTGCAGTGGCCAGATCTCGGCTCACTACAAGCTCCGCCCCTCCAGGTTAATGTATTTTTAGTAGAGACGGGGTTTCATCACGTTGGCCAGGCTAGTCTCGAACTCCTGACCTCATGATCCACCCGCCTTGGCCTCCGCAAGTGCTGGGATTACAGGCCTGAGCCACCGCACCCAGCCTTTCTTGTTTATTTATTTTTTTTAATGTATTTATTTTTTTTGAGACAGAGTCTCGCTCTGTTGCCCAGGCTGGAGTGCAGTGGTGCGATCTCGGCTCACTGCAAGCTCCGCCCCTCCAGGTTTAAGCAATTCTCTGCCTCAGCCTCCGGAGTAGCTGGGATTACAGGCGTGTGCCACCACGCCCAGCTAATTTTTTGTATTTTTAGTAGACATGGGGTTTCACCATCTTGGCCAGGCTGGTCTCGAACTCCTGACCTCGTGATCCACCTGCCTCGGCCTCCCCAAGTGCTGGGATTACAGGCGTGAGCCACCGTGCCCAGCCCCAGACCTTCTTTTAAAGTGCTCACCTGATTAGGTCGGGCCTACCTAGAATACTCTCCTGTTTGATGATCTTGAAGTCTGTTGACTAGAGAGCTTATTGCATCTGGAAAGTTCCAGCACCTTTGCTGCAGCATCATGAGACTGATATCTCAGAATCTTTTTATTTGCCTTTCATGCTCAATTCATGGAAATGATACAGACTGGGTACACAACAAAGACTCATGGCTACCTCCCCATGACAAAGGATTACGGCTGCAGATATCCGAGAACTTTGTTTTTTTATTTCTGGGGTACATTCAGGAGAGGGATGTTTTGCTCCAAAATGCTTTAGGAGGCCAAGCATTTTCCTTAAAGGTTTTCCAGATTATTATAACCATCCTTTGGTGCTTGCTGGTTCTGAAGGAGTGAATATCTCCTTCTGAATTTGCTTTGCAAATACCTTCAGGGAACTAGCTGAGTGGCAAAGTGGTTTCCCAATTTAACAGCTCCCCCCGGGAAACACACACCAATGGTATGTAAAGCAGCAGCAGCGAGAAGAATTTTAAAGAGAACCCCAAACGCTTTCGTGTCCCTAAGAAGAAGAAGAATGTACATGCAGGCAGCAAAGGGGTGTGTCTCACTGAGAAGCCTGCTTGGGTTCACAGAATGGTCCCCGTCCTGGGGACCCTGGTGTGTTTGTTTTCTCCTTGGTCAAGTAGAGACTCATAATCATATTAATATTAGCCTTTATGGACATCATGGCTCACACAATGCAAACGCCCCCCCAAATACCCACAAGCCCTCTTCTTCCTTCCCCTCCCCTCCCTTCCCCTCCTCTACCTTCCCTTCCCCTCCCCTCCCCTCCCCTCCCTTCCCCTCCTCTCCCTTCCCTTCCCCTCCCCTCCCCTCCCCTCCCTTCCCCTCCCTTCCCCTCCCCTCCTCTCCCCTCCCTTCCCCTCCCTTCCCCTCCCCTCTCCTCCCCTCCCTTCCCTTCCCCTCTCCTCCCCTCCCTTCCCCTCCCCTCTCCTCCCCCCTTCCCCTCCCCTCCCCTCCCCCTTCCCCTCCCCTCCCCCCTTCCCCTCCCCTCTCCTCCCCACTTCCCCTCCCCTCTCCTCCCCCCTTCCCCTCCCCTCTCCTCCCCCCTTCCCCTGCCCTCTCCTCCCCCTCTTCCCCTGCCCTCTCCTCCCCCCCTTCCCCTCCCCTCTCCTCCCTTCCTTTCCCCTCCTCTTCCATTCCCTTCTTTCCTCCCATCCCCTCCTCCCTTCCCCTCCCTTCCCCTCCCTTCCCCTCCCTTCCCCTGCCCTCCCCTCCCCTCCCCTTCCTTCTCCTCCCCTCCCCTCCCTTCCCCTCCCCCCTCCCCTTTCCTCTGCTCCCTTCCCCTCCCCTCTCCTCCCCCCTTCCCCGCCCCTTCCCTTCCCTTCTTTCCTCCCATCCCCTCCTCCCCTCCCTTCCCCTCCCCTCCCTTCCCCTCCCCTCCTTTCCCCTCTCCTCCCCTCCCCTCCTTTCCCTCCCCCTCCCCTCCTCTCCCTTCCCCTCCCCTCCTCTCCCTTCCCCTCCCTTCCCCTCCCCTCCCCTCCTTTCCCTTCCCCTCCCCTCCTCTCCCTTCCCCTCCCCCCCTCCCCTCCCTTCGCTTCCCCTCCCCTCCCCTCCCCTCCCTTCCCCTCCCCCCTCCCCTCCCTTCCCCTCCCCCCTCCCCTTTCCTCCACTCCCTTCCCCTCCCCTCTCCTCCCCCCTTCCCCTCCCCTTCCCTTCCCTTCTTTCCTCCCATCCCCTCCTCCCCTCCCCTCCCTTCCCCTCCCCTCCCTTCCCCTCCCCTCCCCTCCTTTCCCCTCTCCTCCCCTCCCCTCCTTTCCCTTCCCCTCCCCTCCTCTCCCTTCCCCTCCCCTCCTCTCCCTTCCCCTCCCTTCCCCTCCCCTCCCCTCCCCTCCTTTCCCTTCCCCTCCCCTCCTCTCCCTTCCCCTCCCCTCCTCTCCCTTCCCCTCCCCCTCCCCTCCCTTCCCTTCCCCTCCCCTCTCCTCCCCCTTCGCCTCCCCTCCCCTCCCTTCCCTTCCCCTCCCCTCCCTTCCCCTCCCCCTCCCCTTTCCTCCACTCCCTTCCCCTCCCCTCTCCTCCCCCCTTCCCCTCCCCTTCCCTTCCCTTCTTTCCTCCTATCCCCTCCTCCCCTCCCCTCCCTTCCCCTCCCCCCTCCCCTTTCCTCCGCTCCCTTCCCCTCCCCTCTCCTCCCCCCTTCCCCTCCCCTTCCCTTCCCTTCTTTCCTCCCATCCCCTCCTCCCCTCCCCTCCCTTCCCCTCCCCTCCCTTCCCCTCCCCTCCCCTCCTTTCCCTTCCCCTCCCCTCCTCTCCCTTCCCCTCCCCTCCTCTCCCTTCCCCTCCCTTCCCCTCCATTCCCCTCCCTTCCCCTCCATTCCCCTCCCTTCCCCTCCCCTCCTCTCCCTTCCCCTCCCTTCCCCTCCATTCCCCTCCCTTCCCCTCCCCTCCCCTTCTTTTGAGATGGAGTCTTCCTCTTGTCATCCAGGCTGGAGTGCAATGGCGCAATCTTGGCTCATTGCGACCTCCACCTCCCGGGTTCAAGCAATTCTCCTGCCTCAGCCTCCTGAATAGCTGGGATTACAGGTGCGCACCACCACGCCCAGCTAATTTTTGTATTTTTAGTAAAGACAGGGTTTCACCATGTTGGCCACAATTGTCTCAAACTCCTGACCTCAGGTGATCCACCCGCCTCGGCTTCCCAAAGTGCTGGGATTACAGGCATGAGCCACTGTACCCGGCCTAAATCACAGACTTTTATGTCTCACGGTTCTGGAGGCTGAGAGTCCAAGATCAATGAGTGGGAGGTTCAGTGTCTAGTGAGGACCCGCTTGCTGGTTCACAGGTGGTTCCTTCTGGCTGTGTCCTCACATGGTGGAAGGGGTGAGAGAGCTCTCTGGGGCCTGTCTTCTAAGAGCACAAATCCCACTCATGACCTAACCACCTCCTAAAAGCACCACCTCTAATACTCTTGCAGTGGGAACTGAGTTTGAACTTGAGTTTTGGAAGGACAGAAACATGGAAGGCATAGCAACCCTCTTACACAGCCCGGCCCCTCTGAAGCCTGCCTGGGTTCACAGAATGTTCCGTCTTCCTCAGGCCCCTGGTGTGTTGGCTTTCTCCTTTGTTGATAGCTGATGTTGAGCAATGCAAGATTTCTGTTCTGATTATCTGACCCTGGATATCCAGTTTGGGGACTTGTGACATATTTGGGACGTCAGAAGCACGTACCTCTCACATAGAGCATGGCATACTTAATAAACAATAAATTATAATAAAAAATGAATAATGCATTATAAATTATCATTACTTATTTATTTATTTATTGGAGACAGAGTCTCGCTCTGTTGCCCAGGATGGAGTGCAGTGGCGCCATCTTCGCTCACTGCAACCTCTGCCTCCTGGGTTCAAGTGATTCTCGGGCCTGCCTCAGCCTCCTGAGTAGCTGGGACTATAGGCAACCACCTCCACACCCGGCTAGTTTTTTGTCTTTTTAGTAGAGACGGGGTTTCACCATGCTGGCCAGGCTGGTCTTTTTTTTGTTTTGTTTTGACATGGAGTCTCGCTCTGTCAACCAGGCTGGAGTGCAGTGGCACGGTCTCACTGCAAGCCCCACCTCCCAGGTTCACGCCATTCTCCTGCCACAGCCTCCCGAGTAGCTGGTAGCTGGGACTACAGGTGCCCACCACCACGCCCGGCTGATTATTTTTTGTATTTTAGTAAAGACGGGGTTTCATCGTGTTAGCCAGGATGGTCTCGATCTCCTGACCTCATCATCCGCACATCTCGGCCTCCCAAAGTGCTGGGATTACAGGCATGAGCCACCGGGCCCGGCCCCAGGCTGGTCTTGAACTCCTGACCTTGTGATCTGCCCGCCTTGGCCCTCCAAAGTGCTGGCATTACAGACGTGAGCCACCGCACCTGGCCTCATTTATTATTTTGTAATCACATTATAAATTGTCATTTATTATTTCATAATTACATTATAAATGATCATTTCAGAATTACATTATATATTTTCATTTATTTCATAATTACACTATAGATTATCATTTATTATTCCAAAATTACATTATAAATTATGATTATATTATACAATAGCATTTGCTTCATAATTACATTAGATTATCATTTATTTTTAAATTACATTATATTTATTTCATAATTACATTATAAATTATCTTATAATTAGAAATGATCATTTATTTCATAATTGCAATATAAATTATTATTAATTTCATAATACCATTGTAAGTTATCATTTATTATTTCATAATTACATTATGTAATGGTATGCGTTAATAATTATTAATATACAATTAATAATTATTAACCATTCAATTAATAGTTAATTAACTAGCAATTTATATGTAATTCTATAATTACGTCATAGAATATGATATCTAATTTATACATAAATTATATTATTCAAGTATATTACCCATAATTTGCAAGTATAGTATAGAATCCCGTTATAGGATCCTATTACATTTTAGAATTTTGTTATATATATTTGACTCTACAATTGGAATTTAGACCCCACACCGGCCCCCCTCCTGTTTGGCTTAAGGGCTATGACCACAGACCCTGGCCCAAGTACCTCCCCTGGTTACCCGCAGGCAGGTGGCACCATGGGGGCGGGGCGGACTCGCGCACGCGCAGTGCAAAAGGTCGGGCTCCCGGAAGTCCCTCCTCCCGGGGGCGGAGCCAGGGCAAGAAGGAGAAACCCGGTGCTGCCGCGCGGCCTCTTCCGCGAGCCCGCGCGCCGGAAGTGGAAATGCGTCATAGAGGGCGGGCGGCGACGGCGGTGGCGGCGTCGGAGGCGCCTCCGGGGGACGGTGGCGGCTCCCGGCGGTGAGGCCGCGCCTGTCCGGGGATCGTCGAGGGACGGCGGGAGCTTGGGCCAGCGGCGGCGGCGGCCTGGGACGCAGGCGGAGCCCCGCGCAGGTGAGTGCCGCCCCCGTGCCTCCCGGGCCTGGCTGCAGCCGGCGAACGCTTCGCTCCTAGGGCCGGGCCCGGGGGGCCGGGGCTTGGGAGGCGGCGCCTAGGGGCCTCGGAGGTGACGGGGCTGGGGTTGGGGGGCGTGGGGTGCCACCGGGGGGCTGGGAGCGCCTGAAACTGTACGGGGGAATCGGGGGCTGGGGAGGTCTGCGGTCGGGGTCCGGGGGTCCCTGGAAGTAGGGGTAGGGGCTGGAGCGGTTCCTGGGACTGCACCGAAGGAGCTGAGGCCTGGAGCGGTGTCGGAGGGCTGGGAGCTCGGGGGATCGGATGGGCGGGAGACTAGGAGGCCTGGGACTAGGGGACGTGGCGCTGCGGTCGCTCCTAGGTCTACAGTGGGAAGCAAGGGGCTGTCCGGGGTTTTCGGAGGCTGGGGCGGTGCTGTGTAGGTTGGGGTATTGGGGCTCATCCAGGAGGGTGGTGGGGAGCGGGGAACTGAGGAGCTGAGGGTACCGAGTGGCCAAGGGCCTGAGAATGTGTGGGGCCCTGCCAGGGGTGCCAGCGGCAGCCTGAGGCCATGCTGGGGGGCTGCGGTAGGTGGGAATACCAGGGGCAATGCCGCGTACTGGGGATTGGGCAGCCAGGTGTACCGGGGTGGTCGGAGGGCGCTGGAGGCCAGAGTGGGGAGGGTTCCTCGGTGGTGAAGTTGCTGGGGCCGCTTGGGTTCTGGGGGAGGGTTCACTGGTCTCTGTCCAGACTGGAGCCCCTCCCTGGTGCCCCACTGACCTTTTCTGGTCGCTTCTCCACCCTCCCTCCCTTCTTTCGCACCTCCCACCTCGGGCTTGGGCGAGGAGGCCGTCTCCTGGGCCTGGCAGGAAGCCTCCAGGTTGATGGGGTGGGCGGCCGGGCCGGAGGCGGTCACCTGAGATGGTTGGGTTTCTGCGAGTGAAGCTTCCTCTACTTGGACTTGGCCGTCAGGAAGTGGCTGCCCGTCAGCTCAGCAGGGAAGAGGTGGGTTAATGAAGGTGGGCGGAGAAAGAAGGCGCAGACGGGGGACTCCGGCCCCTAACTTGTGGAAAGTTCGTTGTACTTTTTGGCTTTGAGTGGGTTAAAGCTGGGATACGTTTGGCCTTCGTGGAGATTACTAGGGTTCATGGTTCTGGATTGTTGTTGCAGCCCGAGACTTCCTGTTTTATCAGGGCAAGTACAGGGCCGCCGCCCCCTCCACAAAACCTTTCCAGATGCCTGCAGCTGTGCTCTCCCTGGCCCCTTCCCTTCCCCAGTGTCTCTCTGCCCCTTCCCGTGGAGCTAGGCGTTTGTAGCGTCCCCGTTCCTACTTGACCTGTGTGAGGGGCCTGGTCGTGCTCAGCTTCCTATTCTGCAGGCCTTGGGAGCTGCTGGCTGCTGGATGTAGGGTGTCGGGCAGTGCTGACCGAGGCTTTGACACTAACCTGTTCTTTATCAGCTCGGCTCTTTCCCCTTTGGTGTACTCTTAATGATTTCAAAAAGTAAAGAACTCCGTTGAGATGGCTGTTAACAAAGTGGAAACCGGTCTCTGACACGGCAGAGAGACACTGCTGTTTCTCTTCTCCGGGTCCAGAAAGTGCCTGCTGGCTTGGCCCCTCCTCATTGGCGGGGGAGGTGGGGGGTGCTGGTGCTGACTGTCTGCGTCTTATGTTTCAGGCCCAAGGTCCCGGAGGCTATGGCAGCGGCTACCATCGTGCACGACACGTCTGAGGCCGTGGAGCTCTGCCCTGCTTACGGCTTGTACCTGAAGCCCATCACCAAGATGACCATCAGCGTGGCACTCCCGCAGCTGAAGCAGCCGGGGAAGTCCATCTCCAACTGGGAGGTGATGGAGAGGCTGAAGGGCATGGTGCAGAACCACCAGTTCTCCACGCTGCGTATTTCCAAGAGCACCATGGACTTCATCCGCTTCGAGGGGGAGGTGGAGAACAAGAGCCTGGTCAAGTCTTTTCTGGCCTGCCTGGACGGCAAGACCATCAAGCTCAGCGGCTTCTCCGACATCCTGAAGGTGCGCGCGGCCGAGTTCAAGATCGACTTCCCCACCCGCCACGACTGGGACTCCTTCTTCCGCGACGCCAAGGACATGAACGAGACCCTGCCGGGGGAGCGGCCGGACACCATCCACCTGGAGGGGCTGCCCTGCAAGTGGTTCGCCCTGAAGGAGTCGGGCTCCGAGAAGCCCAGCGAGGACGTCCTGGTCAAGGTGTTTGAGAAGTTCGGGGAGATCCGGAATGTGGACATCCCCATGCTGGACCCCTACCGGGAGGAGATGACGGGCCGCAACTTCCACACCTTCAGTTTCGGGGGGCACTTGAACTTCGAGGCCTATGTGCAGTACCGCGAGTACATGGGCTTCATCCAGGCCATGAGCGCCCTGCGCGGGATGAAACTCATGTACAAGGGCGAGGACGGCAAGGCCGTGGCCTGCAACATCAAGGTGAGTCCTGGGCACCGAGAGAGCCACGCGCTTCCTCCCTCTGGCGACTTCCTTCCAGCAGGGTCAGCAGAACGCTCCCAGCCACACCCCTGAGGCTGTGGGGACCTCCCCTAAGTAAAATGGCAGCAACAGTCCTGTGCCTGTCCAATTTCAGAGGCACAGGCGTGAGGTGGAGTAGGGGTCCCGTGCTGTGGTTTTGGAAATTTGGTATCTTAAGGAAGATGTGGGGGAGACACAGGTCATATAGTAGGTGAGGGATGGAGCCTCAGGAACTCTGACAGGGATTTGAACCGTGTCAGAACCAAGAGAACCCGGCCTTCCCAGAATGCACCTTGAAACCAGGGCTGAACGTTCCCTTTAGCCTCATGTGCTTTTTTATTTTTTTTATTTTTTTTATTTTTATTTTTTTTTCGAGGCAGAGTCTCGATCTGTTTCCTGGACTGGAGTGCAGTGGCGCAATCTTTGCTCAGTGCATCCTCCGCCTCCTGGGTTCGAGCGATTCTTCTGCCTCAGCCTCCCGAGTAGCTGGGACTACAGGCGCGTGCCATCACACCTGGCTAATTTTTGTATTTTTAGTAGAAACAGGGTTTTGCCGTATTGGCCAGGCTGGTCTCGAACTCCTGACCTCATGAACTGCCTGCCTCGCCCTCCCAAAGTGCTGGGATTACAGGCGTGAGCCACTGCGCTCAGCCTAGCCTCGTGTTTTGACCGTGTTGGCTTCACAGTGACAAATGAGCCAGCCTCCTGGAGGGGGTTTTGTGGCCTTAAGATGTGCCCTGTGGGTGTGGGCAGGCGGCCTGCTCAGTGACTGTGGCCACAGGGAATGGTGGAGCCGGGTAGCGGAAGGGGAGCTGTGTCTCGCAGCGGTGGCGTGTCACTTGTGTTCAGTAAGTGGCGAGGGCTAGTTGGTGTTCCTCGCTGAGTCGTAACTCCGTGGGATGAGCTAAGTCTTGAGCCACTGATGGTGACTTGAAGGGATTGGTTTGGCTTCTGGGCTCCACTGTCTGGGTCTGCACCGGACATGAGTGGTGAGCGGTGAGCGGTGAGCGGGCGCTCAGGCTCTGAGGCCACTCGGCCCTACGGCCCAGGAGAGGGCGCCTGGCCGTGTGTCTGGGGGGTTTTGGGGGAAGGCCATCTGACACTGTTTTTGCTTTTAAAGGTTTCTTTTGATTCGACCAAACACCTGAGTGATGCCTCAATTAAGAAGCGGCAGCTGGAGAGGCAGAAGCTTCAGGAACTGGAGCAGCAAAGAGAAGAACAAAAGCGCAGAGAGAAGGAAGCGGAGGAGAGGCAGCGAGCGGAGGAAAGGTACCTTCTGCGGGAGCGGGCCCTCGGCGCTGGTGTCCGGCACCTGGGAGTGTGCGCAGACCCGTGTGCGTGTGTCTGCATGTATTCCTGTGCGTGTGTGTGTGCATGCATGCTTGTGAGCTTGTGTGTGTACCTGTGTGCATGGACGCACGTGTGCCTGTGAACCGGTGTGTGTACTTTGTATGTCCCTATGTGCGCCCGAGTGTGTGCCTGAGCATCTGTGTGCACGTGTGCCTGTGTGTGCGTGCATGTGTGTGAGCTCGTGTGTGTACCTGTGTGTGTATGTGCACGTGTGCCCACATGTGTGTGCTTCTGTATCGGCACATAGCACACATGTGCCTGTGTGCATGCGTGTGTGCCTGTGAACCCGTGTGTGTACTTGTGTGTGCACGTATGGGTGTGTGTGCAGGCCTGTGGGTGCTCAGCTGTGCACGTGAGGACCTGCGTGAGTGGCTGTTTGAGACGCAGCAGAATATGAATGTTTCTCTTTTTCTTGTCACACGTCGTGGTCTGACACGATCTCTGCCGGCTCCCAGGACCGCGCCTTGCCCGAAGAGCCACCTCTTCTCCCTCCACATGCTGTTCACACCTCCCGCTGAAACAAGCAGAATGCCTTGGCTGTTTGCAAGTTTGCATTTAGGTTGAGGCTACATTTACAAAATGAAGTAGAGGGTTGATGGTGATGGCCAGATTTAAAAAAAAAAAAAAAAACAAAAAACCAATGATAGGACAAAAACCCGGTTTCACATAAGAGGCCTTTAAAGCAATTGCCTGGGTCGTTCACTGTGGTTGGGGTACCAGAGACAACCTCAGGTCACTCTTTGTAGCCCCTTTTATCTTCTTAGCATTGCAGGAGGGAACCAACAACTTTCTGTGAATCCCCTGAGGCGGAATCCTCCTCCTCCTCCTCCTCCTCCATCCCTCCCACCCTCCTAGTGAGGTGGATTCCTCCTCCTCCTCCTCCATCCCTCCCACCCTCCTAGTGAGGCGGAATCCTCCTCTTCCTCCTCCATCCCTCCCACCCTCCTAGTGAGGTGGATTCCTCCTCCTCCTCCTCCATCCCTCCCACCCTCCTAGTGAGGTGGATTCCTCCTCCTCCTCCTCCATCCCTCCCACCCTCCTAGTGAGGTGGATTCCTCCTCCTCCTCCTCCATCCCTCCCACCCTCCTAGTGAGGTGGATTCCTCCTCCTCCTTCTCCGTCCCTCCCACCCTCCTAGTGAGGTGGATTCCTCCTCCTCCTCCTCTTCCTCCTCCATCCCTCCCGCTGTGCCCTCCTAGTGAGGCGGATTCGTCCTCTTCCTCCTCCATCCCTCCTGCCGTGTCCTCCTAGTGAGGTGGATTCCTCCTCCTCCTTCTCCGTCCCTCCCACCCTCCTAGTGAGGCGGAATCCTCCTCCTCCTACTCCTCTTCGTCCTCCGTCCCTCCCGCTGTGTCCTCTGACGACTTTGGTGCGTCCTGCACGTCTGTTGCGCTTCATGTCGCCGATATCAAGTCTGGGACGTGTTGGACTTGGCTGGGGGGCTCCTGGACAGCCTCTGGTGGGACCGAGTTGGTCCGTTTTGTTTCCATTTCTCACTGCTTTATGTGACGCTGGTGCCAGCGTGTTGATGTGTGTGGCTGGTGATGTTTGCACGAGAGTCCCGGCACTGAACTCCTGGGAGCAGGTCCATCCTGCCCGTGGTGTTCTTTACGTAGCCCCCGTTGCCTCCCCAGGGGAGAGTCGGGTTGTCAGCCTCTGAATCTGAACCCCGAGGGCTCCTTAGGTGAGGCAGGTGCAGTGTGTAAGCGAGTGGCCGTGAATGTGCTGGGGGGGCCCATGTCAGCCGTCAGGATTCCCAGGACCTAAGGCAGGCAGCACAGAGAGGCAGACGCCCTGGGAGGGAGGGACATGCTGCTGCGTCGCCATCCTGGGAGGCGGTCCCTGGGAGGGGCGGTTCGGATGTGGGGTTGAGTCCGGGTCCCCTGTGTCAGCCACTGTCAGGCCGAGCAGGACAGCTGGGGTGGGAGACAGTCCTGGGGCGTTACAGGGACTCTTCCAGGCTGCAGACACAGCCCAGGCCTGGCTGAATGTGCCTGTCCACATTCTGGAAGTGTGGAGTGGGACTCAGAGCCTCGGACCTCTCGGTGTCGCAGGAGTGTCCCCGCAACATTTCAGAAAGCAGCTTGCGGGTGCGGAGAAGAAGCTGCATCCTTGATCTTTCCCTGAGGAGAGATGGACGTTGGAGTAGTGGAGTGTGTCTCTGCAGGGAAGGGACCCCGTCTGCCTGGCCAGACCACAGAGGGATTGGGGGAAGCGGGGCCGGGCCATGAGGTTCTCGAGAGCAGGATGGGGTGTCCAGAGCCCCGGGGAGGGGCAGGCCTGTTGTCTGGGGGAGCTGGCCAGGAGGGCTCCACACGCAGGGCCGTACTTGTCCCCGCTGTCCCCCACTGTCCTTCCTCAGAGGCTGAGCATGAGGGGAGGCCCAGGGCAGCCTCCTGCATTTCTTTCTGGTGGGTGGAGATGAGGCATGTTTGCTTGTTCAGCCCTCACGTGTAACTTTGAGCTTGATGAGAGCTGTCCTCTGAAAGCTGCCCAGCCTCGAGGCGTCGCTGTGGGTCCCGCCTAAGGGCGTGCTGTGTGCTGGGCTGCCCTGAGCCGCCCTCCGAGCTCGTGGGGCGGTGACAGCTCACAGGGCGGTTAAACCTTCAGCACATGAAACTGCCTGAGGACCTGCATGCCCCGCCCGGAGACCGTGTGGATCACTGTCTGGGCGTCGGCACCTGGCCCGGCCCCCTTCTTGGGGTGGCAGAGCGTGGGATGCCTTTTCTCCCGGCCTGCTCCTCCTTGTCCCCGTGTCTCCTCTCCCCTTGGTGTCTGCGTGGGTCTGTGTCACCCCGGCGGGCTTTGTGGCCTCACTAGGCGGTTGGCGGCGCCCACCCGGGCTTCAGAAGTCTCCGCCTCCGTGTCGTGTTCCATAGGAACAGCTGCGACTTGTTCCCATGTCCGGTGTTGGTTGAAATGCATTTGAGAGCTGCGGGGCGGGGGAGGCTGAGCTAGGGAACTCCCCACTGTCTCTTGTGGACTCTCTCTGGGGACCGCGCCCCTCCCCGGCCGCATTCATCCTCACTTCCTGGACACCCCTCTCCACAGGAAAAGTGCAAGGAGCTGAGTGGCGTGGCTGTGGTTGGATTTGTTTAGAGAGAGGTCCCCCCGTGCCAGTGCTGTGTGGTGCCCTCACAGGAGTCCTGCACAACAAGGAGTCACCCAGCGCGGTTCCTGGTGGGCAGAACCGGCGTCCTCCGCGCCGCTGTGCATCCCGGGGCCTTGTTGGGCCTGCTGGGGTTCCTCTTTCACCCGTCCGTCTGCCCATCCGTCTTTCCCCTGACTGGGGGCGTGGCTTTTGATGTGGTCGGTCCAGTGGTCGTTTTCTTCGTGGTTTCAGGGTTGGGTCACACTTAGCAGGACGGTGTGTTGGAAGGTCACGGAGGTCCTCGCCCGGCTCACTCCTTCCACCTCTCGGGCTGCTTTGAGTCAACCGAGGTCCACCTTGGGATAAAGAGTTAAATGCTTAATCGTTGGACCGTGGCCTGTTCCGCCGTGTTTGGAAAGCCGCTTGTATGGTGTGTGGTGTGTTGGCTGCGGCGCTCTCTGTGACCACCCCCGGTGTGTTCCACACAGGAAACAAAAGGAGCTGGAAGAGCTGGAGCGAGAGAGGAAAAGAGAAGAGAAGCTTCGCAAGAGGGAGCAGAAGCAGAGGGACCGTGAGCTGCGCCGGAATCAGAAGAAGCTGGAGAAGCTGCAGGCGGAGGAGCAGAAGCAGCTGCAGGAGAAGATCAAGCTGGAGGAGCGCAAGCTGCTGCTGGCCCAGAGGAACCTGCAGTCCATCCGGCTCATCGCCGAGCTGCTCAGCAGAGCCAAGGTACCCGGGGGCTCCCTCTGCAGCCGCCAGCCGCGCCCGGGCTGCCCTCAGTGCCCTCCCCTGAAATGCGGGCGGCGTCACGGCGCCGTTTCCCCGCCGGCTGCAGCTGTAGCTACGAAACCAGCTTTAATGCCGAGGATGACGGCTCCTTCCCGGGAGGGTGTAGCGCTCGTCTGTCGTTCCCGATGATTTCAGAGCTGTGACGGTTTCCTTTTGCAAAGCTGGTGCATTCAGGTTCCCCGAGCAGGCTGGCAGCCTCCCGGGGGCCAGGGCAGAGGCTCTCTGTTTCCTTTGGGTCGGGGCAGTGGCAGAGAGTGCAGGGGGCCGCTCCCTCTGGCCCGCGCCTCTGTGTGTGGTCAGCTGGCCTGGCTGTGACCTCACCAGTGGCCCAGAGCAGAGGGGCAAGGTGGGCTGGGGGGAGGGCTGAGCGCACAGAGGGGGCCTGCCGTGGGCCCGGGTCCCTCCTCCGCAGCGTGAACCTGACAGGTCTCACCAGCGCCGGTACTGACGACCCCCTCAGCACCAAGAGCCTCCCTGCTCCTCCTGCAGGCGCGACTGGTAACTCCCATGAGCCCGGGGCCAGGGCCCACAGACAGACAGACCTCCCCAGGACAGACGTCCCCGGCACGCTCCTTGTCCTCAGGAGGGCTGCGTCCCCCTGGAGTCCAACGCGGGGCGACCCCATAACCTGTTGTCTGATTACAGTTGTGATAAGTCCCCGGGAAGGAGCATGACAAGAGGCTGAGACATGTGGCAGCCCAGTCCTTACCTCATGGTGAATATTGAAGACACTAACCCAGGCTAGGCCAGGCTCGCCCCGCAGCTACGGCGGTGGCATGCGTCTGCGGCGTCATCTCAGCTCCCTGTTGCTGGCGGCCGCTTGTGACCTAACCGCAGGCGCCTGTGTGCAACGTGGTGGGGCTCCCGGCAGGGCTCGGCTCTGCCCAAGAGGCCCGCCCTGGGGCTGCGCCGAGCCGCTTTGCCAAGGGGTTTCCTTCTCACTCAGACGCATGATGGCCCCAGGTGTGGCCGCGGGAGCCGAGGGATGGACGGGCTGGACCTGGCTCGCCGTAGGAGACGCCCCCCACCCCTGGGCTGGAGTCCAGCCAGGCCGCTGATCCTGCATCCCCAGACCATGGGGCCTCCAAACACCTTCCCAGCTCCTGTCCCACGTGTCCGGCCAGGCTCAGGAACCGGGCTCAGCTGCACTTTCCTCTTCCCCGCAGGCTGTGAAGCTACGGGAACAGGAGCAGAAGGAGGAGAAGCTGAGGCTCCAGCAGCAGGAGGAGCGGCGGCGGCTGCAGGAGGCCGAGCTGCGGCGCGTGGAGGAGGAGAAGGAGCGCGCGCTGGGCCTGCAGCGGAAAGAGCGGGAGCTGCGCGAGCGGCTGCTGAGCATCCTGCTGAGCAAGAAGCCGGACGACAGCCACACACACGACGAGCTGGGCGTGGCACACGCCGACCTGCTGCAGCCCGTCCTGGACATCCTGCAGACCGTGTCGTCCGGCTGTGTGAGCGCCACCACGCTGCACCCCCTCGGGGGCCAGCCCCCGGCCGGTGCCCCCAAGGAGAGCCCGGCCCACCCAGAGGCCGACGGCGCTCCCAAAAGCGTGAACGGGAGCGTGGCCGAGGAGGCCCCATGCAAGGAGGTTCAGAGCTCCTGTCGTGTGGTCCCCGAGGATGGCTCTCCAGAGAAGAGGTGCCCGGGCGGCGTCCTCTCCTGCATTCCTGACAACAACCAACAGCCCAAGGGCATCCCTGCCTGCGAGCAGAATGTCTCCAGAAAGGACACCCGGTCAGAACAGGACAAGTGCAACCGGGAGCCCAGCAAGGGCCGGGGCCGGGCCACCGGAGACGGGCTTGCTGACCGGCACAAGCGGGAGAGGAGCCGGGCCAGGCGGGCCAGCAGCAGGGAGGACGGGAGGCCACGCAAGGAGCGGCGGCCCCACAAGAAGCACGCCTACAAGGATGACAGCCCCCGCCGGCGCAGCACGAGCCCGGACCACACCCGGTCCCGGAGGTCCCACAGCAAAGACAGGCACCGGAGGGAGCGGAGCCGGGAGCGGAGGGGCAGCGCCAGCAGGAAGCACAGCCGCCACCGCCGCCGAAGCGAGCGGTCGCGCTCCCGGTCCCCGAGCAGGCACCGCAGTACCTGGAACAGGTAATGACGGGCACGGCCTCCCCACGGCCTGTCCGGGAAAGACCAGGACCTGCTCGAGCCTCCTGGCCGCTCCTTGGCCGCTCTCCGTCCACCCCTGCAAAGCCAAGACCCTTCTGCAGCCACGAATGTCCACGGAGCCCGCCGGCAGGAAGGAAGACACCATGCTTTAGAGATCCATCTTTCTCCACTCACCGCAGCGTACTTGGCACTTCAGTTTCAAACACGTAGTCCTTTAAAACTTGATCCGATAGCTTTAATGCGGCCGGTCCTCTCTCAGTCAGGAAAATTGCACAGACCGACAGTCGTGAGGATGGCAGAGCTGCTGCATTCCCCCACACGGGGATTTCTGTGTCTGCTTGGCGACCTCCCTGCGTGCACGGCCTAGGAGGTGCACGGGCCACCATAGTCACACTGGCACTGAAAAGAAAGCGTTGCCCTGGTGATTCTTTCCCCCCCGTTTGTAATGTTAACTGATCAGGAAGTGCAGTTTGGGTGGGATGCCGAATCGTCGTGCTGACATTGAGTCACGGATGAGGAAGGTACAAGTCCTTTAAGATCAAAACTCAAACGGGCCGTTCTTTCTAAGGTGTCGGTATGTGGGGAGTGGTACAAAATGGTCTGATGCTCCTTCAAAAACATTCACTTTTTACAACGTCAAGGAATTAAGCATAAAAAAGATTGGTTAAAAGCTTTGGTTTCTAGTAAAGGTTAGTGTGTGTGGTTTTTTTAAGAAGCTGTTTTGCTAAATTATTTTTACTTGGAATGTTTCAAACAGATTTCAGGCTGCAAACTTGTTTTATAATCGTTTGCTTCTCCAAGTGAAGCTCAGAAATACCTAAAAATAGCTGTAACGTTCGCGTTAGGAAAGATGGTGTTTATTCCAGTTTGCATTTTTATGGTGAAATAAAATCCTTTTCCAATGAACTAAAATTTTTCACGCTTACGATTTTTGTGTTTTTATGTTCCTTGGACTGCATTATTCAGCTGAGGCTAGCCAAGTGTGCGTGAAACCAGTAGAGATCGTTCGCTTTTCCTAGAACTGCTGATTCAACGATGACATATCCCACAGCTCTCCCGCAGCTGTACGGTAGTAACCTTCTGAGAGGAGAATCCTGGCTCTTAAGAGGCATCTGATTTGTTTGCTGAGAACATAAACTTAGCCAAATTCCCAAAACCAATCTTTTTTAAAGCCAAGGAGCTGTTTTTAAAGCAAATTTAAAAGACGGTCGTTCTTTTTTTTTTTTTGAGCCGGAGTCTCGCTCTGTGACCCAGGCTGGAGTGCAGTGGCACGATCTCAGCTCACTGCGAGCTCCGCCTCCCGGGTTCACACCATTCTCCTGCCTCGGCCTCCCGAGTAGCTGGGACTATAGGCGCCCGCCACCGTGCCCAGCCAATTTTTTTGTATTTTTTAGTAGAGACAGGGTTTCACGGTGTTAGCCAGGATGGTCTCGATCTCCTGACCTCGTTATCCGCCTGCCTTGGCCTCCCAAAGTGTTGGGATTACAGGCGTGAGCCACCGCGCCCGGCCAAAGACGGTTCTTTTCCCCGCCTAAAGTAGTGGTCACAGGTAGCGTAGGCACTGCCTGCTTGACCCAGGGTGGAATAGTCTGTTCCTCTGTTTAATTAAAACACAAACGTTCTTGGGGACTGGAGGGCTGGACACGTGCCTGTTGCACCCCCAAGCTCATATCACTAGCAGACAGATGAGCACTACACACACACCTTTCTCTCAAACGGCTCTGTCTGGCCTGAGACCAACTGACAAGATGCGTCCAGACACAGAGTGTTTGCAAACACGGACCTCTCAGAAGTCTGCATCTGGCCGGGCGCGGCAATTCAAGCCTGTCATCCCAGCACTTTGGGAGGCCGAGGCGGGCAGATCACGAGATCAGGAGATCGAGACCATCCTGGCTAACACAGTAAAACCCCGTCTCTACTAAAAATACAAATTAGCCAGGCGTGGTGGCGGGTGCCTGTAGTCCCAGCTACTCGGGAGGCTGAGGCAGGAGAATGGCGTGAACCGGGGAGGTGGAGCTTACAGTGAGCCGAGATCGCGCCACTGCACTCCAGCCTGGGCGACAGAGCGAGACTCCTGTCAAAAAAAAAAAAAAAAGCTGTGTATCTGTGTCAGTCTGTCCAGCCCAGCACTGAGCTTTTTGCCTGTTCAGTAGTTATTAGAGCGTTGCCAGGGCCGGGCATGGTGGCTCACACCTGTTATCCCAGCACTTTGGGAGGCCGAGGTAGGTGGATCACCTGAGGTCAGGAGTTCAAGACCAGCCTGGCCAACATGGTGAAACCCCGTCTCTACTAAAAACACAAAAAACTAGCCGGGCGTGGGGATGGTCACCTGTAATCCCAGCTACTCGGGAGGCTGAGGTAGGAGAATCGCTTGAATCTGGGGGGCAGAGGTTGCAGTGAGCCGAGATCACGCCACTGCACTCCAGCCTGGGCGACAGAGCGAGACTCCATCTCAAAAACAAACAAACAAACAAACAACGTTGCTAGGACCAGGTGTTGCTCTGGGCACCTGGGATATGGTGCTGGAAAAGACAGCACTCCCTGCAACGCTGAGGAATGTGTAGATACAGGGATGAGAAGTCCCAGTGATAGCTTCTCGAGAGAGCTGTGTGCGCAAGACAGAAGGGTGGACGTGGTGTGTCTGAGGTCAAGAAGTGCATGTGGCCGGGGGAAGGAGTAGGCAGAAGAGAAGCAGGAAAGGTGGACATGGAGCTGATCGCACTCATGAGGCTGACCCACTCCAGACTTTTGGGACGAGAAGCAAGAGGGGCTGTAAGCTGGGAGTGTGATGAGTGTGGCGGCTTGAAGTGCTGGTGGACTGGGCTAGGGGTTGATGGGAGAGAAGGTGGCAGA
This sequence comes from Homo sapiens, assembly GCF_000001405.40. Taxonomy (NCBI): domain Eukaryota; kingdom Metazoa; phylum Chordata; class Mammalia; order Primates; family Hominidae; genus Homo; species Homo sapiens. The sequence continues at coordinate 1,604,462 of NC_000023.11, forward strand.
AATTGAATGCGTGTTGCCTTGTGATATGTTAGATGTGGGCAGTCTAGGAAAGCTGGAGAGCACCACCCCCAGGCCTATAGAATTGGGTATCTATGGAAGAGATTTAGGAATCTGAACTCCTTTTCTCTGTTTTCTCTTTTGTCTATCGCTCGTGCTCTCTCTCTCTCTCCTTCCTTCCTTCCCTCCCTCCCTTTCTTTTCCTTTTCTTTCCTTTTCTCTTTCTTTTTTCCTTTCCTTCCTTCCCTCTTTCCTATTTCTCTTTTATTTTTTGAGACGAATTCAAAAATTCTAAAATTTTTGAATTTTTAAGTAGAGGCAGGGTTTCTTCATGTTGGCCAGGCTGGTCTTGAACTCCTGACCTCAGGAGATCCACCAGCCTCGGCCTCTCAAAGTGCTGGGATTACAGGCGTGAGCCACCGCGCCCGGCTGAAATTTCTCTTCTTTGCTGTAGGGGTCAGTAGCAGTAAGTAGCGGCTGATAGGTGAGAATGGAGATTAATTGAAGCAACGCTGTTACTGATTAGATTTTGTCTTTACACTTGAGCCTGGAAGGAAGAAATGGAAGCATTCGACCCGAGGAATGTTGCCCCACAGATTTCTGGGGGGAGCATAGGAGATTGGTGTGTGCGTGCCCTGCCCTCCTCCCTCTCTCAACCCCTGTCAGTCTCTCCCCTGTTTTTCCCTGCTGTCTCTTCTCTCGCCCAGCTTCCCCTCTGCTTGTACTCTCTTCTGATCTCTGTTTTTGTCTCTGTCTCTCCTCCTTTCTTTTTTTTCTTTCTTTTTTTTTTTTTTGAGATGGAATCTCACCGTTGCCCAGGCTGGAGTGCAGTGGCGCGATCTCGGCCCAGTGCAACCTCCGCCTCCTGGGTTCAAGCAATTCTCTGCCTCAGCCTCCCAAGTAGCTGGGATTACAGGCACCTGCTGCCATGCCCGGCTAATTTTTTGTATTTTTGGTAGAGACGAGGTTTCACCATCTTGGCCAGGCTGGTCTTGAACTCCTGACCTCGTGATCCACCTGTCTTGGCCTCCCAAAATGCTGGGATTATAGGCGTGAGCCACCGCTCCCGGCCTGTCTCTCCTCCTCTCTTAATCCTTCCTTCTCTCCTCTCGCCCAGCTTCCCCTCTGCTTGCCCTCTCTCCCTATCTCTATTTTAGTCTCTCTTTGTCTCTCTCGGTCTTGTGATTTAGGGCACTTTGTGTTCAGTCCCTTTCTAGTGATTGGGATTATTATCCACTTAAAATATCCACAATAGGCCGGGTGCAGTGGCTCATCCCTGTAATCCCAGCACGTCGGGAGGTCGAGGCTGGTGGATCTCCTGAGGTCAGAAGTTCAAGACCAGCCTGACCAACATGGAGAAACCCTGTCTCTACTAAAAATACAAAAATTAGCCAGGCGTGTTGTCACATGCCTATAGTCGCAGCTACTCAGCAGGCTGAGGCAGGAGAATTACTTGAACCTGGGGGGCGGAGATTGCGGTGAGCTGAGATCGCACCATTGCACTCCAGCTTGGGCGACAAGAGTGAAACTCTGTCTCACAAAAAATAAAAAATAAAAAATAAAAATCCACAAGGAATTTCACTTCCATGTGGCAGAACAGAAAACGAATGGATTTATTGCAAAATACGAGTGAGAAAGTGTGATTCTCTCGTTCATACCCTTTTATGACACTTAGTTCTGAACCGATTTGCCTCGTGTCTTCAGTTGGGATCTCAGGATCTCTTTCAGCCAAAAAAATCAAACTTCCCTGTTGAGTATGGCCTGTGTCACGGTGACCATCCTCGGCTCCTTCCGTTTTTTTGTTTTTTTTCAAGACAGTCTCGCTCCGTCGCCCAGGCTGGAGTGCAGTGGCACAATCTCGGCTCTCCACAACCTCCGCCTCCCGGGTTCAAGTGATTCTCCTGCCTCAGCCTCCCAAGTAGCTGGGATTACAGGTGTCTGCCACCACACCTGGCTATTTTTTTTTTTTTTAATTTTTAGTAGAGATGGGGTTTCACCAGGTTGACCAGGCTGGTCTCAAGCTCCTGACCTCAGGTGATCCACCTGCCTCCCAAAGTGCTGGGAATATAGGCATCAACCACCGCACCCAGCCTCACCAGGTAAACTTTCAAGTTCAAAAGTGCAGCTTGGAATTCCAGAGGGAAGGAGGATGGGGATACGGGTACGTGTGAATAAAGCAGCGCTGTGTCTACGATTCCACTCTCTGTGCTCACGTGAACACATTACTCAGCTCCCACTCAGAAGTGAGAACACGCTGCGTTTGACTTTCTGTGTCTCTGTGATTTCAATTAAAGTAACGGCCTCCAGGGTAACGAAACTGCACTTCTATGCCCTAAATCTATAATAATACATCAAGGTAAAAAAAAAAAAAATGGGCCAGGTGCAGTGGCTGACGCCTGTCATCCCAGCACTCTGGGAGGCTGAGGCAGGCAGATCACCCGAGGTCAGGAGTTCCAGACCAGCCCAGCCAACACGGTGAAACCCCATCTCTACTAAAAATACAAAAATTACCTGGACATGGAGGTGCGTGCCTGTAGTCCCAGCTACTCGGGAGGCTGAGGCAGGAGAATCGCTTGAACCCGGGAGGCGGAGGTTGCAGTGAGCCGAGATCACCCCACTGCACACCAGCCTGGATGACAGAGTGAGATTCCATCTCAAATAAATAAATAAATAAATAAAATGTATTTCAAAAGTGCCAATATGACATGAACTGCTGTTAATTTGTTCACCTGTATTGTTAAAATGGGTGAATACGGTTACCAGATTGTGATCATGTTCAAATTCCATAGGCCGCAGCCTTCGGGATGAAGCAAAGAGTTTTTGAAAAATTACATATTCTATGTCTAAAATGGCACCATCTGCATTTTTGAAAAATTTTAGATAATATTACAAATGCGTAGGTTGGCTCATGCCTGTAATCCCAGCACTCTGGGAGGCCGAGGCAGGAGGATAGCTTGAGCCCAGGAGTTTGAGAACAGCCTGGGCAACATAGCAAGACCCCATCTCTACAAAGATAATTAATCAGGCTTGGTGGCAGGCACCTGTAGTCCCAGCTACTCAGGAGGCTGAGGCAGGAGGATTGACTGAGCCCAGGCATTCGAGACCAGCCTGGGCAACATGGTGAGAGCTTGTCTCTAGCAAACATACAGAAACTTTAAAGTTTTTAAAGTAGCTGGGCGTGGTGGTGGGTGCCTGTGGCCCCAGCTACTCGGGAGGCTGAGGCAGGAGGATCGCTTGACCCCAGGAGTTCAAGGCTGCAGGGAGAAATGATGGTGCCCCTGCACTCCAGCCTGAGCGACAGAGTGAGACCCCATCTCTAAAAGAGAGACCCTCTGTCTCTAAAAAGAAAAACAGACCGGGCGCGGTGGCTCACGCCTGTAATCCCAGCACTTCGGGAGGCCCAGGCGGGCGGATCACGAGGTCAGGAGATCGAGACCATCCTGGCTAACACGGTGAAACCCCGTCTCTACTAAAAATACAAAAAAAACTAGCCGGGCGTGGTGACGGGCGCCTGTGGTCCCAGCTACTCCGGAGGCTGAGGCAGGAGAACGGTGTGAACCCGGGAGGCGGAGCTTGCAGTGAGAGGCGATTGCGCCACTGCACTCCAGCCTGGGCGACAGAGCGAGACTCCATCTCAAAAAAAGTAAAACAATAAAGAGTATAGAAAAACATGCATGCATGGGGGGTATAGGAGAGGTCCCAGCCCTCAGCCGTAGCCATGGATGTCCAGGTGGTGATGTGTTGCCCTGGCCCGCCCCGCAGGCCTCCAGCATCTCCAACAGCGGCTTCCCAGGGGATGCTGAAGCTGCGGCCGGACCGGCCAGCTCGGGCAGGGGTGAGCGGAGCTGCATCACCCAGGCATCCCGTCTGGGACCTCCTCCCATGCCTCCTTCCTGGGCACCTGCCCCTCCTCACTAGCTCATCCTCCTTCCCACCTGGTGGAGGACACGCACACCCTCCTGGTGGCGTCCTCAAGCCCCGTCCACCTGCCCAGGAGCTGGGGCATCCTGTGTCTCCCGCCTTGCTCTCCTGCACAGCCTGACTCAGAGCGGGAGCTCGACCCCCTACCCTCCCCGCTGTACGCTGCCCCAGCAAACCTCCCGAGTTTGCACCCGGCCACTGGATCGGCCTGCACAGGGGCTGCCGCCTCCGTCCCAGATGGCAGGGGCTTTTCCCTGCACCCCACCTCACTCAGCTCATGCCTCTGCTCCTGGTGAAAAACTTTTCCCATCACTCCGTCCCGTCCCCTCTCTGCAGCAAATGACTCTTGTCCAGGCTGTCCAGGCTGCCAGAGACCACCGAGGCACTCAGTCCGGAAGCCCATCTGTGCCAGGGTCATTGGGAGGTAAAGGCAACAGGCTTTACCTCTCCAGGCCACCCCTGCGCCTACTCCAGCTAAGACTCCAGGCCACCCCTGACCCTACTCCAGCCAAGCCTCCAGGTCACCCCTGCCCCTACTCCAGCCAAGCCTCCAGGTCACCCCTGTCCCTACTCCAGGGGCTGAGCGCGGTGGCTCACGCCTGTAATCCCAGCACTTTGGGACTCCGAGTTGGGCGGATCACGAAGTCAGGAGATCGAGACCATCCTGGCTAACACGGTGAAATGCCGTCTCTACTAAAAATACAAAAACAAAATTAGCCGAGTGTGGTGGCAGGTGCCTGTAGTCCCAGCTACTGGGGAGGCTGAGGCAGGAGAATGGCGTGAACCCGGGAGGCGGAGCTTGCAGTGAGCCAAGATCACGCCACTGCACTCCAGCCTGGGTGACAGAGCGAGACTCCGTCTCAAAAAAAAAAAAAAAAAGCAACAGTATGTTCCCCTGGGAGAACGGAGGGGGCGGCTGTTTACAGTTGCCCCAGGGCAGGACCTGCACACTGGACCATCCAGGGCCAGTCACCCCACAGGCATCTCAGACTCCACACATCCCCGCCAAACCCCAGCCCTGGGTCTTCTGCATTCTGGGGACATGGGGACACCACGCTGGTCGGTAGGGTCCCAGGCTCTTCTCAATCTCTCTCGGGCCCCTCCTCTCCTGCTGCCGCTGCCGCGGTGAGACTCCGAGGCCTGTAGGAAGCTTCAGGTGCCTGAGCCTCCAGTACAGCCCTTCCCCTACTCCACCCAAGCCTCCAGGCCACCCCTGTTCCTACTGCAGCCAAATCTCCAGGCCGCCCCTGTCCCCTACTCAAACCAAGCCTCCAGACCGCCCCTGTCCTCTACTCCAGCCAAGCCTCCAGGCCGCCCCTGTCCTCTACTCCAGCCAAGCCTCCAGGCTGCCCGTGTCCCCTACTCCAGCCAAAGCTCCAGGCCGCCCCTGCCCCTACTCCAGCCAAAGCTCCAGGCCACCCCTGTCCCCTACTCCACCCAAGCCTCCAGGAGGCCCTGTCACCTACTCCAGCCAAGCCTCCAGGCCAGTCCTTCCTTTACTCCAGCCAAGCCTCCAGGCCACCCCTGTCCCTACTGCAGCCAAACCTCCAGGCCGCCGCTGTCCCCTACTCAAACCAAGCCTCCAGGCCGCCCCTGCTCCTCCTCCAGCCAAGCCTCCAGGCCACCCCTGTCCCCTGCTCCAGCCAAAGCTCCAGGCCGCCCCGCCCCTGCTCCAGCCAACCCTCCAGGCCGCCCCTGCCCCTGTTCCAGCCAAGCGTCCAGGTCGCCCCCGTTCCTACTCCAGCCAAACCTCCAGGCCACTCCTGCCCCTGTAGCAGGACTAGCCGCGGATAAAACCCCTCAGACACCAGGTTTAGGAAGGTTTTGGCTTTATTCGGCCGGAAGCGTTGGCGGACTCACGTCTCGAGAACCGGGCTCTCCGAAGACAGAGCTCCTGGCCCTTTGAAAGGCTTACAACTCTAAGGGGTTCCACGTGAAAGGGTTCTGATAGATTGAGAGCACGTGTGGTTAGAGTCGGGGGTTAATGTTTTAACCTCAGGCCTGGTCAGGGGTGCCGGCTGGTCTTGCCACTGACTTCATTCCTGTTGTTTTTCAACTTTTACTTCCTCCTTCTCTTCAGAGACAGGAGATAGTAAAATAAATGGCCTCTCTCCCCACCCCGACTCCAGCCAAGCCTCCAGGCCGCCTCTGACCCTGCTCCAGCCAAACCTCCAGGCCTCCCCTGCCCCTACTCCAGCTAAGACTCCAGGCCACCCCTGACCCTACTCCAGCCAAAACTTCAGCCCGTCCCACTCACCCAAGTTATACAAAAGCTCCTGGGCTTTCCGGCCAACTCTGTGTCCCAAACATCCCATCCCCAAAATGGCAGCTTCTGACTGTGTCCAGACCATGCAGGCCTCTCCTGAAACCGTCCTGCCAGACGCTGTCTCAAGGTGGTGAGGGGTTCCGTGCAATGTCCCTGAGGGCTTTTAAAGCCACCCTGTCTCCTGTCCATCGGCCCCCTCCCCTCCTCTCCCTCTGTCTTTCCAGATGCTCCACCCATGCAGGGTTGTTGTCTCTTCTTTGAACAGCCCGGACGCACTGCCGCTACCCCACGGCCTCCGCACCTGCTGTTCCCTCTGGCAGAGACGGTCTTTCCTGGGAGCACCCACCCGGTCCCTCCTGCCTCGGATTTCAAAGACTTCCAAAACCACCTTCACCCCAAAATCCAGCTCTCCCTCCCCTCCCCTTCTGTCCACACCCCCAAATCACCTTCTAACATCTTCATCTTTTTTTTTCTTTGTTTTGAGATGGAGTCTCCTTCTGTCGCCCAGGCTGGAGTGCAGCGGCGCGATCTCGGCTCACTGCAACCGCCACCTCCCGGGTTCAAGCGATTCTCCTGCCTCAGCCTCCCAAGTTGCTAGGATAACAGGCATGCACTGCCACGCCCAGCTAATTTTTTGTATTTGTAGAAGAGATGGGGTTTCACCATGTTGGTAGGCTGGTCTCAAACTGCTGACCTCAAATGATCCAGCTGTCTTCGCCTCCCAAACTGCCCAGATGACACATGTGAGCCACCACACCTGGCCCAGATCTGATGGTTTTATAAATGGGAGGTCCCCTGTTGCACACGCCCTCTGGCCTGTCACCAGGTAAGACATGCCTTTGCTTCTCCTTGGCTTTCCTGCCATGAGTGTGATATGTATTTATCAGCAACATGAAAATGGACTAATACAATATGCTTGTCAGCCACGCGTGTGTCTTCTTTTTGAGAAGTGTCTGTTGGCCGGGCGCGGTGGCTCACTCCTGTCATCCCAGCACTTTGGGAGGCCGAGGCGGGTGGATCACGAGGTCAAGAGATCGAGACCATCCTGGCTAACACGGTGAAACCCTGTCTCTACTGAAAATACAAAAAATTAGCTGGCTGTGGTGGCTGGTGCCTGTAGTTCCAGCTACTCTGGAGGCTGAGGCAGGAGAATGACACGAACCCGGGAGGCGGAGCTTGCAGTGAGCTGAGATCGAGCCACTGCACTCCAGCCTGGTGACAGAGCGAGACTCCATCTCAAAAAAAAAAAAAAAAAATTACCCAAAATTACCCAGTCTCAGGTATGTCTTATCAGCAGCATGAAAATGGACTAATATGCTTGTCAGTCACGTGTGTGTCTTTTTTTGGAGAAGTGTCTGTTGGCCGGGCGCGGTGGCTCACGCCTGTCATCCCAGCACTTTGGGAGGCCGAGGCGGGCGGATCACGAGGTCAAGAGATCGAGACCATCCTGGCTAACACGGTGAAACCCCGTCTCTACTAAAATTACAAAAAATTAGCCAGGTGTGGTGGTGGGCGCCTGTAGTCCCAGCTACTGGGGAGGCTGAGGCAGGAGAATCTCTTGAACCCGGGAAGCGGAGCTTGCAGTGAGCTGAGATCGTGCCACTGCACTCCAGCCTGGTGACAGAGCGAGATTCCATCTCAAAAAAAAAAAAAATTACCCAAAATTACGCAGTCTCAGATATGTCTTTATCAGCAGCATGAAAACGGACTAATACAATATGCTTGTTGGCCACGTGTGTGTCATCTTTGGAAAAGTGCCTGTTGGCTGGGTTCAGTGGCTCATGCCTATTATCCCAGCACTTTGGGAGGCTGAGGCAGACGGATCACCTGAGGTCAGGAGTTCGAGATCATCCTGGCCAATATAGTGAAACCCTGTCTCTACGAAAAATACAAAAATTAGCCAGGTATGGTGGCAGGTGCTTGTAATCCCAGCTACTCGGGAGGCTGAGGCAGAAGAATCGCTTGAACCTGGAAGGTGGAGGTTACAGTGAGCCAAGATTACACCACTGCACTCCAGCCTGGTGACAAAGCGAGACTCTGTCTCAAAAGGAAAAAGAAGAAAAAAGAAAAAGTGTCCGTTCATGTCCTTTGTAAGACTCCACTCTCTAGTAACCGTGTTCCTGCCCTTCTCAATTCCTAAGGTAATCGCCTTAACTCAGATCCCTGAGAAATCCCCACAGCAGGCAGAGATTTGGTCTCCTGACAGTAGCTTTGGGATTCCATTAAGCAAATATGATTGGGGGCCAGCCCCTTCTGTCTCCAGGTAAGGTGTCCCCAAGGACCCTTCATCGCTCTGAACTTCAAGGATTTCTTTTTCTTTCTTGCTTTCCTTCTTTCTTTCTTTCCTTCTTTCTTCCTTCTTTTCTTTTTCTTCCTTCCTTTCTTTCTTCCTTTCTTTTTCTTTCTTTCTTTCCTTCTTTTTCTTCCTTCCTTCCTCCCTCCCTTCCTTCTTTCTTTCTTTCTGTATCTCTCTCTCTCTTTCTTTCCTTTCTTTCTTTCCATTTCTGTCTCTCTCTCTTCTTTCTTTTCTCTTCTTTCTTTCTTTCTTTCTTTCTCTCTCTCTCTCTCTCCTCTCCTCTTTCTCTCTCTCTGTTTCTCTCTTTCTTTCTTTCTTTTTGATACAGACCTCACTGTGTTGCCCAGGCTGGAGTGCAATGGCCCAATCTCGGCTCACTGCAATCTCTCCCTTCCAGGTTCAAGTGATTCTCCTGCCTCAGCCTCCCAAGTAGCTGGGATGACAGGCACCTGCCACCATGCCCGGCTAATTTTTGTATTTTTAGTAGAGACGGGGTTTCACCATGTTGACCAGGCTGATCTTGAACTCCTGACCTCAAGTGATCCTCGCACCTCAGCCTCCCAAAGTGCTGGGATTACAGACATGAGCCACCTTACCTGGCTAATTTTTATATTTTTAGTAGAGTCGGGGTTACACCGTGTTAGCCAGGCTGGTCTCGATCTCCTGACCTCATGTGATCTGCCCCACATTGCTGGGATGACAGGCTGTGTTTATATTTTTCCCCTAGAAAATCACTCTGGAGGCTGGGAGTGGTGGCTTACGCCTGTCATCCCAGCAATTTGGGAGGCCGAGGTAGGCGGATCAGCTGAGATCAGGAGTTCAACACCAGCCTGACCAACATGGAGAAACCCCGTATCTACTAAAAATACAAAATTAGCCGGGCGTGGTGGTGGGTGCCTGTAATCTCAACTACTGGGAGCCTGAGACAGAAGAATCACTTGAACCTGGGAGGCAGAGGTTGCGGCGAGACATGCATCCTCAGAAATGGGGTAGAGACCTGGCACGGTCACTTTTTTTTTTTTTTGAGACAGATTCTCGCTCTGTCGCCCAGGCTGGAGTGCAGTGGCGCGATCTTGGCTCACTGCAACCTCAGCCTCCCGGGTTCACACCCATTCTCTTGCCTCAGCCTCCCAAGTAGCTGGGACTACAGGCACCCGCCACCACGCCCAGCTAATTTTTTGTATTTTTAGTAGAGACTGGGTTTCACTGTGTTAGCCAGGATGGTCTCGATCTCCTGACCTTGTGATCCGCCTGCCCCGGCCTCCCAAAGTGCTGGGATGACAGGCTACCACGCCCAGCCCTGGCACGGTCACATTTTAATTATGTGCAGGCATTTAGATTGTCCAAATAAACGTTGCAAGATATCTAGGCTGAAGTGGGAGGATCTCTTGAAGTCAGGAGTTCAAGACCAGCCTGGGCAACATAGTGAGACACCCCCCCCCCACCCCGATCTCTACAAAGAATTAAAAAATTAGTCAGGCACATTGGCTCATGCCTGTCTTCCCAGCACTTTGGGAGGCCGAGGTGGGTGGATCACCTTAGGTCAGGAGTTGGAGACCAGCCTGGCCAACATGGTGAAACCCTGTCTCTACTACAAATACAAAAATTAGCCAGGTGTGGTGGTGTGTGCCTATAGTCCCAGCCACTCGAGAGGCTGAGGCAGGAGAATCGCTTGAACCCAGGAGGCAGAGGTTGCAGTGAGCTGAGATGGTGCCACCGCACTCCAGCCTGACGACAGAGCGAGACTCCATCTAAAAAAAAAAAAAAGGGGTCTCACTATGTTGCCCAGGCTGGCCTGCTGGCATCTTGATGTTGAACTTCCAGCCTCCAGAAGTGTGAGAGAACTGGTTTCTTGAGCCACCCAGTTTGCAGAAATTCGCACGACCCCCAGAAATGAATGCAGGACCTGCTCAATCCATAAGACGATTAATGAGTGCTAATGATGGGTGAGCATATTGGTTTGGGATCAGTTCTACAGCTGATGAGTCAAGGGCTCGGGGGGGCCTGATGCAGACTATTTTAGGGCTGCGGAGGGGCGCCCAGAAAGCCAGGGAATCGCCACACGCTTTGTGATCCCCTAATACGGTTAATGCAAATTTCTAGAGTGATCCGTCTTTGTTTGAGTACTGGGCAGGCAGCAGGGAGAGTCAGGCAGCAGCTGTGAGCGGGTGGCTCTTCCCCACCTTGCCAGCAGGCTCTGTGCTCCTTGAAGCAAGCGCTCCAGAGGCTCCGGAAGCCACGGCTGGATTGGAGACAAGATGGGATCCTCAGAGGACCAGGCCTATCGCCTCCTTAATGACTACGCCAACGGCTTCATGGTGTCCCAGGTAGGATACGCTCTGTGGGACAAGGGGGAATAGACTTCCGTTCATCACACTCACGTTCCATTGTTGTGTCAGTCGAGAAAAATGATGAGTCTCCATCATTTTAGGAGGTTTATTTTCCACCGTGAAAGACGTACACCCACGATGTAGCCTCAGGAGTTCCTGAGGACATGTGCCCAGGGTGGTCTGGGGACAGCTTGGTTTGATACATTTTACAGAGACATGAGTCATCAATCAATGTATGTAAGTACATTGGGCCAGTCGTGGTGGCTCACACCTGTGATCCCAGCACTTTGGGAGGCTGAGGCGGGCGGATCACCTGAGGTCGGGAGTTCGAGACCAGCCTGACCCACACAGAGAAACCCCATCTCTACTAAAAATACAAAATTAGCCAGGCTTGGTGGTACATGCCTATAATCCCAGCTACTTGGGAGGCTGAGGCAGGAGAATCGCTTGAACCTGGGAGGCGGAGGTTGCAGTGAGCCGAGATCGCACCACTGCACTCCCGCCTGGGGGACACAGCAAGACTCTGTGTCAAAAAAAAACCAAACAAACAACAAAAAAAAAGAAACAAAGCTTAAGATGAAATACATAGGATTAGAAACAAGACAATGTTTATTGAACTGCAAGTGTTGAAATTTTTAAAACATTTCATGATAGAGTAGTATATGTGGTTGTTTATTAACCCAGTAAATAATTACACTGTGCGTTTATCATAGAGGTGAGTTTTGAGGGTTCACCCGTAGAGGAGCAACACCTCATTCCTTTTTTTTATTTTTTTGAGCTGGAGTCTCACTCTGTAACCCAGGCTGGAGTGCAGTGGCACGGTCTTGGCTCACTGCAACCTCCGCCTCCAGGGTTCAGGCTATTCTCCTGCTTCAGCCTCCCGAGTATCTGGGATTACAGGCACCCACCACCACGCCCGGCTAATTTTTGTATTTTTAGTAGAGATGGGGTTTCACCATGTTGGCCAGGCTGGTCTCGAACTCCTGACCTCAAGTGATTCACCTGCCTCGGCCTCCCAAGGCCTCATTTCTTCTTCTCACAGAATAACATCGTGCTCAGTGAAGGAAGGCTGACGTGAAAGGCCCCATATGGTATGACTTCATTTATATGAAATGTGCAGAGCAGGCAAATCCTTCGAGGTGGAAAGTGGACTGGTGGTTTGCAGAGGCTGGGCAGGACTGCGGAGGGAGTGTTTAACGGAGACAGTGTCCCTTTTTGGGGTGATGCAAATGTTCTGGAACCCGGCGGAAGTGCTGGCTATACAACATCACGAATGTACTAAGTGCCCCTGAATTATGCTTGAAAAGGGTTAATGATGGCCGGGCTCAGCGGTGACACCTGTCATCCCAACGGTTTGGGGGTCCGAAACGAGGGAATCGCTTTAGCCCAGGAATTCGAGACCAGTCTGGGCAACATAGTGAGACCCCCCATTTCTACAAATTCTTTTTTCTTTTTGAGACAGAGTCTCGCTCTGTCGCCCAGGCTGGAGTGCAATGGCACGATCTCGGCTCACTGCAAGCTCCACCTCCCAGGTTCACGCCATTCTCCTGCCTCAGCCTCCCGAGTAGCTGGGATTACAGGCACCCGCCACCACGCCCGGCTAATTTTTTGTATTTTTAGTAGAGACGGGGTTTCACCGTGTTAGCCAGGATGGTCTCGATCTCCTGACCTCATGATCCGCCCGCCTCGGCCTCCCAAAGTGCTGGGATTACAGGCGTGAGCCACTGTGCCTGGCCAAAAATATTTTAAAAATTAGCCAGGTGGGGTGGTGCACACCTGTAGTCCCAGCTACTCAGGAGGCTGAGGCGGGAGGATCGCTTAAGCCTAGGAGATGAAGGCTGCAGTGAGCTATGATTGCACCACTGCACTCCAGCCTGGATGACAGAGCAATACTGAGTCTCTTTAAAAAATAAACGGCAGGGCGCGGTGGCTCATGCCTGTCATCCCAGCACTTTTTGGGGTCCAAGGTGGGCGGATCACTTGAGGTCAGGAGTTCAAGACCAGCCTGGCCAACATGGTGAAACCCCGTCTCTACTAGAAGTATAAAAATTAGCCAGGCATGATGGTGGGCACCTGTCATCCCATTTACTCGGGAGGCTGAGGCAGGAGAATTGCTTGAACCCGGAGGAGGTAGAGGTTGCAGTGAGCCGAGATTATGCCACTGCACTCCAGCCTGGGTGTCGCAGTGAGACTCTGTCTCAGAACAAAAACCAAAAACCAGCATCATCGTGAAAGGGGGTCGTGTGCTGACGATATTTTGAGATGTCTGCAGCAGCTCTCGTGTGACTTGAAAATATCTGTGGTTTCTCTCCGTCAGCAAGCCACCGGTTTTTTTTGTTTGTTTTTTTCCTTTTTTTTTTTCAGACAGAGTTTCCCTCTTGTCGCCCAGGCTGGAGCGCAGTGGCGCTATCTCGGCTCACTGCAACCTCTGCCTCCCGGGTTCAAGCGATTCTCCTGCCTCAGCCTCCCGAGTAGCTGGGAGTACAGGCGCGTTCCAACACGCCCAGATAATTTTGTATTTTTAGTAGAGATGGGGTTTCTCTATGTTGGTCAGGCTGGTCTCGAACTCCCAACCTCAGGTGATCCTCCTGGCCCCCACACTTTCTTCTATCATGGCTGTGGTTTGCCAGTACGCTCATGGTTGAAGGGAACACCACATCTTAGGAAGAGGTAGTGAAAATTAGAGTGAAGTCTCTTCTCCTTCCTGGTTTGTAGAGCCCGTGAATTTTACCTCTAGGCCCCCAAGGGTTAAAAATACCTATTCCCCAGCCACTGATACGCAGAGCGGCCTCCGCCTACGGGGTTCAAGCGATTCTCCTGCCTCAGCCTCCTGAGTACCTGGGATTACAGGTGCCTGCCACCAAGCCTGGCTAACTTTTATTTTTATTTTTATTTTTATTTATTTTTCTGATATGGAGTTTCACTGTTGTTGCCCAGGCTGGAGTGCAGTGGCATGATCTCAGCTCACTGCAACCTCTCCCTCCCAGGTTCAAGCAATTCCCCTGCCTTAGCCTCCTGAGTAGCTGGGATTTCAGGCGTCCACCACCACGCCCGGCTAATTTTTGTATTTTTGGCAGAGACGGGGTTTCATCATGTTGGCCAGGCTGGTGTCGAACTCCTGACCTCGGGCGATCTGCCTGCCTCGGCCTTCCAAAGTGCTAGGATTACAGGTGTGAGCTACTGCCTCTGGCTAATTTTTTGTAGTTTTGGTAGAGATGAGGTTTCATCATGTTGGCCAGGCTGGTCTTGAACTCCTGACCTTGGGCAATCTGCCTGCCTCAGCCTCCCAAAGTGCTAGGATGACGGGCGTGAGCCACTGACATCCAGCTAATTTTTTGTATTTTTGGTAGAGACGGGGTTTCATCATGTTGTCCAGGCTGGTCTCGAACTCCTGACCTCGGGTGATCTGCCTGCCTCAGCCTCCCAAAGTGCTAGGATTATAGGCATGAGCCAACATGTCTGGCTAATTTTTCTATTTTTTAGTAAAGGTGGGATTTCTGTTACTGTCCCAGACAACAGTAACTTGCTACCTTTGCCTCCTTTGACCGCAGGCCTCCTGCTGGGGCTATTGACTGCTCATTCAAAGACTGTCGCTGGTTCACAGCGGTGTTCAGGGAGGTGGTCTGGTGGGTTCTAAATCTTGGAAGAGCAGTCACTTTAAGGCACATGATACCATGTCATGGGAGTTGTCAGAAGTTTCACAGAACCAGAGTTAATGCAGAGTTAATACCACCTTAAGAGGATCAAACTTAGTACACCCTTAACAGAAACAATTAGCTAATGCAGCTTTCATAGACCAAGAGTGAATATCGCCTTAAGAAGATAACATTTAGTATACCCTTGGCCAGGCACAGTGGCTCACGCCTGTAATCCCAGCACTTTGGGAGGCCGAGGCGGGCGGATCACAAGGTCAGGAGTTCGAGACCAGCCTGGCCAATATGGTGAAATCCCATCTCTACTAAAAATACAAAAATTACCTGGGCGTGGTGGCGGGCACCTGTAGTACCAGCTACTTGGGAGGCTGAGGCACGAGAATGGCGTGAACCCGGGAGGTGGAGGTTGCAGTGAGCCGAGATCACGCCACTGCACTCCAGCCTTGGGGGCAGAGCGGGACCCTGTCTCAAAAAAAAAAAAAAAAAGTGGGGGCTGGGGAGGGAGAGCACTAGGACAAATACCTAATGTAGGTGACGGGTTGACAGGTGCAGCAAACCACCATGGCACATGTATACCTGTGCAACAAACCTGCACGTTCTGCACATGTACCCCAGAACTTAAAGTATAATAATAATAATAATAATAATAATAATAATAATAATAAAAAGTCTTTGGGAGCAGAAAAAAAAAAAGATCAAAGTTAGCGTACCCTTAACAGAAACAGTTAATGCACCTTTCATAGACCAAGGGTGAACTCAGCCATAAGAAGGTAACATTTAATATATGCCCTTAAAAGAACAATTAATTGAGACAACCCCAAAAGGAATGAATACAACTTTAATGAATAAAACAAAACAGAACGCTAATTTAAAAAGGTTAATACGGGCCGGGCGTGGTGGCTCATGCCTGTAATCTGAGCACTTTGGGAGGCCGAGGAAGGTGGATCAGGAGGTCAGGAGATTGAGACCATCCTGGCTAACACGGTGAAACCCCGTCTCTACTAAAAATATTTTAAAAATTAGCCGGGCGTGGTGGTGGGCGCCTGTAGTTTCAGCTACTCGGGAGACTGAGGCAGGAGAATCCCTTGAACCCGGGAGGCGGAGCTTGCTGTGAGCCGAGATCGCACCACTGCACTCCAGCCTGGGTGACAGAGCCAGACTCCGTCTCAAAATAAATAAATAAATAAATAAATAAAAAAGAAAAAGGTTAATACAACATTAAAGAACAAGAATTAATATAGCTTTTTTTTTTTTTTTTTTTTTTTGAGACCTAGTCTCACTCTGTTGCCCAGGCTGGAGGGCAGTGGCATGATCTCAGCTCACTGCAACCTCCGCCTCCCGGGTTCAGGCGATTCTCCTGCCTCAGCCTCCCGAATAGGTGGGATTACAGGCGTGCACCACCATGCCTACTTTTTGTATTTTTAGTAGAGACGGGGTTTCACTATGTTGGCCAGGCTGGTGTCGAACTCTTGACCTCAAGTGATCTGCCTGCCTTGGCCTCCCAAAGTGCTGGGATGACAGGTGTGAGCCACTGCACCTGGCCTAATATAGCTTTAATAGAAAAGGAGCTAATACAAGCTTAGAATAATAAACTTTATGCAGACTTACTGAAACAAACAGTCAATGCAACCTTAACCAAACAGGAATTGATAACAGTTTAATAAAAAAGCTAATACCACTTGAATAGAATATATCTTACTACAACCTTCATAAGAAAAACAACTAATACACTTTGGGAGACCGAGGCAGGCAGATCACGAGGTCAGGAGATCGAGACCATGGTGAAACCCCGCCTCTACTAAAAATACAAAAAAATTAGCCTGGCATGGTGGCGGGCACCTGTAGTCCCAGCTAGTCGGGAGGCTGAGGCAGGAGAATGGCTTGAACCTGGGAGGTGGAGGTTGCCGTGAGGCGTGATCGTGCCACTGCACTCCAGCCTGGCGACAGAGCGAGACTCTGTCTCAAAAAAATAATGATAATAATAATAAACAAATAAAGATACCAAAAAAAAAATACAAAAATTTAGCCGGGTGTGGTGGCACGTGCCTGTAATCACAGCTACTCGGGAGGCTGGGGCAAGAGAATCACTTGAACGCGGGAGGCGTAGGTTGCCGTGAGCCGAGATTGCACCGCTGCACTCCAGCCTGGGTGACAGAGCGAGACTCCGTCTCAAAAAAAAGAACAAACAAAAAGATAGTGGTAGGTGTAATCTGTGTTTCTTTCCCCATGCTGTTGAAATAAAGCTAACTGTAAGTATCCTGGAAGACACGTGGCCTGAAGAAACCATCTTTCCCTGTGGTTTGTTTATGACTTCCTGTCACTAAGGTTGCCTGAGCCTTGGCACCCATCCAAAACGATGTGTGCAAGAAAAGAAATGCATGGATGATTTATTCTTGTTTTATTTTTTTTTTGAGATGGAGTCTCGCTCTGTTGCCCAGGCTGGAGTGCAGTGGCGCGATCTTGGCTCACTGCAATCTCCACCTCCAGGATTCAAGCAATTCTCCTGCCTCACCCTCCCCAGTAGCTGGGACTACAGGCTCACACCACCATGCCCAGCTAATTTTTATACTTTTAGTAGAGATGGGGTTTCACCATGTTGGCCAGGTTAGCCCTGAACTCCTGACCTCAGGTGATCCGCCCACCTCGGCCTCCCAGAATGTTGGGATTACAGGCGTGAGCTACCACGCCTGGCTGATTTATTCATTTTTTATAGTTTGTGTATTATTTGAAGGCATTACCTGATTACTGCTTTATTTTATTTTTATATGTATTTATTTATTTATCTATTGAGACGGAGTTTCGCTCTTGTTGCCCAGGCTGGAGTGCAATGGCACGATCTCGGCTCACCACAACCTCTGCCTCCCGGGTGCAAGTGATTCTCCTGCCTCAGCCTCCCGAGTAGCTGGGATTACAGGCATGCACCACCACACCAGGCTAATTTTGTATTTTTAGTAGAGATGGGGTTTCTGCACGTTGGTCAGGCTGGTCACGAACTCACAACCTCAGTTGCTCCACCTGCCTCGGCCTCCCAAAGTGCTGGGATGACAGGCGTGAGCCACCGCACCCGGCCTATTTATTTTTTTTGAGACGGAGTCTCACTCTGTCCAGCCCAGGCTGGAGTGCAGTGATGCGATCTTGGCTCACTGCAACCTCTGCCTCCCGGGTTTACGCCATTCTCCTGCCTCAGCCTCCCGAGTAGCTGGGATACAGGTGCGCACCACCATGCCTGGCTAATTTTTGTATTTTTAGTAGAGACGGAGTTTCACCATGTTGGCCAGGCTGGTCTCGAACCCCTGACCTCAAGTGATCTACCCTCCTAGGCCTCCCAAAGTGCTGGGATTACAGGCGTGAGCCACCACGCCCGGTCCTCTGTCTCTGTTTTTGAGACAGAGTCTTACTCTGTCACCCAGGCTTGGAGTGCAGTGGTGAGATCTCGGCTCACTGCAACCTCCGCTTAGCAGGTTCAAGCGATTCTCCTGCCTCAGCCTCCCAAGTAGTTGGGATTACAGGCATGAGCCACCACGCCCGGCTAATTTTTGTATTTTTAGTAGAGATGGGGTTTCACCATGTTGGCCAGGCTGGTCTCAAACTCCTGACCTCAGGTGATCCACCCACCTCCCAAAGCGCAGGGATTATAGGTATGAGTTAAAGCACCCAGCCAGGAGACATTTTTAAATGAGGTTGCACGGCTATGGAAAACAGGGTGGGGCCAGGCGCAATGGCTCACGCCTGTCATCCCAGCACTTTGGGAGGCCGAGGCTGGCAGATCACGAGGTCAGAAGTTCGAGACCAGCCTGGCCAACATGGTGAAACCCCATCTTTACTAAAAACACAAAAATTAGACAGGCATGGTGGAACAGGCCTGTAATCCCAGCTACTCGGGAGGCTGAGGCAGGAGAATGGTGTGAAGCCGGGAGGCAGAGGTTGCAGTGAGCCGAGACCGCACCACTGCCCTCCAGCCTGGGTGATACAGTGAGACTTCAACTCAAAATAAATAAATTAATTAATTAATAAAAATAAATAAATAAATATGACTGTTTTCCATAGTGGTGCAATCTCATTTGACTCTGTCTCAAAAAAAAAAATAAATAAATGAATAAGAATATAAATAAAACAATGCTTTCCTCCCTAGCCTGCCATGGTATGGGGTGTTTCTAAGACTGTGGTTCCCAGGAGGCTGAGCCCTGACCTTTTATTTCCGCTCCTGCTCCAAGGTTCTCTTCGCCGCCTGCGAGCTGGGCGTGTTTGACCTTCTCGCCGAGGCCCCAGGGCCCCTGGACGTGGCGGCAGTGGCTGCAGGTGTGAGGGCCAGCGCCCATGGGACAGAGCTCCTGCTGGACATCTGTGTGTCCCTGAAGCTGCTGAAAGTGGAGACGAGGGGAGGAAAAGGTGAGGACACGGGCGTTTTGAAGGAGGCATTTTACATAGACACCCTCTGCAGCCCACGTGTTCTGTAAAAAGTGAAACAGTCTCCATCCTGGCTCACACAGTGAAACCCCGTCTCTACTAAAAAAAATACAAAAAATTAGCCGGGTGTGGTGGCGTGCACCTGTCATCCCAGCTACTCAGGAGGCTGAGGCAGGAGAATGGCATGAACCCGGGAGGCAGAGGTTGCAGTGAGCCGAGATCGTGCCACTGCACTCCAGTCTGGGCGACAGAGCGAGACTCCATCTGTATTTGCAGGTTTGGGGGTCGTGTGGTTTTTGTGGCAGCTACCGACCTCTGCCCTGGGGACGTCAAAGCTGCCAGAGTGTGAGACCCAGGCTGGGGGATTCCTTGAGCCCAGGAGTTCGAGACCAGCCTGGGCCACGTATTTTTAATAGAGACAGGATTTCATCACGTTGGCCAGGCTGGTCTCGAGCTCCTGACCTCAGGTGATCCACCAGCCTGGGCCACTTATTTTTAGTAGAGACAGGATTTCGTCACGTTGGCCAGGCCGGTCTCGAGCTCCTGACCTCAGGTGATCCACCCGCCTCGGCCTCCCTAAGCGCTGAGATTACAGGTGTGAGCCACCACGCCCGGCCTCAATAAGTTATTTTAGACATTCTGTGGAATGTAACGTACGTTTCCTCTCGTGGCTCATCTGCCTTTGTACTTGCTGCACCCAAACTCCCGATGGGGATTTGTACAAACCGAACCCGACGGGGGTGCTAGCCGCCCCAGGTCACCTTTGCGCCTTCCACAGAAGGCTCCAGCTGTACAAGGCAAGAGGAAGACCCCATCTCTAAAGAAGAGATGGGCTTGTAATCATGTTGAAATCACGATGTTGTCGAGCTGGGGAGCGTCCGCCGGCAGGAACTCGGAATCTCACTGCTTTTTCCCTGTTTTTTTGTGTGTGTTTCAGCTTTCTATCGAAACACAGAGCTGTCCAGCGACTACCTGACCACGGTCAGCCCGACGTCACAATGCAGCATGCTGAAGTACATGGGCAGGACCAGCTACCGGTGCTGGGGCCACCTGGCAGACGCCGTGAGGTGGGGGCTGCCCCCAGGCAGATGCTGGGAGGTGGTGGCTGCACCCAGGCAGATGCTGGGAGGTGGGGGCTGCCCCCAGGCAGATGCTGGGAGGTGGTGGCTGACCCCAGGCAGATGCTGGGAGGTGGGGGCTGACCCCAGGCAGATGCTGGGAGGTGGGGGCTGCACCCAGGCAGATGCTGGGAGGTGGGGGCTGCCCCCAGGCAGATGCTGGGAGGTGGTGGCTGCACCCAGGCAGATGCTGGGAGGTGGGGGCTGCCCCCAGGCAGATGCTGGGAGGTGGTGGCTGACCACAGGCAGATGCTGGGAGGTGGGGGCTGACCCCAGGCAGATGCTGGGAGGTGGTGGCTGACCACAGGCAGATGCTGGGAGGTGGGGGCTGACCCCAGGCAGATGCTGGGAGGTGGGGGCTGCACCCAGGCAGATGCTGGGAGGTGGGGGCTGCACCCAGGCAGATGCTGGGAGGTGGGGGCTGCACCCAGGCAGATGCTGGGAGGTGGGGGCTGACCCCAGGCAGATGCTGGGAGGTGGGCGCTGCACCCAGGCAGATGCTGGGAGGTGGGGGCTGACCCCAGGCAGATGCTGGGAGGTGGGGGCTGCATCCAGGCAGTGACCAAGTCTCAGGACTACCGCCAGGGGCTGGTGAAGTGGCAGTGGAGGAGGTGAAAGGGAAGGTTTCTTTTTCTTTGTTTTTTCTTTTCTTTTCTTTCTTTTTTTTTTTTTTGAGATGGAGTCTTGCTCTGTCACCCAGGGTGGAGCGCAGTGGCGCCATCTCGGCTCATTGCAAGCTATGCCTCCCGGGTTCACGCCATTCTCCTGCCTCAGCCTCCCAAGTAGCTGGGACTACAGGAACCCGCCACCACACCCGACTAATTTTTTGTGTTTTTGGTAGAGACGGGGTTTCACCATGTTAGCCAGGATGGTCTCCATCTCCTGACCTCGTGATCTGCCTGCCTACATGGTGGCAGGCACCTGTAGTCCCAGCTACTCAGGAGGCTAAGGTGGGAGAACTGCTTGAACCCAGAAGGCAGAGGCTGCAATGAGCTGATTGTGCCACTGCACTGCAGCCTGGGCAACAGAGCAAAAACTCTGTCTCAGAAAGAAGGAAACAGAAAGAGAGAGAGAGGGGAGAAGGAAGGAAGGAAGGGAGGGAGGGAGGGAGGGAGGGAGGGAAAGAAGGGAAATAATGGAAAGTAAGAGAAAGAAAGAGAAGGAAGGAAAGAAAGAGAGAGAGAGAGAGAAGACCTGGACTCAATAGAAAGGAGTGTCTGGGTGGCCGGACGCAGTAGCCCATGCCGGTAATCCCAGCACTTTGGGAGGCTGAGGCGGGCGGATCACGAGGTCAGGAGATCGAGACCATCCTGGCTAACACGGTGAAACCCCGTCTCTATTAAAAATACAAAAAATTAGCCGGGCGTGGTGGCGGGCGCCTGTAGTCCCAGCTACTCGGAGAGGCTGAGGCAGGAAAATGGTGTGAACCCGGGAGGCGGAGGTTGCAGTGAGCCAAGATCGCACCACTGCACTCCAGCCTGGGCGACAGAGCGAGACTCCATCTCAAAAAAAAAAAAAAAAAAATAGGGGTGTCTGGGTTAACATAGGGGGTTGTGGAGACCAAATTCTTATTATGTAGATGAAATCTCCAGGTAGCAGGCTTCAGAAAGAATAGACTGTTACTGTTTCCTATCTGACTTGGTTCTCTCCTGGATCAGAAAAAAGGAAGGAAAAGGAAGGTGATTCTCTCCAGAACGTAGATTTTCTCCACAACAGGTAGCTTTACAGGAGTATTTCAAGCTATGGTAAAGAGAACATGTTTGGGGCTAAAATATTTTTATTTCCTTTTTTTTTTTTTTTTTTGAGACAGAGTTTTGTTTTGTTGCCCAGGCTGGAGTGCAGTGGTATGATCTCGACTCACTGCAACCTCCGCCTCCTGGGTTTAAGTGATTCACCTGCCTCAGCCTCCCCAGTAGCTGGGAGTATAGGCATCCACCACACCTGGCTGATTGTTTGTGTTTTAGTAGAGACGGGGTTTCACCCTGTCTTTGAGGCTGGTCTCCAACTCCTGAGCTCAGGCTATCTGCCCCCGTCTTGGCCTCCCAGAGTGTTAGGATTATAGGTGTGAGCCACCACGCCCAGCCTTTGATTTTCTTCTTTATCTGTGATGGGTTGTTATGCCAGAGTCAGGTTGGAAAGTGAGCCACGTAATATAGGGTTAAATAAAACCCATCTCACGAGACTTTATAGTTATAGAGCATAACTCCCTAGGCCCCTTAGATAAGAATTTGGGCAAGGAAGAAAAAGGTCACGTGTAACAATTAAGTCCTCAGGTTTAAACAATTAAGCAACAGCTGGCCAGGCGCGGTGGCTCACGCCTGTAATCCCAGCACTTTGAGAGGCCGAGGCGGGTGGATCACCTGAGGTCACGAGTTCGAGACCAGCCTGACCAACATAGTGAAACCCCATCTCTACTAAAAAATACAAAAATGAGCCAGGCATGGTGGCGGGTGCCTGTCATCCCAGCTACTCGGGAGGTTGAGGCAGGAGAATCGCTTGAACCGAGGAGGTGGAGATTGCAGTGAGCCAAGATCGCGCCATTGCACTCCAGCCTGGGCGACACAGCGAGACTCCGTCTCATAAAATAAAATAAGGCCAGGTGCGGTGGCTCACGCCTGTAATCCCAGCACTTTGGGAGGCCAAGGCGGGCAGATCACCTGAGGTCAGGAGTTCGAGACCAGCCTGACCAACATGATGAAACCCCATCTGTACTAAAAAGTACAAAAATTAGCCAGGCACGGTGGCAGGTGCCTGTAATCCCAGCTACTCGGGAGGCTGAGGTAGGAAAATCGCTTGAACCCGGGAGGCGGAGATTACAGTGAGCCAAGATCGTGCCATTGCACTCCAGCCTGGGCGACACAGCGAGACTCCATCTCCTAAAATAAAATAAGGCCAGGTGTGGTGGCTCACACCTGTAACCCCACCACTTTGGGAGGCCGAGGCGGGTGGATCACCTGAGGTCACGAGTTTGAGACCAGCCTGACCAACATGGTGAAACCTGTCTCCACTAAAAATACAAAAATTAGCTGGGCGTGGTGGCGGGCGCCTATAGTCCCAGCTACTCGGGAGGCTGAGGCAGGAGAATGGCGTGAACCCAGAAGGCAGAGGTTGCAGTGAGCCGAGATCGTGCCATTGCACTCCAGCCTGGGCTACAGAGCTGAAATGAAATGAAACGAAATGAAACGAAATGAAATGAAATGAAATGAAATGAAATGAAATGAAATGAAAATCAGCCTTCTCTCTCTTTTCTTAGAGAAGGAAGGAACCAGTACCTGGAGACGTTTGGCGTTCCCGCTGAAGAGCTTTTTACGGCCATCTACAGGTAACACCCATCACTTTGAAACCAACAACTCAGATAAGATTCTGTTTATTTTTAAAGGACTTAGGAAACCCAATCCATTTACTCAAATGGCACAACCCAGGAGGAAGCTGCCATTTAATTTAAAATAACATCCCCTATCCCCACTACTACCCCAGATTTTGCTCATCTGATGTTTAAATTGATCAAATTCCTGAGGAGGTGCAACGTGACCCTTCCTTCGAAAGGACTACTCACAAACTCAGTGTTTATGTAGAAAATGGAGGCACGCGCCGGGCGCGGTGGCTCACGCCTGTCATCCCAGAACTTTGGGAGGCCGAGGCAGGTGGATCACCTGAGGTCAGGAGTTCGAGACCAGCCTGGCCAACAGGGTGAAACCCCGTCTCTACTAAAAATACAAAAATTAGCCGGGCGTGGTGGCGGACGCCTGTAATCCCAGCTAGTCGGGAGGCTGAGGCAGGAGAACTGCTTGAACCCGGGAGGCGGAGGTTGCGGTGATCTGAGATCGCACCACTGCACTCCAGCCTGGGCAACAAGAGTGAAACTCCATCTCAAAAAAGAAAAGAAAAGAATATAGAGGCCCAGTTTTTGATTTGGTCAGAGGTGAAGGTGAGGCCAGGTGAGACCTCAGCTCTTCACTTTGCTTTGCGATGTGGACACAGCTTTGGCCTTTGCCCGAAGCTCTTACCTAGAATTCCCAGATGGAGGTGAATTGATGGGCCCGTCCAGTGTTCCAGCTGGCTGAGGCATGGAGTAGGGAAGGGTATGAAGGACAAGGGGATGCCTGAGTGGTTCGCCTGCCCCCCAACCTCTCCTCTCCTCCCCTGCTCTCCCCTCCCCTCTCTTCTCCTTCTGTCCTGTTCCCTCTCTTTTCCTCTTCCATCCTCCTCTCTTTCTCTCCTTTTCCTTCTCTTCTCTTCTCTCCTCTCTTTTCCTCTCCATCTTCCCCCTCCTCTCTCCCATCTTCCCTCTCTTGTCTCCTCTCTCTTCTTCCCTCTCTCCTTTCCTCTCGCCTCCCTTCCCCTCCCTTCACCTGCCTCTCTCCTTCTCCTCTCCCGTCTTCTTTCTCTCATCTTCTCTGTTTTCATGCCCCGTATTTCACCTCCTTTTCTCCTCCTCTCTTCTCCTCGGTCTGCTTTCCTTTCCCCCGTTTCTCTCTTTCTTTCTCTCTCTCTTTCTTTCTTTCCTTCTTTCTTTCCTTCTTTCTCCTTCCTTCCTTCGTTCCTTCCTCTTTCCTTCTGCCTGCCTTCCTTCCTTCCCTCCCTCCCTCCTTTCTTTCTTTTTCTTTCTTCCTTCTTCCTTCTTTCCTTTCTTTATATATATATATATGTGTGTATACATGTGTATGTGTATGTGAATATATGTATCTGTTTAGGGGGCACAAGTACCCATGTCTTCCATGCTTACATGTTGCACCTTGCAGCCTAGGCTTTTAGTGTGCCCATCACCTGAATAGTGACCGTGGTACCTAAGAGGCAATTTTTCAGCCCTCGCTACTCTGAGGCAAACCCCTACAGCAGGCTCTGCAGAGAGGACAGGAGGAGAGAGGGAGCTGTGGGGGGGGAGGAGCAGGAAATGCTTCCAACACCAGAGCCCTGTCCGCCTCTGTGTCCACCTATCCTTCTTGGCTCCATCTCACCTGCCTCCCTTCCTAGTTCCTGCCTTTTCTCTAGCCTCTTCCCCAGGATGTGTGGACCTCCCACCCGCTTCCTGGATTTGTCCTCTGGGGCTGAGCTCTGTGGATGGGGGAACGTATTATTGACTTTCCTCTTAGAAAACATCTAAACTCCTCTTCAGATAGAAATCCCTTCCCATCCAGAGAACAATCGTCCGTTCTGAATCAACTCCAGGTTTCCCGGAGCTGGGTACACTTTGCTGGCTGACCTATGGTTCCCCCATCCCGAATGACTTCCTGTTCCATTTCACAAATGCAAGCCTTCCAGGTGCACCTGTGGGGTATAGCTCCGTTCTCAACAGGGGGTTATGTACACCCTTGCTCTGGGCACGTCCCCAGATCCTCACCATCTTGACAAGCGTGGTTTTGCATGCCAGGTCCGAGGGCGAGCGGCTACAGTTCATGCAAGCTCTGCAGGAGGTCTGGAGCGTCAACGGGAGAAGCGTGCTGACCGCCTTTGACCTGTCAGTGTTCCCACTTATGTGTGACCTTGGTGGTAAGTACCCCTCACCACTAATACCTCGGAGGTGTGGCTTCTGTTCTGTATGGGGAATGTGTTATTCATGTCTTTTATTTTCTGCATTCTGATGCTTTGACATGTGCGGCCTTACTGGTCTTAGAGGAATCATTCCTCCCAGCACTGGGCACTTCCTAGAGTCAGCAAACATCTCCTCTGCGAGCACACGTTTCTTTTTCTTTTCTTTTTTTAAGATGGAAGCTTGCTCCATCGCCCAGGCTGCAGTGCAGTGGCATGATCTCGGCTCACTGCAACCTTTGCCTCCTGGGTTCAAGCGATTCTCCTGCCTCAGCCTCCCGAGTAGCTGGGATTACAGGCACCTGCCACCACACCAGGCTAATTTTTTTTTTTTTTTTTTTTTTTGAGATGAAGTGTCGCTCTGTCGCCCAGGCTGGAGTGCAGTGGCACGATCTCGGCTCACCGCAACCTCCGCCTCCTGGGTTCAAGCGATTCTCCTGCCCCAGCCTCCCGAGTAGGTGGGATTATGGGTGCGCACCACTCTGTCAGGCTAATTTTTGTATTTTTTAATAGAGACGGGGTTTTGCCATGTTGGCCAGGCTGGTCTCGAACTCCTGACCTCATGATCCACCCGCCTCGGTCTTGTTTTTAGTTTTTGAGAGAGGGTCCTGTTTGTCACCCAGGCTCGAGTGCAATGGTGTGTTGATAGCTCACTGCAGCCTCAGACTCTCAGGCTCAAGTGGTCCTCCCACCTCAGCCTCCCAAGTAGCTGGGATTACAGATGACTGCCGCCACACCTAGCTCATTTAAAAACTTTTCTGTAGAGCCTGAGTCTCTCTACGTTGCCCTGGCTGGTCTCAGACTCCTGGGCTCATGCAATCCTGCTGCCTCAGCCTCCAAAAGTGCTGGGATTACAGGCGCCCGCCACCACACCCAGGCTGAGCTGAGCTTGTTTTATTTATTTATTTATTTATTTATTTACTTGTATTTATTTATTTATTTTTTTTTTTGAGATGGAGTCTTGCTCTGTCACCCAGGCTGGAATGCAGTGGTGCAATCTCCACTCACTGCAAGCTCTGCCTCCCGGGTTCACGCCATTCTCCTGCCTCAGCCTCCTGAGTAGCTGGGACTACAGGCGCCCGCCACCACGCCCAGCTAATTTTTTGTTTTTTTTTTTAGTAGAGACGGGGTTTCTCCGTGTTAGCCAGGATGGTCTCGATCTCCTGACCTCGTGATCCACCCGCCTCCGCCTCCCAAAGTGCCAGGATTGCAGGCATGAGCCACTGCGCCGAGCTCATTTTCAAACTTTTTTGTAGAGAACGAGTCTCCCTATGTTGCCCTGGCTGGTCTCAGACTCCAGTTTCATGCAGTCCTCCTGCCTCGGCCTCCCAGAGTGAGTGATGGGATTACAGGCATGAGCCACTGCACCCAGGCTGAGCTTGCTTTTTGAATACAAATCCCCAACCCCGAGCTCACCCCTTAAGCACCTCCTCTACCCCATAGGGCTGTCACACTCCAGGCCGTGATCCACCCACCCTATCTCCCTCCTGTGACTCAGTGGATCACTCAGAACAGCTCCTGGCTGGTAGAAGGCCCTTTGCAGAGTGAGGAGCTTCTCCAAGTTTATTACTTTTAGTCACTGTGAGCAGGGATAGATAGAGTTCAGGATCCCCCTGCCTGGGGAGCAGCTTGGGAAGAAAATAATGAACAAGCAGACCGGGCGCGGTGGCTCACTCCTGTAATCCCAGCACTTTGGGAGGCCGAGGCGGGTGGATCTCCTGAGGTCAGGAGTTCGAGATCAGCCTGGTCAACATGGTGAAATCCCGTCTCTACTAAAAATACAAAAAAAGGCTGGGTGCGGTGGCTCATGCCTGTAATCCCAGCACTTTGGGAGGCTGAGGCGGGCGGATCCCAAGGTCAGGAGTTTGAGACCAGCCTGACCAACGGGGTGAAACCCGGTCTCTACTAAAAATACAAAAACTTAGCCAGGCATGACAGTAGGTGCCTGTCATCCCAGGTACTCAGGAGGCTGAGGCAGGAGAATCGCTTGTACCCGGGAAGTGAAGGTTGCAGTGAGCTGAGATCGCGCCACTGCACTCCAGCCTGGTGACAGAGTGAGACTCCATCTCAAAATAAATAAAAAGACTGACTTTCTACAGAAATAATGGACAAGGAGCATGGGGCTGGAAGTCTCTGTGGCCCATGATGGATTTTGTGTGCACGACTTACCGGGGCCTCTGAATGGGGCTTGTTATTACATCCTTCTCTTAGCTGTTGGCCGCCCTTGGCTGGACAGGTGCGCCGGCTTCAAGAACACACAGTTAAGTGCGTGGCCATATGGAAGTTTGGAGCTTGGGTCAGCCCAGCCAGAAAGACCACCTGAACTCAGGGGCCTGTAGACAATCACGTCACCGTCAAGATTAGACATGGTGGATAAAAAAGGATGAGTTCGGCCGGGCGCGGTGGCTCACGCCTGTCATCCCAGCACTTTGGGAGGCCGAGATGGGCGGATCACGAGGTCAGGAGATCGAGACCATCCTGGCTAACACGGAGAAACCCTGTCTCTACTAAAAATACAATAAAAAAATTAGCTGGGCGTGGTGGCGGGCGCCTGTAGTCCCAGCTACTGGGGAGGCTGAGGCAGGAGAATGGCGTGAACCCGGGAGGCAGAGCTTGCAGTGAGCGGAAATCGTGCCACTGCACTCCAGCCTGGGCGACAGAGCCAGACTCTGTCTCAAAAATAAATAAATTAATAAATAAAAGGATGCGTTCATGTCCTTTGCAGGGACATGGATAAAGCTGGAAACCATCATTCTCAGCAAACTATCGCAAGGACAGAAAACCAAACACCGCGTGTTCTCACTCATAGGTGGGAACTGAACAATGAGACCACATGGACACAGGGAGGGGAACGTCACACACTGGGGCCTGTCAGGGCCTGGGGGGCTGGGAGGCTGGGGGAGGGAGAGCACTAGGACAAATACCTAATGTAAATGACGAGTCGATGGGTGCAGCAAACCACCATGGCACATGGATACCTATGTAACAAAACCGCATGTTCTGCACATGTACCCTAGAACTTAAAGTATAATAAAAAGAAAAAAAAGACCAGACATGGCGGAAGGACCCAAGTTCCTGGGTTGGACCCTTCATGAGTCCATGGTGTGTGGAGGGTGAGCGATGTCTCTCAGGTTCATCTCTGAGGGTCAAACGGGCTGTGTCCCCTTCCAGGTGGGGCTGGAGCTCTGGCTAAGGAATGCATGTCTCTGTACCCTGGATGTAAGATCACCGTTTTTGACATCCCAGAAGTGGTGTGGACGGCAAAGCAGCACTTCTCATTCCAGGAGGAAGAACAGATTGACTTCCAGGAAGGTGTGTTTGTGTCCGTGGGGAAGCAGAGATGTGTCTCACGGCTTCTCCAGGGGGACTGGATGTTTCTGGGAAATGAAGAAGATGTGATGTGGTTTTCCTCTCACTCCCGGAAACACCCTCAACTCAACACTGTCTGTTATTCATGATGGATGGAAAGCTGGGTGTAGATATACAGTTTTCTTACAATTATTATTATTATTATTGATACAGAGTCTTGCTTTGTCGCCCAGGCTGGAGTGCAGTGGTGCAGTCTCGGCTCACTGCAACCTCCACCTCCTGGGTTCAAGCAATTCTCCTGCCTCAGCCTCCCAAGTAGCTGGGATTACAGGCATGCGCCACCACATCCAGCTAATTTTTTTTTTTTTTTGAGATGGAGTCTCACTCTCTTGCCCGGGCTGGAGTGTGGTGACAGATCTCGGCTCCCTTCAAGCTCCGCCTCCCGGGTTCACACCATTCTCCTGCCTCAGCCTCCCAAGTAGCTGGGACTACAGGCACCCACCACCACACCTGGCTAATCTTTTATATTTTTAGTAGAGGTGGAGTTTCACTGTGTTAGCCAGGATGGTCTCGATCTCCTGACCGCGTGATCCGCCCACCTTGGCCTCCCAAAGTGCTGGGATTACAGGTGTGAACCATCACACCCGGCCTCTTTTTGTATTTTTAGTAGAGATGGGGTTTCACCGTGTTGACCAGGCTGGTCTCAAACTCCTGACCTCAGGAGATCCACCCGCCTCGGCCTCCCAAAGTGCTGGGATTACAGGCGTGAGCCACCGCACCCAGCCAGTCATATCATTTCTGCAGTGAAGGGTGTGGCCAGGGTCTCCACGACTACCTTCAGGTTCAATAATTCACTAGAAGGACACACCGAGCTCAGAAGAGCCATCATACACATAGTTATATTTACAACAATGAAAGAATACAGATGCATATCAGCGAAGGAGAAAGGAGCATGGGATAGAGTTCGGGAGAAACCACATGTGAGCTTCTTGTTGTCTTCTCCCAGTGGAGCTGTGGACAGCAATCAATTCCCCCAACAACAAGGTTTGACAACACACACCACTCACTGCCAGCCTGGAGAGCCTCCGCAATCCCTGACATCCAAGGATTTTCTTGGAGACTGGTTACATAGACATGGCAGACACCCTGCATGGCTGACTCCAATCTTCACCTCTTCCAGAGTTCCCAAGGTGATCCTATAGTAAATCCCACTGTTAGTACAAACTATCCTGGGTGGCCCAGAGACCCAGCTGAACAAAGATACCCTTGTGAGGTAGGACATTCTTAGAGATTACAGTTGCCAATTAAGTGCCAATCCTCTCTTTAGAATGTGGAGGGTTTGGACAACACAGGCCTGCTGAGTTAACCCCCCCCCTTTTTTTTTCTTGTTTTTTTGAGACGGAGTCTCACTCTGTCACCCAGGCTGGAGTGCAGTGGCGTGATCCAAGCTCACTGCAACCTCTGCCTCCCAGGTTCAAGCAATTTTTTGCCTCAGCCTCCTAAGTAGCTGAGATTTTACAGGTGCCTATCACCATGCCTGGCTAATTTTTTGTATTTTTAGTAGAGACAGGGTTTCACTATCTCGGCCAGGCTGGTTTTGAATTCCTGACCTCGTGATCCACCTGCCTCGGCCTCCCAAAGTGCTGGGGATTACAGGAGTGAGCCACCGCGCCTGGCCTGAGTTAACTCTTTTTTTTTTTTTTTTGAGATGGAGTCTCGCTCTGTCACCCAGGCTGGAGTGCAGTGGTGGGATCTCGGCTCACTGCAAGCTCCACCTCCCGGGTTCACACCATTCTCCTGCCTCAGCCTCCCGAGTAGCTGGGACTACAGGCGCCCACCACCACGCCCAGCTAATTTTTTTTTTTTTTTTGTATTTTTGGTAGAGATGGGGTTTCACCGTGTTAGCCAGGATGGTCTCAATCTCCTGATCTCGTGATCTGCCCCGCTCAGACTCCCAAAGTGCTGGGATTACAGGCGTGAGCCACCGCGCCTGGCCTGAATTAACTCTTCACTGCACAGAGCTCACCAAGATCTCTCCCAAGATTGGCACCTTATCATTTTGCGGGAAAACTATGACAAGACTTGAGCGTTTCACATCGCACACACATAAAGGGTCAGTCTTGCGTATTTACTTTAAATCTGGAGAACAGGTCTTGACTGTAGGTTCAGTTCAGCTCATCAGTTAGGAGCTGCTGACCGAATTCCCAGGGACTCCTGGAATCCACGGCTTTGGGTGATATCAGCAGCAGTGCTTTTGCAGGGGACATCAGAAAGAAAGAAAGAAAGAACATGGGCCGGGCACAGCAGCTCATGCCTGTAATCCCAGCACTTTGGGAGGCCGAGGCGGGCGGATCACCTCAGGTTGGGGGTTCGAGACCAGCCTCAGCAACATGGAGAAATCCCATCTCTACTAAAAATACAAAAATTAGCCGGGCGTGGTGGCGGGTGCCTGTAATCCCAGCTACTCAGGAGGCTGAGGCAGGAGAATCGCTTGAAACCAGGAGGTGGAGGTTGCGGTGAGCTGAGATCAGGCCCTTGCACTCCAGCCTGGGCAACAAGAGCAAAACTCCATCTCAAACAAACAAACAAACAAAAAAACAAAAAAGAAACCATATTATGATTTTTTTTTAAAGGAGGAGGAGAGAAAGAGGCCACACTTATTCAGTATTTTCTTTCTTTTTTTTTTTTTGGAGACAGTCTCGCTGTCGCCCAGGCTGGAGTGCAATGGTGCAATCTCGGCTCACTGCAAGCTCCGCCTCCCGGGTTCATGCCATTCTCCTGCCTCAGCCTCCCGAGTAGCTGGGACCACAGGCACCCGCCATCACGCCCGGCTAATTTTTTTTGTATTTTTAGTAGAGACAGGGTTTCACCGTGTTAGCCAGGATGGTCTTGATCTCCTGACCTCGTGATCTGCCCACCTCCGCCTCCCAAAGTGCTAGGATTACAGGCGTGAGCCACCGCGCCCGACCTCAGTATTTTCTTATCTTTCTCCTAAGCCTTTTTGTTTTCTGAGGCTAGGTCTGCAGGTGACTAGCCTGGAAGACCTGGGAAAGGCGTGACCCATCCAGGTGACCTTTTGTGCCCAGAATAGGTTTAGTCAAATGGGATTGGATTGCAGGCTGACCTCGGTGTGCCTGCCCTGTGTTCCAGGGGATTTCTTCAAAGACCCTCTTCCGGAAGCTGATCTGTACATCCTGGCCAGGGTCCTCCATGACTGGGCAGACGGAAAGTGCTCACACCTGCTGGAGAGGATCTACCACACTTGCAAGCCAGGTAAGTTGTGGGGTTTGCATTTCAGCGTGTGCTTGTGACACGGGGCAGAATTGTACGAGTCACATTTAGAAGGCAGGCACTGAAATCATCCCACAGGTAAGGGTAGACATCCTGCCCAATATGGCTTTCCTTTTAGATAACGACCTGAAATAAATAGGGTCCTAATTTCTATTCTATTGATAAAACCACATAAAGATGGAAAAAGTGAAAGGCCCTCTGAAACTTCAGTGGCCTCACTTTGGTGAAATTCTTTCAGAATTAGGCTAGTATTTGTGTGTGTGATGAGGACAGTGCCCCACTGACTTCTGAGGTCCACCCATCCTGATGGTTCATGAGGATGTGGGCACAGCCTCTGTGTGTGATGGGGACAGTGTCCCAGCTCTCCTGTGAGGTCCATCCATCCTGATGGCACATGAGGATGTGGGCACAGCCTCTGTGTGTGATGGGGACAGTGTCCCAGCTCTCCTGTGAGGTCCATCCATCCTGATGGCACATGAGGATGTGGGCACAGCCTCTGTGTGTGAGATAAGGACTGTGTCCCAGCTCTCCTGTGAGGTCCACCCATCCTGATGCTTCACGAGGACGTGGGCACAGCCTCTGTGTATGATGGGGACAGTGTCCCAGTGTCCTGTGAGGTCCATCCATCCTGATGGCACATGAGGATGTGGACACAGCCTCTGTGTGTGTGATGGGGACAGTGTCCCAGTGTCCTGTGAGATCCATCCCTCCTGATGGTTCATGAGGATGTGGGCACAGCCTCTGTGTATGATGGGGACAGTGTCCCAGTGTCCTGTGAGATCCATCCCTCCTGATGCTTCACGAGGACGTGGGCACAGCCTCTGTGTATGATGGGGACAGTGTCCCAGTGTCCTGTGAGGTCCACCCATCCTGATGGCACATGAGGATGTGGGCACAGCCTCTGTGTGTGAGATAGGGACCATGTCCCAGCTCTCCTGTGAGGTCCATCCATCCTGATGATCCATGAGGATGTGGACACAGCCTCTGTGTGTGTGATGGGGACAGTGTCCCAGTGTCCTGTGAGATCCATCCCTCCTGATGGTTCATGAGGATGTGGGCACAGCCTCTGTGTGTGAGATAGGGACCATGTCCCAGCTCTCCTGTGAGGTCCATCCATCCTGATGATCCATGAGGATGTGGACACAGCCTCTGTGTGTGTGATGGGGACAGTGTCCCAGTGTCCTGTGAGATCCATCCCTCCTGATGGTTCATGAGGATGTGGGCACAGCCTCTGTGTGTGAGATAGGGACCATGTCCCAGCTCTCCTGTGAGGTCCATCCATCCTGATGGCACATGAGGATGTGGGCACAGCCTCTGTGTGTGAGATAGGGACCATGTCCCAGCTCTCCTGTGAGGTCCATCCATCCTGATGATCCATGAGGATGTGGACACAGCCTCTGTGTGTGTGATGGGGACAGTGTCCCAGTGTCCTGTGAGATCCATCCCTCCTGATGGTTCATGAGGATGTGGGCACAGCCTCTGTGTGTGAGATAGGGACCATGTCCCAGCTCTCCTGTGAGGTCCATCCATCCTGATGGCACATGAGGATGTGGGCACAGCCTCTGTGTGTGAGATAGGGACCATGTCCCAGCTCTCCTGTGAGGTCCATCCATCCTGATGATCCATGAGGATGTGGACACAGCCTCTGTGTGTGTGATGGGGACAGTGTCCCAGTGTCCTGTGAGATCCATCCCTCCTGATGGTTCATGAGGATGTGGGCACAGCCTCTGTGTGTGAGATAGGGACCATGTCCCAGCTCTCCTGTGAGGTCCATCCATCCTGATGATCCATGAGGATGTGGACACAGCCTCTGTGTGTGTGATGGGGACAGTGTCCCAGTGTCCTGTGAGATCCATCCCTCCTGATGGTTCATGAGGATGTGGGCACAGCCTCTGTGTGTGAGATAGGGACCATGTCCCAGCTCTCCTGTGAGGTCCATCCATCCTGATGGCACATGAGGATGTGGGCACAGCCTCTGTGTGTGAGATAGGGACCATGTCCCAGCTCTCCTGTGAGGTCCACCCATCCTGATGCTTCACGAGGACGTGGGCACAGCCTCTGTGTATGATGGGGACAGTGTCCCAGTGTCCTGTGAGGTCCATCCATCCTGATGGCACATGAGGATGTGGACACAGCCTCTGTGTGTGTGATGGGGACAGTGTCCCAGTGTCCTGTGAGATCCATCCCTCCTGATGGTTCATGAGGATGTGGGCACAGCCTCTGTGTGTGAGATAGGGACCATGTCCCAGCTCTCCTGTGAGGTCCACCCATCCTGATGATCCATGAGGATGTGGACACAGCCTCTGTGTGTGTGATGGGGACAGTGTCCCAGTGTCCTGTGAGATCCATCCATCCTGATGGCACATGAGGATGTGGGCACAGCCTCTGTGTGTGAGATAGGGACCATGTCCCAGCTCTCCTGTGAGGTCCATCCATCCTGATGATCCATGAGGATGTGGACACAGCCTCTGTGTGTGTGATGGGGACAGTGTCCCAGTGTCCTGTGAGATCCATCCCTCCTGATGGTTCATGAGGATGTGGGCACAGCCTCTGTGTGTGAGATAGGGACCATGTCCCAGCTCTCCTGTGAGGTCCACCCATCCTGATGATCCATGAGGATGTGGACACAGCCTCTGTGTGTGTGATGGGGACAGTGTCCCAGTGTCCTGTGAGATCCATCCATCCTGATGGTTCATGAGGATGTGGGCACAGCCTCTGTGTGTGAGATAGGGACCATGTCCCAGCTCTCCTGTGAGGTCCATCCATCCTGATGGCACATGAGGATGTGGGCACAGCCTCTGTGTGTGAGATAAGGACTGTGTCCCAGCTCTCCTGTGAGGTCCACCCATCCTGATGCTTCACGAGGACGTGGGCACAGCCTCTGTGTATGATGGGGACAGTGTCCCAGTGTCCTGTGAGGTCCATCCATCCTGATGGCACATGAGGATGTGGACACAGCCTCTGTGTGTGTGATGGGGACAGTGTCCCAGTGTCCTGTGAGATCCATCCCTCCTGATGGTTCATGAGGATGTGGGCACAGCCTCTGTGTGTGAGATAGGGACCATGTCCCAGCTCTCCTGTGAGGTCCACCCATCCTGATGATCCATGAGGATGTGGACACAGCCTCTGTGTGTGTGATGGGGACAGTGTCCCAGTGTCCTGTGAGATCCATCCATCCTGATGGCACATGAGGATGTGGGCACAGCCTCTGTGTGTGAGATAGGGACCATGTCCCAGCTCTCCTGTGAGGTCCATCCATCCTGATGATCCATGAGGATGTGGACACAGCCTCTGTGTGTGTGATGGGGACAGTGTCCCAGTGTCCTGTGAGATCCATCCCTCCTGATGGTTCATGAGGATGTGGGCACAGCCTCTGTGTGTGAGATAGGGACCATGTCCCAGCTCTCCTGTGAGGTCCACCCATCCTGATGATCCATGAGGATGTGGACACAGCCTCTGTGTGTGTGATGGGGACAGTGTCCCAGTGTCCTGTGAGATCCATCCATCCTGATGGCACATGAGGATGTGGGCACAGCCTCTGTGTGTGAGATAGGGACCATGTCCCAGCTCTCCTGTGAGGTCCACCCATCCTGATGATCCATGAGGATGTGGACACAGCCTCTGTGTGTGTGATGGGGACAGTGTCCCAGTGTCCTGTGAGGTCCATCCCTCCTGATGGTTCATGAGGATGTGGGCACAGCCTCTGTGTGTGAGATAGGGACCATGTCCCAGCTCTCCTGTGAGGTCCACCCATCCTGATGATCCATGAGGATGTGGACACAGCCTCTGTGTGTGTGATGGGGACAGTGTCCCAGTGTCCTGTGAGATCCATCCCTCCTGATGGTTCATGAGGATGTGGGCACAGCCTCTGTGTGTGAGATAGGGACCATGTCCCAGCTCTCCTGTGAGGTCCACCCATCCTGATGCTTCATGAGGACGTGGGCACAGCCTCTGTGTATGATGGGGACAGTGTCCCAGTGTCCTGTGAGATCCATCCATCCTGATGGCACATGAGGATGTGGGCACAGCCTCTGTGTGTGAGATAGGGACCATGTCCCAGCTCTCCTGTGAGGTCCATCCATCCTGATGATCCATGAGGATGTGGACACAGCCTCTGTGTGTGTGATGGGGACAGTGTCCCAGTGTCCTGTGAGATCCATCCCTCCTGATGGTTCATGAGGATGTGGGCACAGCCTCTGTGTGTGAGATAGGGACCATGTCCCAGCTCTCCTGTGAGGTCCACCCATCCTGATGATCCATGAGGATGTGGACACAGCCTCTGTGTGTGTGATGGGGACAGTGTCCCAGTGTCCTGTGAGATCCATCCATCCTGATGGCACATGAGGATGTGGGCACAGCCTCTGTGTGTGAGATAGGGACCATGTCCCAGCTCTCCTGTGAGGTCCACCCATCCTGATGATCCATGAGGATGTGGACACAGCCTCTGTGTGTGTGATGGGGACAGTGTCCCAGTGTCCTGTGAGGTCCATCCCTCCTGATGGTTCATGAGGATGTGGGCACAGCCTCTGTGTGTGAGATAGGGACCATGTCCCAGCTCTCCTGTGAGGTCCACCCATCCTGATGATCCATGAGGATGTGGACACAGCCTCTGTGTGTGTGATGGGGACAGTGTCCCAGTGTCCTGTGAGATCCATCCCTCCTGATGGTTCATGAGGATGTGGGCACAGCCTCTGTGTGTGAGATAGGGACCATGTCCCAGCTCTCCTGTGAGGTCCACCCATCCTGATGATCCATTAGGATGTGGACACAGCCTCTGTGTGTGTGATAGGGACCATGTCCCAGTGTCCTGTGAGGTCCACCTATCCTGATGGTCCATGAGGATGTGGACACAGCCGCTCTGTGTGTGATGGGGACAGTGTCCCAGCTCTCCTGTGAGGTCCATCCATCCTGATGGTTCATGGGGACGTGAGCACAGCCTCTGTGTGTGTGTTGGGGACAGTGTCCCAGTTCTCCTGTGAGGTCCACCCATCCTGATGGTTCATGAGGATGTGGGCACAGCCTCTGTGTGTGTGATGGGGACAGTGTCCCAGTGTCCTGTGAGGTCCACCCATCCTGGTGGTCCATGAGTACATGGACACAGCCTCTCTGTGTGAGATGGGGACAGTGTCCCAGTTCTCCTGTGAGGTCCACCCATCCTGGTGGTCCATGAGTACATGGACACAGCCTCTCTGTGTGTGATAAGGACAGTGTTCCAGCTCTCCTGTGAGGTCCACCCATCTTGATGGTTCATGAGGACTTGGGCATGGCCTCTATGTGTGTGATGGGGACAGTGTCCCAGTGTCCTGTGAGGTCCACCCATCCTGATGGTCCATGAGGATGTGGGCACAACCTCTTTGTGTGTGATGGGGACAGTGTCCCAGTGTCTGTGAGGTCCACCCATCCGATGGTTCATGAGGACGTGGGCACAGCCTCTGTGTGTAATGGGGATAGCATCCCAGTGTCCTGTGAGGTCCATCCATCCTGATGGCCCATGAGGATGTGGGCACAGCCTCTGTGTGTGTGTGTGTGATGGGGACGGTGTCCCAGTTCTCCTGTGAGGTCCACCCATCCTGATGGTCCATGAGGACATGGGCACAGCCTCTCTGTGTGTGATAAGGACAGTGTTCCAGCTCTCCTGTGAGGTCCACCCATCTTGATGGTTCATGAGGACTTGGGCACAGCCTCTGTGTGTGTGATGGGGACAGTGTCCCAGTGTCCTGTGAGGTCCATACATCCTGATGGTCCATGAGGACATGGGCACAACCTCTGTGTGTATAATGGGGACAGTGTCCCAGTGTCCTGTGAGGTCCACCCATCCTGATGGTTCATGAGGACGTGGGCTCAGCCTCTGTGTGTAATGAGGACAGTGTCCCAGTGTCCTGAGAGGTCCATCGATCCTGATGGCCCATGAGGATGTGGGCACAGCCTCTGTGTGTGTGTGATGGGGACGGTGTCCCAGTTCTCCTGTGAGGTCCATCCATCCTGATGGTTCATGAGGACATGGGCACAGCCTCTATGTGTGTGATGGGGACAGTGTCCCAGCGTCCTGTGAGGTTCACCCATCCTGATGATCGATGAGGACGTGGGCACAGCCTCTGAGTGTGTGATGGGGACGGTGCCCTGACTGTCCTCTGAGGTCTGGCTGTCCTTATGGTTCACTGGGACTTTGGCACAGTCTGTCTGTGTGTTTGTGTGTGATGTGGACTGTGCCCCTCCCTTTCTAGGTGGTGGCATTCTGGTAATTGAAAGCCTCCTGGATGAAGACAGGCGAGGTCCTCTGCTCACGCAGCTCTACTCTCTGAACATGCTTGTGCAGACGGAAGGGCAGGAGAGGACCCCCACCCACTACCACATGCTCCTCTCTTCTGCTGGCTTCAGAGACTTCCAGTTTAAGAAAACAGGAGCCATTTATGATGCCATTTTAGCCAGGAAATAACTGTTTCTTGTGACCTGGAACTAACGTCAAAGCACACAAGACATAATAATAAAGACATGTACCTCCAGTGGCTTCTTGTTCTTGGTGTTCACATGATAAGTGACTGGAGGCTTCTGTGGACAGGGTTGGACTGCTTCTACTTTGTAGATTATTTCCCAGGCTTTACTGAGGACCACGCTGATGGGGGTGTGAGCTCAGCTTTGATATTGACTGTAAGCAAAGTTTTGGTCCTCTTCATGCTGTAAAGTGGGACTCCAGTGTTCACCTTGAGGGGTGTCTGTTAGAAGCTTCACCCTGAACAGAACTTTGGCACCAGTGATGGATGTAGCAACTATAGGTGTCTATGAAATATGAGGTTCTCCTTTCAGGCTGCCTTGCACAGCTCTGTGACTTATTAGTGATGCCATTTCAACCGTGAGAAAGGTGAGGCTTTCTGTCTCTCTCTCTCTGCCTCAGACAGTCCCATCTGTCTCTCCTGTATGGATCTGTACTCAAATCTCTTCATGTAGCCACCATGAGAGTGCGGGCATTTGCCGCCAGATTAGATCACGCCACATCTGTGGATACAGAGAAATCAGCAGATGCTACAGAAGAGGAAAATATTTCCCTCCTACCAATCTCATACCCATTTCTCCCTGGACCTCTTCCGCAATGTCAACAAGGTTTTCTACTTCTTGTTTTCCTCTAGTGTACATTTTAGATTATTTTGGTACTTTCTTTACTCTCAGTCTAAACATTGTTTTTTTCAACTAAAAAGATGAGAAAACAAAACAAAATGGAATAATCGTCAAAGCAAGTTGTTGTGGGTTGAATTCTGTTCCCCAAAAGATATGTCCAGGCTGTGGCCCCTGGAACCTGTGAATGGTATCTTATTTAGAAGTAAGATCTTTGCTGATGAAATCAAGTTCAGATGAGGTCATTAGGATGAGCGCTAAATCCAATATGACTGATGTGCTTATAAGAAAACAAGAGACACAGAAACGCACAGAAGAGAGGGGAGAATGCCACATGAGGACACAGACACAGGTGAGAAGGCCACATGGAGACAGAGGCAGAGACTAGAGTGATGCGGCCACAAGCCCAGGGACACCTGGAGCCCCCAGGAACTGGGAGAGGCAGGAAGAGTCCTCCCCTAGAGCCTCTGGAGGGAATGTAGCTCTGCAACATCTTGATCTCAGAATTCTAGTTTGCAGCACTGGGCAAGTTTATTATTATTATTATTATTATTATTATTATTATTATTATTATTTTGAGATGGAGTCTTGCTCTGTTGCCCAGGCTGGAGTGCAGTGGCATGATCTCGGCTCGCTGCAAGCGCCACCTCCCAGGTTCACGCCATTCTGCCTCAGCCTCCTGAGTAGCTGGGACTACAGGTGCCCGCCACCACACCCAGCTAATTTTTTGTATTTTTAGTAAAGACACGGTTTCACCATGTTAGGTGGTCCTAACAAACTCATCTACAAGAAAGGTAAGGAATGGTGTGCACATTTCAAATTTTAAGTTTGAAAAAGCACAAGAGAATCTGCTTCTTTTTGCAATGTCTAATCTGTTTAAAAGGCATCTTTCACAGAGAGTGTGATTTGGGAATATTTGCAGAGTTGCATGACACCTTTTAAAATTAGATTAAACAGGAAGAAAAGAGACTCAGGGACATCTTAATTCTCTGTTGAGGAGTTCTCATAAACTAAACGGTCTAATTTCAAAATGTTCAAGCTGAAGTTTGGAAATGAACTCTTTCGAAAAACATGCTTATGTCAGTTGCTGGGAGTTGCAGCTGGTGGTCATCCCCGAGAACATGCATTCACCACAAGTCCATGGAGGCCTTATTCATGCCAAGAGTAGTGGAGTCCAGTCCCTCAGAGTGCCCTGTGTGCCCTGCTGCAAATAGGACCTTTTCCTGGGTATTCAGTGATGCACAGGCAACTAATTATAGGGGAACGCTTATTTAATAAGGAATGAAGATTTTATCTTCTTATTTATTTTTCAGAGATGAAGTCTTGCTCTGTTTCCCAGGCTGGAGTACAGTGGTACAGTGATAGCTCACTGCAGCCTCCAACTCATGGGCTCAAGCGATTCTCCTGCCTCAGCCTCCCTAGTAGCTGGGACTACAGGCTCAACTAATCGATTTTTTTTTTTTTTTTTTTTAGAGACAGGATCTTGCTATGTTGCCCAGGCTGTTCTCAAACTCCTGGTCTCAAGTGAGTCTCCTGCCTCAGCCTCCCAAAATGCTGGAATTACTGGCATGAGTCACTGCACCTGGCCTAT
The DNA here is from genome assembly GCF_000001405.40 of Homo sapiens. Taxonomy (NCBI): domain Eukaryota; kingdom Metazoa; phylum Chordata; class Mammalia; order Primates; family Hominidae; genus Homo; species Homo sapiens. The sequence continues at coordinate 1,645,280 of NC_000023.11, forward strand.
TTGATCTTTCTAATTCTTGCCCCATCAATGCCCTGTCAAATTTTCTTCACCCAAGTAACAGAACTTTATTAATTACCATAATTATCTGATCGAATGGAGTTCCCAAGCCCCATCAGGTTTTTTTTGTGTTTTTTTTTTTTGAGACAGAATCTCGCTCTGTCACCCAGGCTGGAGTGCAGTGGCATGATCTCGGGTCACTGCAAGCTCCACCTTTGGGTTCATGCCATTCTCCTGCCTCAGCCTCCCAAGTAGCTGGGACTACAGGTGCCCACCACCACGCCTGGCTAATTTTTTTGTATTTTTAGTAGAGACAGGGTTTCATTGTGGTCTCGATCTCCTGACCTCATGATCTGCCCACCTCAGCCTCCCAAAGTGCTGGGATTACAGGCGTGAGCCACTGCACCCAGCCCCAAGCCCCTATCAGCTTTAAAGAAAACTTCAGTTTTTAAAACTAAGATCCTGACTTTCCTGCATGGTGAGTGCTGAGACATTCCTCCCTGATGGCTGCTCCATGGAGGAAGGGCTAGGGTCTGACTTGGGAACTGCCTCCCCTTCTGGGCAGAGAGGAGGACCAGAGCAGGCAGGGTCTTCCATCCCTACTGAAGGGGTTGGAGGTGGGCAATGGTCTCTGTCCAGGCTGACCCTTTTGATGCTGGAGCCTGGCTGGTTTTCCAAGTCCCCATCCATGTGGTAGACATGGCTATGGTGGGCATTGTTCATTGCCATCCTGTCTTCCTTTGTATTCAGAGATCCTCTTAGAGACAGCCAAGGAGTCTCCATTAGAATTTCTGGGGTGGGCATGCCTTGTGCTTGGCTGGGAGCCACCTCATCAGCACCACTGTCCTGCCTCTCCATTCACCATGAGAACCTCATGGGCTCCTCTTCCAAGTTCAGGAGCCAGGGGGTTCTAGAAGGTGCCCATTATACCATCACTCCCCATTGGACCCTCTTTGCCCCAGGTCAAGTAGGCACAGGGAGTTTTCTTCCTAACCAGAAACTTAGCAGAGAAAGACAGCTCCTCTTGTCTTCTTGTAGGCTCCCCTCAATCTTTATGAGTGGTTTTCTGGGATTTCTTTCTCTTGTCTGGGAGGAGACCCCAGCTTCTCTTTCCTGAGGCAGAGCATTCAGACAGATGCTAATTCCTTCCCACCCACCCAAAGTTTTTTGTCACTTATGCCACTGGGCTGGGGTTACTGGGAGTGGGAAGGTGTATATATTTGGGATTTTTTTTCCCTTTTGTCCTTAAATTCCAAGTCCTGGTGAGTTAATTGAGGACATAATGTACCAAAATCTATTTTTTCCTCCTATTTCTTCCTCTCCTTCCTTCCTCCCTTCCTTCCTTCCTTCCCTCTTTCTTTCTCTCTCTCTTTCTTTCTTTCTTTCTTTTTTTTTTTTTTTAACAGAGTCTCGCTGTCTCCCAAGCTGGAGTGCAGTGGTGTGATCTCGGCTCACTGCAAGCTCCGCCTCCCAGGTTCACGCCTTTCTCCTGTCTCAGCCTCCTGAGTAGCTGGGACTACAGGCACCTGCCACCATGCCCGGCTAATTTTTTGCATTTTTAGTAGAGACGGGGTTTCACCATGTTAGCCAGGATGGTCTCAATCTCCTGACCTCGTGATCCACCTGCCTCAGCCTCCCAAAGTGCTGGGAATACAGGCATGAGCCATCACGCCCAGATTCACTCTTTCTTTCTTTCTTTCTTTCTTTTTCTTTCTTTCTTTCTCTTTCTTCTTTCTTTCTTTCTTCTTTCTTCTCTCTTTTGTTCTCTCCTTTCTTTCCTTGTTTCTCTTTCCTCCTTTACCTCTTTCTTCTTTTTCTTCCTTTCTTCCCTTTCATTTCTCTCTTTCTTTCTTTCTTCCTTTCTTTCCTTTCTTTCTTTTCTTCCTTTCTTTCTTTCTTTCCCCTTTCTGATTTTCTATCTATCTAATGCTCTAAGTCGTAAAAAGAAGAAAAAACGTGAGCATTTGTCACTGCTTTTTCTTCTTGCAGACAGTTTCATTGGGTGGTTGTATTTGGCTGGGTAGTGACCTGTAGCTATTAGTGACCTGTAGCTGCTGTAACAAGTTATCACAAATGTGGTAGCTGAAAACAACACAAATTAACTGTCTTGCAGTTATGAAGAACAGAAGGCTGAAGTCAGTTTCCCTAGGCTAACATAAAAGTGTTGGCAGGACTGCTTTATTCTAGAGGCTTTGGAGGTGAATGCATTTTCTTGCCTTGCCAGCTTCCAGAAGCTGCCTGCTTTCCTTGGCTCATGGTCCCTTCCTCCACTTGCAAAACCCACACCCACATCACTCCGGGCTCTGCTTCCATTGTCACCTCTTCTATAACTTTGATCCTCTTGCCTCCCTCTCATAAGGAGCCTTCTGATGACAGATGGCCAACCCAGAGAATCCAGGACAGCCCCCCTCTTAGGATCACTAATTAAACCACAGTTGCCAAGTGTGTTTTTCCAGGTGAGGTCACATATTCACAGGTTCTAGAGACTGGGATGTGGACAGCTTTGGGGGATATTATTCCTCTACCATATGGGGAGTGGGATGTATAAATCTTTGGGGCCATTATTCTGTCTATCACATGGGGATTTGGGTGTTGATAACATTTTTAGGGTCATTATTCTGTCCACCACGTGGGGATTAGGATGTGGACATCTTTGGGGGCCATTACTCCTTCTACCACATGGGATTGCAATGTAGACATCTTTGGGGGCCATTTTCTGTCTCCCACATGGGATTAGGATGTGGACATCTTTGGGGCCATTATTCTGTCTACCACATGGGGATTAGGATGTGGACATCTGGCTGGGCGCAGTGGCTCACGCCTGTAATCCCAGCACTTTGGGAGGCTGAGGCAGGTGGATCACAAGGTCAGGAGATGGAGACCATCCTGGCTAACATGGTGAAACCCCATCTCTACTAAAAATACAAAAAATTGGCCAGGCATGGAGGCGGGCGCCTGTAGCCCCAGCTACTAGGGAGGCTGAGGCAGGAGAATGTCGTGAACCCGGGAGGCAGAGGTTGCAGTGAGCCGAGATCGCGCCACTGCACTCCAGCCTGGTCGACAGAGCGAGAGTCCATCTCAAAATAAATAAATAAGTAAAATAAAAGCGTGTGTATACGTTCATATATACAGACGGTTTCCAGCTTACAGTGGTTGGATTTACAACTTTTCAGCGTTACGATCAGTGTATCAAGATACTAAATGCATTTTTAAGTTAAGGTATGTGGACCCATGATAGACTTGTGGGGAGGTAACCCCACTGTAAGTCAAGGGGCATCCCTCTGTGAGTATATAGATTCTCCACCCCCTAAAAAAATTATAAGCACTGTGACCACCCCTAAAGTGGCTCAGGCTCATGCATGTAGCCCGCCTGGGCTTGAATGCTCTTTGCAAACATACGTTAGATCTGGACAGCCCAGTTCTTCAGGGAAACCCTCTTGGGGCCATGGCAACATGTGGACCATTCCGGAAGAGCGAGAACCGGTGCCTGCCAGCAGGTGGCAGCATGGGGCAGCTGATGTAACCCGGCTTCCTTCGCTCCAAGATTGCACCTGTCAGAGGCAGTCAGGGCTGGGGTGACCATGAATGGGGAAAAAGCAACCCCCCGCCCCAACTTTAGTGCTTTGCCGCTTTTTTTTTTTTTGAGATGGAGTCTCGCACTGTCGCCTGGGCTGGAGTGCAAAGGCAAGATCTCGGCTCACTGCAACCTCCACCTCCTGGGTTCAAGCGATTCTCCTGCCTTGGCCTCCCAAGTAGCTGGGGTTATAGGCACCTGCCACCACGCCCGGCTAATTTTTTTTTTTGTATTTTTAGTAGAGACGGGGTTTCACCATGTTGGCCAGGCTGGTCTCGAACTCCTGACCTCGTGACCCGCCCGCCTCGGCCTCCCAAAGTGTTGGGATTACAGGCGTGAGCCACCGTGCCCAGTCTGCTTTGCTGTTTTAAATGTTGGTTTTCACTAAAAACAATCCCACATCCAAAAGGATTTTTTCATTATTTTCCCCCATCAAGGGCAGATACACTAAAACTTCAGAGGCTGGCCTGGCGCAGTGGCTCATGCCTGTAATCCCAGCACTTTGGGAGGCCGAAGGGGGTGTATCAGTTGAGGTCAGGAGTTCGAGACCATCCTGGCCAACATGGTGAAACCCTATCTCTACTAAAAAGCACAAAATTAGCTGGGCGTGGTGGTGGGCGCCTGTAATTCCAGCTACTCGGGAGACTGAGGCAGGAGAATCGTTTGAACCCGGGAGGTGGAGGTTGCAGTGAGCCGAGATCGCGCCACTGCCCTCCAGCCTGGGCAACAAGAGCAAAACTCGGTCTCAAAAAAAAAAAAAAAAAAAAAATCGGAGGCTTACATTTTCTCTTGTTGAAAAATGAGGAGAGGGATATTTTCCCACTTTCCGCCCCGCCCCCCTCCCCAGCAAACTGGTAGCTGCAAGTTCTTTGTCGGCCTTTTTCAAATGTGTGTAAATCTTTTAAAGAAAGCGGCACCATAGCTCAAGAATGTTTCCTGCAGTGTCTGGGAGGAATCTCTTTGAAATGTGATCCCCAAGGGGGAGGAAAAAAAGCCTCATCCCCCGGGGTCCACAGAGGAGAAGAGCTTAATTTAATCTGTCACCTCACTCCAAATTGCAAAGCCTACACCTCCAGTCAAAATGAGTCCTTGTTTAGTTTCAGAAAACGAAAGGAAAGGGCTGTCTCCACTTTGCTGCGTAAAAGGATGAGATTTCTTTCTTTTTTTCCTTTTCTTTTTTTTTTTGAGACGGAGTTCTGCTCTTGTTACCCAGGCTGGAGTGCAGTGGTGCGATCTTGGCTCACGGATACCTCTCCCTCCCGGGTTCAAGCGATTCTCCTGCCTCAGCCTCCCGAGTAGCTGGGATTGCAGGCACGCACCACCATGCCCGGCTAATTTTTTGTATTTTTAGTGGACACAAAGTTTCTCCATGTTGGTCAGGCTGGTTTCGAACTCCCGACCTCAGGTGATCCACCTGCCTCGGCCTCCCAAAGTGCTGGGATGACAGGCGTGAGCCACCACACCCGGCCCATAAAAGGGTGAGATTTCTTTCTGTGTTTCTGATCCCTTTCACGGATGGCCTGGGGTGTATATCACATTTGAATTGAATGCTTGTTCTGTAGAAAAATGGTTTTCTTTTTCTTCTACCCTTGAGGAGAGGGGTTAAGGAAGGAGTTCCTGGATCGGGAGGAGATTTTTTTGCTTTTTTTTTTTTTTTTTTTTTTTTTTTTTGAGACAGAGTCCCTGTGACTCAGTCTGGAGTGCCCTGGAAGATCTCGGCTCACTGCAACCTCCGCCTCCACGGTTCAAGCGATTCTCCTGCCTCAGCCTCTCGAGTAGCTGGAATTACAGTTGTGCACCATCATCTCTGGCTAATTTTTGTATTTTTTTTTTTTGAGATAGAATTTCTCTCTTGTTGCCCAGACTGGAGTGCAATGGCGTGATCTCAGCTCACCACAACCTCCGCCTCTCAGGTTCAAGCGATTCTCCTGCCTCAGCTTCCCTAATAGCTGGGATTACAGGCATGTGCCACCACGCCCAGCTAATTTTTGTATTTTTAGTAGAGACGGGTTTCACCATGTTGGCCAGGCTGGTCTCGAACTCCGGACCTCAGGTGATCCACCTGCCTTGGCCTCCCAAAGTGCTGCAATTACAGGCGTGAACCACCGTACCCGGCCAATTTTTGTATTTTTTTGGTAGAGACAGGGTTTCTCCATGTTGGTCAGGCTGGTCTCGAACTCCTGACCTGAAGTGATCTGCCCACCTTGGCCTCCCAATGTGCTGGGATGAGAGGTGTGAGCCACTGCACCTGGCCTTTGGTTGTTTTTTTTTTTTTTTTTTTGAGACAGAGTCCCTGTCACTCAGTCTGGGGTGTCGTGGCTGATCTCGGCTCACTGCAACCTCTGCCTCCAGGATTCAAGCGATTCTCCTGCCTCAGCCTCCTGAGTAGCTGAGATTACAGGCCTGGCTAATTTTGTATTTTTTAGTAGAGATGGGGTTTGATCATGTTGCTCAGGCTGGTCTCGAACACCTGACCTCAAGTGGTCCGCCCGCCTCGTCCTCCCAAAGTGCTGGGGTGACAGGCATGAGCCACCACTCCTGGTAGAGATTTTGCTTTTTAATTCTATTTCCTTAACACCTTGAACATGTATGGCTTGGGCTGTTCCTCATCTCAGCCTTATGTTTTGATTCGATTGCCTTCCAATGAGCACCTTATTATTTAAAAGTGGACTTCAAGATGGGACTGTACCGTTTCCTTTTCTATCACACTTCACTGTTGGACCGTGAACTCTATTATTATTGTTATTTTTGAGATAGAGTTTCGCTCTTGTTGCCCAGGCTGGAGTGCAATGGTGTGATCTCAGCTCACTGCAACCTCTGCCTTCCGGTTTCAAGCGATTCTCCTGCCTCAGCCTGCCAAAGAGCTGGGATTACAGGCACACACCACCATGCCCGGCTAATTTTTGTATTTTTAATAGAGACAGGGTTTCACCATGTTGCCCAGGCTGGTCTGGAACTCCTGACTTCGTGATCTGCCCGCCTCGGCCTCCCAAGGTGCTGGGACTACAGGCATGTGCCACCACACCCGGCTAATTTTTGTATTTTTAATAGAGACAGGGTTTCACCATGTTGCCCAGGCTGGTCTCAAACTCCTGACCTCATGATCCGCCTGCCTCGGCCTCCCAAAGTGCTGGGACTACAGGCATGTGCCACCACACCTGGCTAATTTTTGTATTTTTAATAGAGACAGGGTTTCACCATGTTGCCCAGGCTGGTCTCGAACTCCTGACCTCATGATCCGCCTGCCTCGGCCTCCCAAAGTGCTGGGACTACAGGCATGTGCCAGCACACCCAGCTAATTTTATATTTTTAGTAGAGACAGGGATTCTCCATGTTAGCCAGGATGGTCTCGAACTCCTGACCTCGTGATCCACCCGCCTCAGCCTCCCAAAGTGCTGCGATGACAGGTGTGAGCCACCACACCCGGTCACCATGAACTCTAATGTCAGAAATTACCGAGGCGCTGTTTCTGCATTTTTTTCTAGTATGGATCCTGGTAAGCCACATCCAGAAGAGATTTCTCTGGAAGAACTTTGCCTTGAATGGAAGCAATTGTCCTGATGGCCACTAGGGGGAGGAAGCATCGTTTTCTCTCTTCGAATTGTAAGGCGAGAAGGATCTGAGGCCAGGTGTCCATAATTGAGGAAGTTGACTTTGCCAGGGTGGAGGACACCACGACATAACCTCAGGAGGTCTTGATGACGTGGGCCCAAGGTGGTTGGGGTGTAGCTTGCTTTTATACATTTTAGGAAGACTTGAAGCATCAGTCAATACATGTAAGATGTACGTTGGTTCTATCTCGAACGGCAGGGTGACTCAAAGCGGGGTTACACTTAAACATATTCAGGGCCGGGCGCGGTGGCTCACACCTGTCGTCCTAGCACTTTGGGAGGCCGAGGTGGGTGGGTCACCTGAGGTCAGGAGTTCGAGACCATCCTGGCCAACATGGTGACACCCTGTCTGTACTAAAAATACAAAATCAGGCCGGGCGCAGTGGCTCACACCTGTCATCCCAGTACTTTGGGAGGCCGAAGCGGGCAGATCACGAGGTCAGGAGATCGAGGCCATCTTGGCCAACACGGTGAAACCCCGTCTGTACTAAAAATACAAAAAAAAAATTAGCCTGATGTGGTGGCGGGTGCCTGTAGTCCCAGCTACTCAGGAGGCTGAGGCAGGAGTTTGCAGTGAGCCGAGATTGCGCCACTGCACTCCAGCCTGGGAGACAGAGCGAGACTCTGTCAAAAAAAAAAAAATTAGCTGGGTGTGGTGGTGTGAACCTGTAATCTCAGCTACTTGGGAGGCTGAGGCAGGAGAATCGCTTGAACACTTGAGGCCAGGAGTTTGAGATCAGCTTGGCCAACATGGCGAAACCCGGTTTCTACTAAAAATACAAAAAAATCAGCACAGCGTGGTGGCACATGCTTGTAATCTCAGCTGCTAGGGAGGCTGAGGCATGAGAATTGCTTGAACCTGGGAGGTGGAGGTTGCAGTGAACCGAGATCACGCCACTGCACTCCAGCCTGGGCGACACATGGATACTCTGTCTCAAAACAAACAAACAAACAAACAAAAACATACTTATTGGCAATTGGTTGAAAGAGTTATTATCCGTAGTAAGGAATGTCTGGCTTATGATGGTGTTGTAGAGACCGAGGTTTTATTATGCAGATGAAGCTTCCCAGGTAGCAGGCTTCTGAGAGAAGAGACTGCAAATGTTTTTTTTTTCTTTTCTTTTTCTTTTCTTTTTTTTTTTTTTTTTTTAACGGAGTTTCACTCTTGTCATCCAGGCTGGAGTGCAGTGGCGCAATCTTGGTTCATTGCAACCTCCGACTCCCAGGTTCAAGTGATTCTCCTATCTCAGCCTCCCGAGTAGCTGGGATTACAGGCATGCACCACCATGACCAGCTAATTCTTGTATTTTTAGTAGAGACGGGGTTTCACCATGTTGGCCAGGATGGTCTCAATCTCTTGACCTCATGATCTGCCCGCCTCGGCCTCCCAAAGTGCTGGGATGACAGGCGTGAGCCACCGCACCCGACCAGAGACTCCAGATGTTTCTTACCAGACTTAAGGTCTGTGTTGATGTTCATGCTGAAAATATCAGAGGTGTTTGAACCAGAACGACTCCACCTTGAATAGAGGCTGGGTAAAATGAGGCTGAGACTTACTGGGCTGCATTCCGAGATGGTTAAGGCATTCTAAGTCACAGGATGAGATAGGAGGTTGGTACAAGGTACAGGTCATAAAGACCTTGCTGATAAAACAGGTTGCAGTAAAGAAGCCAGCCAAAACACGCCAAAACCAAGATGGCCACAACAGTGACCTCTGGTCGTCCTCACTGCTATACTCCCACCAACACCATGACAGTTTTCAAATGCCATGGCAACGTCAGGAAGTTACCTTATATGGTCTAAAAAGGGGAGGCATGAATAATCCGCCCCTTGTTTAGCATATCTTCAAGAAATAACCATAAAGGCCAGGTGCGGTGACTCACGCCTGTCATCCCAGCACTTTGGGAGGCCGAGGCGGGCGCATCACGAGGTCAGGAGTTTGACACCAGCCTGACCAACATGGCAAAACCCCATCTGTACTAAAAATACAAAAATCAGCCCAGCGTGGTGGTGCATGCCTGTAGTCCCAGCTACTCGGGAGGCTGAGGCAGAAGAATCGCTTGAACCTGGGAGGCAGAGGTTGCGATGAGCCGAGATCATGCCACTGCACTCCAGCCTGGGTGACAGAGCAAGACTCCGTCTCAAAATCAAAAAAAAAAAAAAAAAAAAAAAGAAAGAAAGAAAGAAAAGAAAGAACGAACCATAAAAATGGGTAACCAGCAACCTTGGGGACTGCTCTGTCTACGGAGTAGCCATTCTTTTATTCCTTTACTTTCCCAATAAACTCGCTTTCCCTTTGGTCTATGGACTTGCCCTCAATTCTTTCTTGCATGAGATCCTAGAACCCTCTCTTGGGATCTGGATGAGGACCCCTTTCTGGTAACAGAGGGGTGTGGCGAGGCCTGGCCAACCTCCACTTCCCAACATGGCATGAACTTTAAATTGAAATTGAAATAATTTCATGTTAAATTTTAGAGTGTCCTGGCCAAGGAGGGAGTCCATTCAGATTTTTATTTTTGCTTTATTTATTTATTTTTTATTTTTTTGAGAAGGAGTCTCGCTCTGTTGCCCAGGCTGGAGTGCAGTGGCCCCAACTCGGCTCACTGCAACCTCCGCCTGCCGGGTTCAAGCGATTCCCCTGCCTCAGCCTCCCAAGCAGCTGGGACTACAGGCGCCCGCCACCATGCCTGGCTAATTTTTTAATTTTTAGTAGAGATGGGGCTTCACCATGTTGGTCAGGCTGGTCTTGAACTCCTGACCTCGTGATCCGTCTGCCTCAGCCTCCTAAAGTGCTGGGATCACAGGCATGAGCCACCACGCCCGGCCTATTTTTGGTTTATGAGAGGAGCTGCTGATACCTGGAGACTTGATACCCACAAGCTCCCCTTAGCCACAGTTCCAAAACAGGACATGGCTCAAGACCGCGTCTGGGGAGGAGGGGGAGACAGGATAATTCAGGCCTGCTGGGTGCTGCCTGCTGGGGGTACCCAGGGTCTGTAGATGTGTAAAGCCAGAGAGCTGGGACCAGAGTCTGCTGTTTCATTTTGCCCAAGACTTTCTGTGGGCCTCCTGGAATAAGGCAGACCAGCTGATGGTTGTTTTTTTTTTTTTTGACAGAGTCTTTCTCTGTCACCCAGGCTGGAGTGCAATGGCGCGATCTCGCCTCACTGCAACCTCCGTCTCCCAGGTTCAAGTGATTCCCCTGCCTCAGCCTCCCGAGTAGCTGGGACTACAGGTGCGCACCACCATGCCTGGCTAAATTTTGTATTTTTAGTAGAGATGGGGTTTCAGCATGTTGGTTAGGCTGGTCTTGTACTCCTGACCTCAAGTGATCCACCAGCCTCGGCCTCCCAAAGTCCTGGGATGACAGGCGTGAGCCACCACGCCAGGCCCGGGTAATATCTCTTATAGCTAGAGTGATTTTAGAGTGACCTTCGCATATCGTGACCCGTGAGTGAGTTTCCTGGGCGTGATGGTTAATACTGAATGGCAGCTTGATTGGATTGAAAGATCCAATCAAAGCGTTGTTCCTGGGTGTGTCTGTGAGGGTGTTGCCAAAGGAGAATAACACTAGAGTCAGTGGACTCGGAGAGGCAGAACCCCCCTCAATCTGGGTGGGCACCGTCTCATCAGCTGCCAGTCTGGCCAGAATAAAAGCAGGCAGAGGAGCGTGAAAAGGCTAGACTGGCTTAGCCTCCCAGCCTCCATCTTCCTCCTTTGCTGGATGCTTCCTGCCCTGGACCACTGGACTCCAAGTTCTTAATCCTTGGGACTCAGACTGGCTTCCTGCCTCCTCAGCTTGTAGATGACCTATGGTGGGACCTCACCTTGTGACTCTGTGAGTTAATTCTCCTTAATAAACTCCCCTTCATATATATATAATTCATGTGGACTCTTTCTAGACCATATAGATTGTATTAGTCAGGGTTCCTTAGAGGAATAGAACAAATAGAAGATACACACACACGCACACACACATATATATGTACGTATATGTGTGTATATATACACGTGTATATATACACACATATATACACGTGTATACACACACATGTGTATATATACATGTATACACATATATGTGTATATGCACATGTGTATACACACATATGTGCATGTACACATATGTGCATATACGCATATATACACGTGTGTATACGCATATATACGTGTGTACACGCATATATACACGTGTGTACACACATATATACACGTGTGTACACGCATATATACACGTGTGTATACGCATATATACACACATACACACATATATACACACATATACACACACACATATATATACACACACAATACATATATATGTGTGTGTGTGTGTGCGTGTGTGTGTATATATCTTCTATTAGTTCTATTCCTCTAAGGAACCCTGACTAATACAATGTATATGGTCTAAAAAGAGTCCATATGAATAATCCACTCCTAGTTTAGCATATCATCAAGAAATAACCATAAAAATGGGGGCCAGGTGTGGTGGCTCACGCCTGTCATCCCAGCACTTTGGGAGGCCGAGGTGGGTGGATCGCCTGAGGTCGGGAGTTTGAGACCAGCCTGGCCAACATGGTGAAACCCCATCTCTACTAAAAATACAAAAAAAATTAGTCGGGCATGGTGGCAGTTACCTGTAATCCCAGCTACTCGGGAGGCTGAGGCAGGAGAATCGCTTGAACCCGGGTGGCGGAGGTTGCAGTGAGCCGAGATCACGCCACTGCACTCCAGCGTGGGTGACAGAGTGAGACTCCATCTCAAAAAAAAGAGAAAAGGTTGTATTCTTTTGAGTCCTTGATAGCCTCTGACTGAATACATCATGTATTAGTTTGGTGTAGAAGTAACGGAGTGAAAACAAAAACAACAAAACAACCACCACCACCACCACAACAAAAAACACCCAGGCACAAAAGTGCAAAATGGCACAATATCATTTGCATGAAGTGTCTAGAATAAGACTGCTTGCAGAGTCAGAGAGCAGATGGGTGATTGCTTAAGGCTGAGAGCAGGGAGACTGGGGAGTGACGGTTTAATGGGTATGGGGTGTTTTTTTTTGGGTTACGAAGGTGTTCTGGAACTAGCTAGGGCCGGTGGTTGTGTAAAATGCTCAGTGCACTAAATCGTCTCTTCATTGTGCAATTTTTAAAATGGCAAACTGTGTGTGATGGGTATTTTCCCACAGTAAGAAACAGCAGCAGCACAAAGGGAGGTGATAACTCACGTCATATCACACCCTGCAGGCCCCATCACCCTTCCTCCTTCCTCTGTTCACCTCCTCCTCCTTTTCCGGGCTCTGCAGACGAGCCCGGGCAGCCCTCCCCGCTGGCCGTCTGGACCCAGGCCTGCCTGTCTTGGGTGCATTTTAGGACATTAAGTCTGGCTGGAACCTGAGAGCATCAGCCATGCGGTAAGTCCCCACATCCCTCCAGCAGTCTGGGAGGGGAGCTCTCTCCTTTGCTTTTGTACACTCTGGAGAAAATTGTCAGGCAGCAGACATGAAGAGCCTCTGGGGAGATTCAGTGAGGGCTGGCAGGCAGGTGTCCAGGAGCCTGAGTGACTCACGAGAGAAAGGACATATTCCTTAAAGACAAATTCATCAACGGATTGGTTTAAATAATTCCTGCTCAGCACATCCCAAATTAAGCTTCGTCATCAGACACTGCATCTGTTGCCTTTTCTAGAAACATGAGCTCTAAGCTCAGTGACACCGTCTGTCAGGGTTTCAACGTTTCACCTCCCCCCTCCAGGGGAGCCGGTTTCCATACACCAAAGCTCTCCAAGGTCCAGTTGTGAGGATGGGGAACGCTGGCTGTCTGGTGACGGCCTTTCCAAAGCTGCCCTGTCCTCTTGCATTAAGAAAGATTAGTTTGTACTCCGGGAGGAGAGGCGCAGAAGGTTAACAAGATTAGAGAGAGCTCCTGAGACCTGCGGTGAGATTCCCTGAGGGATGTGGCTAATAAAACTGTAAAAACAACGCAGGCGGTGTCTCTCACCGCCGGGTCCTGATTTCAGGGCCGCAAATGTCTACCTCTTCTAGGCAGTTTGCTACCTCAATAATTTAGGTTGTCAGTTGTGGTATCCAAGCCCCAGCACACTTTTTTGTTTGTTTGTTTGTTTGTTTGTTTTGCAGTTTGCAGGTGATAGTTTCTAAAGATGTGTTTTTCTATTTTTCTTTCTTTCTTTCTTTTTTTTTTTTTTTTTGAGACAGAATCTCACTCTGTCGCCCAGGCTGGAGTGCAGTGGGGCGATCTCAGCTCACTGCAAGCTCCGCCTCCCGGGTTCACGCCATTCTCCTGCCTCAGCCTCCCGAATAGCTGGGACTACAGGCGCCCGCCACCACGCCCGGCTAATTTTTTGTATTTTTAGTAGAGACGGGGTTTCACTGTGTTAGCCAGGATGGTCTCGATCTCCTGACCTCGCGATCTCCCCGCCTCGGCCTCCCAAAGTGCTGGGATTACAGGCATGAGCCACCACGCCTGGCTAATTTTTTGTATTTTTAGTAGAGACGGGGTTTCACTGTGTTAGCCAGGATGGTCTCGAACTCCTGACCTCGTGATCCGCCCACCTCAGCCTCCCAAAGTGCTGGGATAACAGGCGTGAGCCACCGCGCCCGGTCTATTTTTCTTAACTAAGAAATGTGTATGTGTGTGCATATGGTTGTGTGGCTGGTAGAGGTGGAGAGCTTCAGGAATGTGTGTATGCGTGTGTGTTTCTGCGTGTGTCTGTGTATGTGTTTGTGTGTTATCTTTGCTTGTGATTATGTTTGTGTCTGTACATATGTGTGTGTCTTTGTGGATGTGTGTTTGTATATGTATGGCTGTCTGTGTGTGTTTGCCTCTTTGTGTATGCATGTGAATGTGTGTGTTTATATTTGTGTATTTATGTCTGTGTAAGTGTATTATGTATTTGCACATGAGTGTGTTTCTGCATGTGTATATTTGGGTGTCTGTGTGTGTGCATGTGTGTGTATATGCATGCTAGTGTGTGTGCAGTTGTTTGTGTATGCATTTGTGCATATGTGCATGTGTGCATTTGTGTGTGTAGATATGGATATGGATGAGCGTGTATATTAATGTCTGTATGCATTTGTGTGTATGTGCATGTGTATATTTGCGTGTGTAGATATGGATATGTATGAGCATGTATATTAGTGTCTGTATGCATTTGTGTGTATGTGTGCATATGTGCATGTGTGCCTTTGTGTGTGTACATATGGATATGTATGCACGTGTATGCTGGTGTCTGTATGCATTTGTGTGTATGTGTTTGTGCATGTGTATATTTGGGTGTGTGTAGATATGGATATGTATGAGTGTGTATGCCTGTTAGTGTCTGTATGCATTTGTATTTGTATTTGTGTATGTGAATGTGAGCATTTGCACATGTGTGTATACGTGTGTCTGCATGTGTGCATCTATGTGTGTGCGTGTATGTGCAAGTGCGTATGTGTATAGGCACATGCTGATTTGTGTGTGTGAGAGGAGGGGCACAGGCAGACACTCTCTGTGTGGTCCCAGGTGAGGCCTGGTGGCAACGAGCCTGGTGCGTTCAGCCCTGGGTGGATGTGGTAGCGGAGGGAACAGCAGGGCAGCGTCCGAGGTGTGAAAAAGCACAACCTGCCCCGAGAGAGCCCTGCGCTCTGGGCCATCTCGGCTTCTTGGGCCATAGGTACATTCCTCACAGGTGACCTGAGTGTGGAGGAAAGGCCGTCTCTGCAGGCCAGGGGGCTCGCTGGTTAGTGCTCACACCCAGAGTGCACCCGGACGGCACCAGAGATCTTCCTACCTCCCAGGAGCCGTTGCACGATCTCCGGGCATCGCCACCCCCGACCTCGGGCACCACGAGACTCCATTTACAGACGGGAAGCGACCTGGGGCTGACCTTGATAAAACCCCTGTCCGGCCTCGATGGGTCTGAGCGGCAGGTGCCATTGTCTTCCCAACAGCGGCGTGTGTGACCCAACACGAGTTCGGGAATGCGAACAGTCTCCTCTCCGAGCTTCGCAAGCTGTTTTAGCACAAACTCACTGCTCAGCAGACTTCTTTGAACAAGGAGTCTTCTTAAAAATGACCCTTAAGCCTGTAATCCTAGCACTTTGGGGGGCCGAGGCGGGCGGATCGCTTGAGGTCAGGAGTTCGAGACCAGACTGGCCTACATGGAGAAACCGCATCTCCACTGAAAAATACAAGAATTAGCCAGGGTTGGTGGCGCATGCCTGTAATCCCCGCTACTCAGGAGGCTGAGTCAGGAGAATCGCTTGAACCCGGGAGTTGGGGGTTGCAGTGAGCCGAGATTGCACCATTGCGCTACAGCCTGGGCAACACAACGAGCCTCTGTCTCTAAAATAAAATAAGATAAAAAGTAAAATAAAGTAAAATGAAATATAAATATAATAATAAAAATGTAATAATAATATAATAATAATAATATCTGCCTACATAGGTCAGTGTACAGGCGGCGAACTGACTTCTTGCTCCGTGGCGTCAGAGCCTTGGAGAAAAGGAGGGTCACTGAGAAGGGGGGGCGGGTCAAATGAGAAGAAAACGCCAGGGAGGCTGATGCAAATCCCAGACCTCAAGGAGCAAGGGAGGGGCTGTTCTATCAAGTCCTGACGCCCAGGGCTAAAGGTAGAGGAGAAGGAATCCGTTCTTTGCCTTCTTTCTCTTCCCGCCCCCTAGCCCCTGCGCCTGGACCCCATTGGCTGAGCCCTGCTGAAGTCACCCAGCCAGGGTGACGCCAGTCAGAGCCAGGCAGATGTCAATTACACAGGGCCTTCTCTGTCTTCCCGCCCCCTAGTGCCTGCACCTGCTCCCCATTGGCTGAGCCCTGCTGAAGTCACCCAGCCAGGGTGATGTCAATCAGAGCCAGGCAGATGTCAATTACACAGGGCCTTCTCTTCCCGCCCTCTAGCCCCTGCACCTGCTCCCCATTGGCTGAGCCCTGCTGCAGTCACCCAGCCAGGTGATGTCAATGAGAGCCAGGCAGCTGTCAATTACACAGGGCCTTCTCTTCCCGCCCTCTAGCCCCTGCACCTGCTCCCCATTGGCTGAGCCCTGCTGAAGTCACCCAGCCAGGTGCTGTCAATCAGAGCCAGGCAGATGTCAATTACACAGGGCCTTCTCTCTCTTCCCGCCCCCTAGCCCCTGCATCTGCTCCCCATTGGCTGAACCCTGATGAAGTCACCCAGCCAGGTGATGTCAAGCAGAGCCAGGCAGATGTCAATTACACAGGGCCTTCTCTCTCTCTCTCTCTTCCCGCCCCCTAGCCCCTGCACCTGCTCCCCATTGGCTGAGTCTAGCTGAAGTCACCCCGCTATAGAGCCAGGCAGCTGTCAATCACACAGGGCCCACCACAGCCCAGAGTTGGGTTGAGTGCGAATCTAGCGAACCCTGTGAATCACGTCAGCGCCTGCACAGTGGGAAGGGGTCCCCCCTGGCACGTTGCTGCCAAGTTTCAACAGCGCTTAGAGGGGAAGCGGCAGAAGCAATTCGGCTTCTCGATGGGCTTGCCCCGGCGTGCACTTGCACGAAGCATTGGCAGGAAGGAAGCTTACAAATTCATCTGGGGCCACCAGCTTCCGGGGATCCGGTGAGATGCGGGGCATGGAGGGTTTGTGAAAGCAGCAGAGTGAGTTCTGTGTCATTTACTGCTGTTCTCTTCGGTCACATTGTTCTTTTGTTTTTTGTTTAAAAATAGGTGACTTTTACGCCGTACGCAGTGGCTCACGCCTGTAACCCCAGCACTTTGGGAGGCCAAGGTGGGAGGATCACCTGAGGTCAGGAGTTCGAGACCAGCCTGGCCAACATGGTGAAACCCTGTCTATAATAAAAATACAAAAATTAGCCTGGCGTGGTGGGGGGTGCCTGTAATCCCAGCTACTTGGGAGGCTGAGGCAGGAGAATCACTTGAGCCTGGGAGGCGGAGCTTGCAGTGAGCCGAGATCGAGCCACTGCACTCCAGCTTGGGCAACAGAGCAAGACTCCGTATTAAAAAAAAAAAAAAGTGACTTTTAGGTCGTATACAGTGGCTCACGCCTGTAATCCCAGCACTCTGGGAGGCCGAGGTGGGAGAATCACTTGAGCCCAGGAATTTGAGACCAACGTGGGCAACATAGCAAAACCTCGTATCCATTTATTCGATTAAAAAAGAACAAGTGACTTTTATTTGTCAGAATGAGTTATACAAATTCTGTGCTTTTTAAAATTTTTATTCTTTTTTTAAAAAATTTTTTATTTTTTGAGACAGTCTCACTCTGCCTCCCAGGCTGGAGCACAGTGGTGCGATCTCAGCTCACTGCAACCTCCACCTCCCGAGTTCAAGCGATTCTCCTGCCTCAGCCTCCTCAGTAGCTGGGATTACAGGCAAGCGCAACCACACCCGGCTAATTTTTTTGTATATATATATATATATATATATATATATTTTTTAGTAGAGACGGGGTTTTACCATGTTGGTCAGACTGATCTCGAACTCTTGACCTCGTGATCCACCCGGCCTCCCAAAAGTGCTGGGATTGCAGGCGTGAGCCACCGCACCCGGCCTTATTTTATTCTTTTTAATTGAGAAAAATGGCACATATTCACGGGATACATAGTGATGTTTCTATCCATATAGTGTGTAATTATCAGATCCTTATAGCATATAATGATCAATGTATAATTAATGATCAGATCCATATAATCTATAATGAGATGATTGATAGCATGTCCATCACGTCGAACTGCCTTTCCTTCCTTCCTTTGTTCCTTCCTTCCTTCCGTTCTCTCTCTCTCTCTCTCTCCCCTTTCTTTCTCTCTTTCTTTTTCTGTCTCTCTGTCTCACTTTCTCTCTTTTGGTCTCTCTCTCTCTTTCTTTCTGTCTTTCTTTCTTCTCTCGCTCTCTCATCCAGGCTGCAGTGCAATGGCATGATCTCGGCTCACTGCAACCTCCACATCCAGGGTTTGAGCAATTCTCCTGCCTCAGCCTACCAGGTAGCTGGGATTACAGGCATGTGCCACCACAGCCAGCTAATTTTTGTTTTTTTAGTAGAGACAGAGTTTTGCCGTGTTGGCCAGGCTGGTCTGGAACTCCTGACCTCAGGGGATCCACCTGCCTCGGCCTCCCAAAGTGCTGCGATTACAGGCATGAGCTACCATGCCCATCATTTCTTTGTGTAGGGAACATTTAATATCCTCCTTCCAACTATTTGAAACTGTAGAATATATTATTGTTAACTATCATCATTCTACAGGGCTTTAGAACACTAGAGTTTATTCCACGTGTCTAGCTGTAATTTTGTACGCTTTAATAATTGTTTTCATATGGACATAATAGCTCTCCGGGAAGAAAAAAATATAAAATAATAAATGTCACTCAGAACAGTAATCAGTAATGCTGTCAAAACTTTATTCAGGCTGTGTGTGGTGGCTCATGCCTGTAATCCCAACTCTTAAGGAGGACGAGGCGGGTGGATCACTTGAGCTCAGGAGTTTGAGACCAGCTTGGCCAACATAGTGAAACCCTGTCTCTACTAAAAATACAAAAAAAATTAGCCGGGCGTGGTAGCAAGTGCCTGCCATTCCAGTTACTCAGGAGGCTGAGGCACGAGAATCACTTAAATCTGGGAGGCGGAGGTTGCAGTGAGCTGAGATCGCGCCATTGAACTCCAGCCACTGCACTCCAGAGACAGACTCTCTTTGTCTTTTTTTTTTTTAATTTTTAAAAGGCAGGCGGATCACCTGAGGTCAGGAGTTCGAGACCAGCCTAGCCAAAATGGTGAAACCCCGTGTCTACTAACAATACAAAAATTAGCAGGGTGTGGTGGCGGGCACCTGTAATCCCAGCTACTCAGGAGGCTGAGGCAGGAGAATCGCTTGAACCCGGGAGGTGGAGGTTGCGGTGAGCCGAGATCACGCCACTGCAATGTGGCCTGGGCAACAGAGAAAGGCTTTGTCTCAAAACAAACAAACAAAAAATTGATGTTATGCACAGTATTTAATAAATTACATGAGACAGTCAATACTGTATTCTAAAATAGTCTTTGCGTTAGGTGATTTTGCCCAACTGTAGACAAATGTGAGTACTGTGTTTAAGGCAGGCTAAGCGATGATGTTTGGAAGGCTAGCTGTATTAAATGTCTTTTCAAGCAAGGATCTTTTCAACTTACAATGGGTTTATCAGGACGTAAGCCATTTTAGGTCAAGGAGTATCTGTATTTTGCTTTGATGAACATTTGACTATTCAGTCCTTTTAAAGTGGTGCATTCATGTGGCAGTTTGAGAGACATTAACAAAAAAAAAAAATAGAACACCTCCAGCAAGTACCAGAAAGATCACCTTTCTCCGTACAACTTCAGATTTGATAAAGCAGGCTTTTAAAAAGTGCTCTAGGGAATTGCAGGTCAGGTTAACAAAAACACATATTCAAATACCACAAATACAGCTATTAACATTAAAGCTGGCAGGGCACGGTGGTTCACAGCTGCAATCCCAGCACTTTCAGAGGACAATGTGGGTGGATCGCTTGAGGTCAGGAATTCAAGACCAGCCTGGTCAACATGGTGAAACCCCGTCCCTACTAAAAATCCAAAAATTAACCGGGCGTGGTGGCAGGTGCCTGTAATCGCAGCTACTCGGGAGGCTGAGGCAGGAGAATTGCTGGAACCCGGGAGGTGGAGGTTGCGGTAAGTCGAGATCGCGCCACTGGCTGGGCAGCAAGAGTGAAACTCCATCTCAATAAAACAAACAAACAAACAAAACCCTCCAAAACACGAGGATGATGGGGTTTGTCAAGACAAGGACCCTTTGTGTCTTTGTGTCTTTGGACTTGAGGGAATGGTCCCTCACAACCTCTAAAAGTCAATACATTTGATGTTTTCAAGGGTAGGTGGTAATCTTGCTATAATCACTGACTTCAGAGCTATCGTTCATCCCTCGGATTGGGGTATATGGGTAGGGAAAATAACACCCATGATGATGGCCACATCCTAATTCCTGGATCCCTGCACCTGTGAACATGTGACTTCACGTGGCAAAATGAATGTTGCAGGTGCGATAAAGGTAAGGATCTGGAGATGGGACATGATCCTGCATCTTGGATGGACCCAGTGTCTTCACAGGGTTCTCAGAAGAGGAGGTAGCATGGGCAGAGTCAGAGAGATTGGAAGAGGCTATACAGCTGGCTTTCAAGATGCAGAGAGGGACTGTGCATGAGGCATTGCCAGGTAGCTTTTGCTGGACTACAGTTCAATCCATTTCAGTTGCATCCAGTTCCTTTCGAAAGCTCTAGGGGAAGGTCCATCGTGTCTCTCCCACCCCCTGGGGACTCCAGGTGTCCCTGGGCTTGTGGCCTCATCGCTGCAGTCTCTGCTTCCGTCTCCACGTGGCCTTCTCCTCTGTGTCTGTGTCTCCTCTTCTGTCTCTCTTTTTTTTTTTTTTTTTCTGAGACTGAGTGTCACTCTGTCGCCCAGGCTGGAGTGCAGTGGCGCCATCTCGGCTTATTTCAAGTTCCACCTCCCGGGTTCACGCCATTCTCCTGCCTCAGCCTCCTGAGTAGCTGGGACTACAGGCACCCGCCACCACGCCCGGCTAATTTTTTTATATTTTTAGTAGAGACGGGGTTTCACCGTGTTAGCCAGGATGGTCTCGATCTCCTGACCTCGTGATCTGCCCGCGTCGGCCTCCCTAAGTGGTGGGATTAGAGGCGTGAGCCACCACTCCCGGCCTCCTCTTCTGTCTCTTGTGAGGACAGTGGTCATTAGATTTATGTCCACTCTCCTACAGGATGATCTCATCTCAAGCTCCTTGAATTAATTATGTGTGCAGACACGCTGTTTCCAAATAAAGTGTCACTGACAGGTACTAGGGGCTTAAGGCAACAGAAACTCATTCTCTCTCACTCCTAGAGAACAGAAGTCTCAGAACAACGTGTCTTAGGGCCGTGCTCCCTCTGGAGGCTCTAGGGGAGGGTCCTTTCTGCTTCTCCCAGCTCCTGGGGGCTCCAGGTGTCCCTGGGCTTGTGGCCGCATCACTCCGGTCTCTGCCTCCGTCTCCACATGGCCCTCTCCTCTGTGTCCGTGTCTCCTCGTCTGTCTTTTATGAGGACTGTGGTCATTAGAGTTAGGGTCCACTGTTGTCCAGGATGATCTTATCTCGAGCTTTTGAATTAATTATATCTGCAGAAACCGTATTTCCAAATAAAGTCTCACTGATAGGTACTAGGGGATTGAAACAACAGAAACTCATTCTCTCTCAGTCCTGTAGACCAGGAGTCTCAGGGCCACACTCCCTGTGGAGGCTCTAGGGGAGGGTCCTTCTTGCCTCTGCCAGCTCCTGGGGGCTCCAGGTGTCCCTGAGCTTGTGGCCCCATCACTCCAGTTTCTGCCTCCATCTCCACGTGGCCACCTCCTCTGCATCTGTGTCTCCTCTTCTGTCTGTTAAAAGGACACCTGTCATTGCATTTAGGGCCCACCCTATTGCAGGATGATCTCATCTCCAGATCCTTAATATAACTACATCTGCAAAGACCCCTTTTTCCAAATATGGTCCCATTTACAGGTTCTCAGGTTTTGATGTGGACTCATCTTTTGGGGGACACCACTCAATCTCTTCCAGTTGTATTCAGCTCCCTCCAGAAGCTGCAGTGGAGCGTCCTTCCTGCCTCTCCCAGCTCCTGGGGGCTCCAGGCATCCCTGGGCTTGTGGCTACATCACTGCAGTCTCTGTCTCTGTTTCCACGTGGCCTTCTTCTCTGTGTCTGTGTCTCCTCTTCTGTCTCTTAGGAGGACACCTGTCATTGCATTTACGGCCTACCCTGCTCCAGGATGATCTCCTCTCAAGATCATTAACTAATTACATCTGCAATGACCTTATTTTCAAATAAGGTCCGGTTCACAGATTCTGGGGGTTAGGACATGGACAGATCTTTTGGGGATCACCATTCAAGTCTTTGCAATTGTGTCTGGTTCCCTCCAGAGGCTCTAGGGGAGGGTCCTTCCTGCCTCTCCCAGTTCCTGGGGGCTTCAGACATTTCTGGGCTTCTGGCCGCATCACTGCAATCTCTGCCTCCATCTCTACGTGGCCTTCTCTTCTGTGTCTGTGTCTCCTCTTCTGTCTCTCAGAAGGACACCTGTCATTGCATTTAGGGTCCACCCTAACTCCATATGACCTCATCTCTACATACTTAAGTAATCATATCTACAAAGACACTATTTCCAAATAATGTCCCACTGCAGCTTGTGGACAATAGCACGTGAACAGATCTTTCAACTACATGCAGCTCCCTCCGGAGGCTCTGGGGAGGGTCCTTCCTGCTTCTCCCAGCTCCTGCGGGCTCCAAGTGTCCCTGGGCTTGTGGCCGCATGACTCCAGTCTCTGCCTCCGTCTCCACATGGCCTTCTCCTCTGTGTCCGTGTCTCCTCTTCTGTCTCTTAGAAGGACACCTGTCAGTGGATTTAGGACCCAAGTTAAATGCAAGATGATCCTATTTCAACATCCTTAACTATATCACATGTAGAAAGACCCTACTTACAATTAAGGACACACTCTGAGGTTCTGGGTAGACGTGAATTTGTTTTGGAGGGGGGATACATTTTAACCCAGTACAGCGTCTTGATTAGGGAAGGAAATGAACTCATTTCATTCATAGAATCATGAATTGTTCATTCCTTGTGTTTATCAAGCATTCTCTAAAATGTTCCCGAGCCGACTGTGGAGCTCTGAGAACTCTTGAACAAACCTGTCCATAGTGGTTTCTGCCTTCTGTGCTTTATAATTTAGAGAAATTCGGCTGGGCGCGGTGGCTCACGCCTGTAATCCCAGGACTTTGGGAGGCCGAGGCAGGCGGATCACCTGAAGTCAGGAGTTCGAGACCAGCCTGACCAACATGGAGAAACCCCATCTCTACTAAAAATACAAAATTAGCCAGGTGTGGTGGTGGGCACCTGTAATTACAGCTACTCGGGAGGCTGAGGCAGGAGAATCGCTTGAGCCCAGGAGGTGGAGGTTGCAGTGAGCCGAGATCCAGCCACTGCACTCCAGCCTGGGCAACAAGAGGGAAACTCCATCTCAAATAATAATAATAATAATAATAATAATAATAATAATAATAATAGTTTAGAGAAATTCATTATTTCTGTGCCCGGTGAATTGGCGTGCTTTCGCTGGTAAGGATTACAGGATTTTTATCTTGCTTGGGACATCTCCAGGGATGAAAGTCAGGTCCTGGACTTTTTTTTTTTTTTTTTTTGAGACGGAGTCTCACTCTGTCACCCAGGCTGGAGTGCAGTGGCACAGTCTCGGCTCACTGCAACCTCTGCCTCCCAGATTCAAGCAATTCTCCCGCCTCAGCCTCCCGAGTAGCCGGGATTACAGGCATGTGCCACCACGCCCAGCTAATTTTTTTGTATTTTTAGTAGAGACGGGGTTTCGCCATATTGGCCAGGCTGGTCTCGAACTCCTGACCTTGTGATCCACCCACCTGGACCTCCCACAGTGCTGGGATTACAGGCATGAACCACTGCGCCCGGCTGTTTCTTTGTTTTTGAGATGGAGTTTTGCTCTGTTGCCCAGGCTGGAGTGCAGTGGCACAATCTCGGCTCACTGCAACCTCCGCCTCCCAGATTCAAGCAATTCTCCCGCCTCAGCCTCCGGAGTAGCTGGGATTACAGGCATGTGCCACCACGCCCAGCTAATTTTTTTGTACTTTTAGTAGAGACGGGGTTTCGCCATATTGGCCAGGCTGGTCTCGAACTCCTGACCTTGTGATCCACCCACCTGGACCTCCCAAAGTGCTGGGATTACATGCGTGAGCCACCGCGCCCGGACAGGTCCTGGACTTTTAAAATCAAAGGCCAGTACGTTTAATGACCATTAGAGAGAAAGATAAAAGCTGCCACAAGGTTCCGTTTGTCTAATTGAGCATTTGCAGGCTGAGGAGTGGAAAGGTTGTTTCTGATGTCCGCAGGGGACCGTTTTACACCTGGAAACCTGACATTTCATTCACCGCAGCCCGCCGGGCGTGCCGGCCACTTCACTTTTCACCCCCTCTGACTCCTCTTTCTTTGAAGCTAAGAGAGATGATTTTCATTTCCAGCAACGTTCATGAGGCTTTCTGGGCACTCGCCTGTGAGCAGGAAAAGGCTGAGACAGGTATAACCTGTCTTTGGGACAGGCTCTCCTTCGGAGGCCGAGGCGGGCAGATCACCTGAGGTCAGGAGTTTGAGACCAGCCTGGCCAACATGGTGAAACTCCGTGTCTACTAAAAATATAAAAATTAGCCGGGCTTGGTGGTGTGTGCCTGTAATCCCAGTTACTTGGGAGGCTGAGGCAGGAGAATCATTTGAAGTCGGGAGGCGGAGGTTGCAGTGAGCCGAGATTGCGCCACTGCACTCCAGCCTGGGCGACAGAGTGAAACTCCGTCTCAAAAACAAACAGGCAGGCGCGGTGGCTCATGCCTGTAATCCCAGCACTTTGGGAAGCTGAGGCAGGCGGATCGCAAGGTCAGGAGTTTGAGACCAGCCTGGCCAACATGGTGAATCTCCGTCTCTACTAAAAATACAAAAAATTAGCCCGGCATGGTGGCGGGTGCCTGTAGTCCCAGCTACTCAGGAGGCTGAGGCAGGAGAATGGCATGAACCCGGGAGGCGGAGGTTGCAGTGAGCTGAGATTGTGCCACTGCACTCCAGCCTGGGCGACAGAGCGAGACTCCATCTCACAAACAAACAAAGAAGAAAGAAAAACAAAAACAACTCAGAGACATATATCATTATGTTTTCTTTCATTTCTATGGGGAATCAAACATCTTATGAGTCTGGCTTACTAGGGGTGGCTATTGTTTGAGTTACTATTTGCTTGTTTACTGTGTTATTCATTCACGCCCCGAATGGTTGTAGGGCTAGCTAGCTGCCCAGAATGTCTCTTGAAGAAACTCACAATTTTTCTTTTTATTTCCATGCCTCGAGGTGGGGGGTGGCAGGACCTTTGGAGGGGTCTCTGGTCCTTCTCAGCCATTTGTTTTTTTTTGTTTCTGTTTTGAGATGGTGTTTCACTCTGCTGCCCAGTGCGGAGTGCAATGGTGTGATCTCGGCTCACTGCAACCTCCGCCTCCGGGTTCAAGCGATTCTCCTACCTCAGCCTCCCAAGTAGCTGGGACTGCAGGCGCCCACCACCACGTCCAGCTATTTTTTTTTTTTTTTTTTTTTTTTTGTATTTTTAGTAGACACGGGGTTTCACCATGTTGGCCAGGCTGGTCTCGAACTCCTGACTTCAGGTGATCCGCCCGCCTCGGCCTCCCAAAATGCTGGGATTACAGGCGTGAGCCACTGCACCGGGCTCTTCTCACCCACTTTAAGCTTTCTTCCATCCCTAAACTCCTCTGTGTATCCTCTTCCAACTTCATGTTACTGCTTAGGGGTGCATTTGCCTCTCAAAGGCCTTTTCTTACAAACAGTGCATTTCCAGACTTTCAGGCGTCCGCAGGTGTCTAGGACAGCCAAAGACCCAACACTGGTCTTTAAAATTTCCATACGTATTGTTTTCCACGCCACTGACGCAGCCTTGGACAGCTCCTTTGTGGACTGATTGTCAGGTCACCCCTGTGACCTGCATGTATACATCTAGATGGCCTGGAGCAACTGAAGGACCACAGAAGATGACATTCTACCATTGTGATCTGTTCCTGCTCCACCCTTACTGATCAGTTGACTTTGGGACAATACACCCTCCCCGCCCTTGCAGTCGTGTACTTTGTGATATTCCCCTGTCCTTGTGAATGTACTTTGTACGATACAGCCTCCTCACCCTTGGAAAGGTACTTTGTAATATCCTCCCCCGCCCTTAAGAAGGTACTTTGTAGGCCGAGCGCGGTGGCTCACGCCTGTAATCCCAGCACTTTGGGAGGCCGAGGCGGGCGGATCACGAGGTCAGGAGTTCGAGACCATCCTGGCTAACACGGTGAAACCCCGTCTCTACTAAAAATACAAAAAAATTAGCCCAGTGTGGTGGCGGGCGCCTGTAGTCCCAGCTACTCGGGAGGCTGAGGCAGGAGAATGGCGTGAACCCGGGTGGTGGAGGTTGCAGTGAGCCGAGATCGCGCCACTGCGGTCCGGCCTGGGCGACAGAGCGAGACTCCATCTCAAAAAAAAAAAAGAAGGTACTTTGTAATATTCTCCCCACCGTTGAGAATGTCCTTTGTGGCATCCACTCCCTGCCTAGAAAAAATTGCTCCTAACTCCACTGCCTATCCCAAACCTATAAGAACTAATGATAATCCCGCCACCCTTTGCTGACTCTTTTTTATGGACTCAGCCCGGACTCTCTTCACACGGACGCGTGTGACACCGATGTGTGTGAGCAAGAGATTTTGAAATTAAGAGGCAGGAGAGAAGGAAGCTGAGAGCTTGCTATTTCTGTGAACACTGGTTGTTACTGTATCGGGCCCCGTTAGAGTGGACCCTAGCTCAGAGGAGACATTTGATAACTGTGGGAAAATCAATGAATGAATGAAGACGCTAAATTTCTTGCAAGCACTGATGTCTAACTTTTATTCATTTATTTATTTTAGACACAGGATCTTGCTCTGTTGCCCCGGCTGGAGTGTAGTAGTGTAATCCTAGCTGACTGCAGTCTCAAACTCCTGGGCTCAGGCAATCCTCCTGCCTCAGCCATGTGAGTAGCTAGGATTATAGGCCTGTGCCACCATGCTTGGCTAGGTGTTTTTAAAATTTTTTTGGCTGGGTGCAGTGGCTCATTCCTGTAATCCCAGCACTTTGGGAGGCCGAGGTGGGAGGATCTCCTGAGTCCGGGACATCGAGGCTGCATTGAGCCAAGATCGTGGCATTGCAGCCTGGGTGACAGACTGAGACCCTGTCTGAAATGAAATTTCAATAAAATAAATAAAATCATTTCTTTATAGACAGGATGTCAGTATGTTGCTCAGGCTGGTCTCAAACTTCTGGACTTCAAGTGAGCCTCCCACCTTGGCCTCCCAAAGTGCTGAGATTACGGGTGTGAGCCACCATGCTGGCCCTGAGTCTTAACTTTCATAAAAACAATTCTTTTGTGTCTGTGTGTGTGTGATGGAGTCTCTCTCTGTCGCCCAGTGTGTGTGTGTGTGTGTCTGTGTGTGTGTCTGTGTGTGTGTGTGTGTGTGAGATGGCGTCTCGCTCTGTCGCCCAGGCTGGAGTGCAATGGCACCATCTCAGCTCACTGCAACCTCTGCCTCCCGGGTTCAAGTGATTCTCCTGCCTCAGCCTCCTGAGTAGCTGGGGTTACAGGCGTGCACCACCACGCCCAGCTTATTTCTTGTATTTTTAGTAGAGACAGGGTTTCGCCATGTTGGCCAGGCTGGTCTCAAACTCCTGACCTCAAGTAATCCGCCCACCTCAGCCTCCCAAAGTGCTGGGATTACAGGCGTGAGGCACCACGCCTGGCCTTTCATAAGAATACTTCTTAGTAGAATGCTGCCTACCGCAGAATTGCCTTACCTCTCCCCTCACTTTGTGTCCAAAGGGAATTCACAATCTCCATTCCAGGGTTTGAGCTCAGGCTGAGATGAGATTCAGCTCGTCTGGGGACTTGCAAATGCTTTGAAAAGATATGAAAAGGGTCGGGCATGGTGGTTCACGCCTGTAATCCCAGCACTTTGGGAGGCTGAGGCAGGCAGATCACGAGGTCAGGAGTTCGAGACCAGCCTGGCTAACCTGATGAAACCCTGTCTCTACTAAAAATGCAAAAATTATCTGGGCGTAGTGGTGCGCGCCTGTAATCCCAGCTACTCAGGAGGCTGAGGCAGGAGAATCTCTTGAACCTGGGAGGCGGAGGTTGCAGTGAGCTGAGATCTCACCACTGCACTCCAGCCTGGGGGACAGAGCGAGACTCCTTCTCAGAAAACAAACAAACAAAAAACCAAAACAACAACAAAAACAAACAAAAACAAAAAACAAAACTCATAAAGGTATGAAGGGGAGAGGTGCATTCCTGGGTGTAATATTCTCAATGAACACCAGGAGGCGGTGGTGAGGCACCATCCACACAAGCTGTCTTGAAGCGTGAACTGCCTGAAATGGTGAATTTTGTATCCACAGTACCTGGTATGTGGTCAGATACTGGGCTACATGGTGCTGTGAAGGTATCTTTCAGATGAGATGAACATTTTGTTCAGAGTCTGAATGAAGCCAGGGACCACGCACGATGAGGGTGGGCCTCGTCCCATCAGTTGAAGGTCTTAAGTGCAAAGACCAATGTTTTCCAAGGACAAAAGGATTCTGCCTCCCGGGATTCGGGTTCCAGCTGCAGCATTAACTCTTCCTGAGTTCTGCAGCCTGCTGGTCTACCTGAAGAATTTAGTGTTTCCCCTCCAGAATCATTGAGCCAATTCCTTAAAATCTTCCTTTCTTAGGTATCTGTATACACATGCATAAAACCAACATATAACGCCTTCATAGCCAATTCCTTAAAATCTCTCTCTCTCAAATATCTATATGCATGCGTAAAACCAACATACACCGCCTTCATAGCCAATTCCTTAAAATCTCTCTCAAATATCTATATGCATGCATATAACCAACATATACCTCCTACATGGCTATACCTCCTACATGGCCAATCCCTTAAAAATCTCTCTTAGATATTTATATATGTATGTGTAAAACCAACATATGCCTCCTACTTAGACAATTCCTTAAAATCTCTCGCTCAAATATCTATATATGCATGCATAAAATCAACATAAACCTCCTACTTAGCCAATTTCTTTCTTTTTTTTTTTTTTTGAGACAGAGTCTTGCTCTGTTGCCCAGGCTGGAGTGCAGTGGCACGATCTCGGCTCACAGCAACCTCCATCTCCCAGGTTCACGCAATTCTCGTGCTTCAGCCTCCCGAGTAGCTGGAATTACAGGTGCCCACCACCACATCTGGCTGATTTTTGTATTTTTAGTAGAGAAAGGGTTTCACCATGTTGGCCAGGCTGGTCTCAAACTCCTGACCTCGTGATCCGCCCGCCTCAGCCTCCCAAAGTGCTGGGATTACAGGCGTGAGCCACCACGCCCGGCCTTAGCCAATTTCTTAAAATCTCTCTCAAATATCAATACATGTATATATGAAACCAACATATACCTCCTACTTAGACAATTCCTTCAAATTTCTTTCCCTTTCTCTCAAGACCTATAGATGTCTGTATAAAACCAATATATACTTCCTACGTAGCCAATTCCTTAAAATGTCTCTCCTTCAAATATCTATATGTATGTATAAAACCAACATATACTTCCTTCATAGTTAATTTCTTAAAGTCGCTCTCTGTGTATATAGATTTATATAGACATAGATATAGAGATATTATATGTCTACATATAGCTATGCATGAATAAAGCCAATATGTACCTATTATGTATACAAATCCTTAAAATCTTTCCTTTCTCTCTGTATGTATATATATAGATATATCTATATATAGATCTGTATGGATAAAGCCAATAGGTACCTTCTATATTGACAATTCCTTAACATCTCTCTCTCTGTGTATACCTATATATAGATATATAGACATTATATATCTATATGTATGTAAAAACCAACATATACCTCCTACATAGACAATTCCTTAAAATCTCTTTGCCTCTCTCTCTGTCTCTTTTTTGAGACCGAGTCTTGCTCTGTCACCCAGGCTGGAGTGCAATGGTGTGTTCTTGGCTCACTGCAACCTTCACCTCCCGGGTTCAAGCGATGCTCCTGCCTCAGTCTCCCAAGTAGCTGGGGTTACAGGTGCCCACCACCACGCCTGGCTAATTTTTTGCATTTTTACTAGACACGGGGTTTCACCATGTTGGCCAGGCTGGACTCGAACTCCTGACCTTAGGTAATCTGCCCGTCTCGGCCTCCCAAAGTGCTGAGATTACAGGCGTGAGCCACCGTACTCGGCCTAGATAGAGATATATAGCTATTATATATCTATATATTGATATGTATGGACAAAGCCAATATGTACCTCCTATACTGATAATTCCTTAACATCTCTCTCTCTCTGTGTATTTTATATATAGATGTATAGATAGTCTCTGTCTGTGTATATTTATATATAGATATATATTGTATCTATATAGATATATATTGTATATATATATAGATATATAGTATATATAGATATATATTGTATATATAGACATATATTGTATATATATATATATATATATGCATGTAAAAAACCAACATATACCTCCTACATAGAAATTCCTTAAAATCTCTTTGCCTCTCTCTCTCTCTCCCCCACCCGCCTCTTTTTTTTTTTTTTGAGACGGAGTCTTGCTCTGTTGCCCAGGCTGGAGTGCAATGGTGTGATCTTGGCTCACTGCAACCTCCACCTCCCGGGTTCAAGCAATTCTCCCACCTCTGCCTCCTGAGTAGCTGGTACTACAGGTGCCCACTACCATGCCCAGCTAATTTTTTGTATTTTTAGTAGAGACGGGGTTTCACCGTGTTGGCCAGGCTGGTCTCAAACTCCTGACCTCAGGTGATCTGCCCGCCTCGGCCTCCCAAAGTGCTGGGATGACAGGCGTAAGCCACCGTGCCAGGCCTACATATAGATATGTAGCTATTATATATCTCTATATAGATATGTATGGATAAAGCCAATATGTACATCCTAATATTGAGAATTTCTTAACATCTCTGTCTTTGTGTATATTTATATATAGATAAATAGCTACATAGACATTATATATCTATATGTATGTAAAAAACCAACATATACCTCCTACACAGACAATTCCTTAAAATCTCTTTGTCTCTCTCTCTCTATATATATTATCTATCTATCTATCTACCTGTGTCTATATAAGTGTGATTAAAGCCAATATGTATTTCCTATATAGACAATTCCTTCTATATAGACAATTCCTTAACATTTCTCTTTGCATGTGTATGTGTGTGTGTGTATATATATATATATATATATATATATGTAATATCTATATGTATAAAACCAGTAGCCAATTTCTTAAAATCTCTCTGTAACCTATCTACATGTGTGTTTACATGTCTGTCCATAAGTATGTATAAAACATCTACCTCCAGGCTGGGCGCAGTGGCTCACACCTGTCATCCCAGCACTTTGGGAGGCCAAGGAGGGTGGATCACGAGGTCAGGAGTTCGAGACCAGCCTGGCCAACATGGTGAAACCCTGTCTCTATTAAAAATAAAAAGAAACATTAGTCGGGCATGGTGGTTGGCACCTGTAGTCCCAGCTACTCGGGAGGCTGAGGCGGGAGAATCATTTGAACGTGGGAGGCGGAGGCTGCAGTGAGCCGAGATCGCACCACTGCACTCCAGCCTGGGCCACAGAGTGAGACTCCATCTCAAAAAAAAAAAAAAAAAATCATATCTACCTCCTATTGATTTTCTCCATCTTATTGGTTCTGTTTCCCTGTCTGATACACCACCGAAGGAGAGAGAATAAGGGGTCCTCGTGGGTTTGCGGGGTGACTGAGAGAGTCACAGATGACCTGTGGGTGCCTGGATTCCGGGAGGGGACGGGAGGACTCAGGGAAGAAGGACAGGGTGGAATCATCGGAGTTTCCCTCCAGTGGGAGGCCAGGAGCTTCCAACTGCCTCTGTACCCCCGACCCAGCACACAAAAGGACGAGGAGAAGCATATCCTCGTCTCTAAGCATCAGCGCCAATCACGGCAGGTGCCGTGGTAGCAGTGAGCCTTGGCACTCAGCGTTTTTCTGCACTGTGGGTGAAAGTCCGGGAAGATATCAGAACCTGTGGGCCCTGAGTGTCAGTCTTGCCCCTGTGGGTGGAGGGTGCAAGATTCTAGAGCAGTGGTCCTCAGGCTGGGGCTGGGTTAACTCCAGGAGAATCACCCTCTAGAGAGAGAGATGTTCCAATGCAGAGTCCCAGGCCTGCCCAGGAGAATCCAGCTCAGGAGTCTGTGGGTGAGTTCCAAAGGGTGTGACCAGGGATTGCTCACTGATTCAGGCGACTCAATGATAAAGAAGAGTGAGCCTCTTTTTTTTTTTTTTTTTTTTGAGATGGAGTCTCACTCTGCCTCCCAGGCTGGAGTTCAATGGCACGATCTCGGCTTACTGCAATCTCTGCCTCCCGGGTTCAACTGATTCTCCTGCCTCAGCCTCCTGAGCAGCTGGGACTACAGGTGCCCACCACCATGCCTGGCTAACTTTTTGTATTTTCAGTAAAGATGGGGTTTCCCCATGTTGGTCCGGCTGGTCTCGAACTCCTGACCTCGTGATCTGCGCGTCTCAGCTTCCCAAAGTGCTGGGATTACAGGCGTGAGCCATCGTGCCCGGCCGATCCTTTTTTTATGGGCTAAACTGTGTCCCCTCTAAAATTCCTAGGTTGAAGCCCTAACCCCAGGGCCTCAGAATGTGGCTGTATTTGGAGGTAGGGTATGTAAAGAGGTAATTAAGGTAAAATGAGGTTATTAAGGTAAAATGAGGTTATTAAAGTAAAATGAGGTTACTAAGGTGGACCCTGATCCAGTAAGACTGACGTTCTTGTAAGAGGACATTGGGAATGGAGACGGTGGCTCACGCCTATAATCCCAGCACTTTGAGAGGCCGAGGTGGGTGGATCACCTGAGGTCAGGAGTTCAAGACCAGCCTTGCCAACATGGCAAAACCCTGTCTCTACTAAAAATACAAAAATTAGCCTGGCATGGTGGCAGGTGCCTGTAATCCCAGCTACTCAGAAGGCTGAGGCAGGTGAACTGCTTGAACCGGGGAGGCGGAGGTTGCAGTGAGCCGAGATTGTGCCATTGCACTTCAGCCTGAGCAACAGAGCGAGATTCTGTCTCGAAAAAAAAAAAAAAACGGCCGGGCGCGGTGGCTCACGCATGTAATTCCAGCACTTTGGGAGGCCGAGGTGGGTGGATCACGAGGTCAAGAGATTGAGACCATCCTGGCCAACATGGTGAAACCCCGTCTCTACTAAAAATACAAAAATTTGTCCGGCATGGTGGTGCATGCCTGTAACCCCAGCTACTCGAGAGGCTGAGGCAGGAGAATTGCTCGAACCCGGGAGGCAGAGGTTGCAGTGAGCTGAGATCGTGCCACTGCACTCCAGCCTGGGCAACAAGAGTGAAAACTCTGTCTCAAAAAAAAAAAAAAAGATATTGGGACACAGACACACACAGAGGGATAATCCTATCAAGATATAGGGAGAAGGCAGCCATCTGCAAACTGTAAATCAAAAACTATGTGAGACAGATCTCATCAATATGGACATTTATTGTGCCAAGGTTAAGGACCGTGGCCCGTGACACGGCCTCAGGAGGTTTGGAGAATTGCCCAAGGTGGTTGGGTTACAGCTTGATTTTACACATTTTAGGGAGACAGACGTTGCAACAAACACATACATCCATACATGGAAGGCGTACATTGGTTTGGGCCAGAAAGGTAGGACATCTCTACGTGGGCGCCTCGGGGTCATATGTGGATTCAAGGATTTTCTGATATGCCGTTCAATTTAGCAGAAAGAAATGCCTCAGTTTACATGATGGGGGTTGTGGAAGACAAGGTTTTTGTGATGTAGATGAAGCCAGCAGGTAGCAGGCTTAGAAAGAATGGATGGTAAATGTCTCTCTGTTTTGTTTTGTTCTTGTTTTGAGACAGAGTCTCGCTCTATCACCAGGCTGGAGTGCAGTGGCACAATCTCCACTCTCTGCAACCTCCGCCTCCCAGGTTCAAGCAATTCTCCTGCCTCAGCCTCCCAAGTAGCTGGAATTACAGGCACCTGCCACCCAGCCGGGCTAATTTTTGTATTTTTAGTAGAGATGGGGTTTCACCATGTTGGCCAGGCTGGGGTAAATGTCTCACATCAGAGGTTAAAAGCTGTCGGACTCTCCAGGGAAGACGTGATGAGAGAAGAGGATTGATATGGTTTGGCTGTGTCCCCACACAAATCTTACCCTGAATTATAGCTCCCATAATTCCTACATGTCTTGGGAGGGACGTGGTGGGAGGTAATTGAATCATGGTGCAGGTTTTTTCCATGCTGTTCTAATGAGTGACTAAGTCTCCCGAGATCTTGTGGTTTTATAAAGGGGAGTTTCCCTAACCAAACCGCGTCTTGCCTGCCACCACGGGAGACGTCCCTTTGCTCTGTGTTCATCTTCCACCATGATTGTGAGGCCTCCTGCAGCCATGTGAAATGGTGAGTCCGTTAAAGCTCTTTCCTTTATAAATGACCCAGTCTCAGCCATGTCTTTATTAGCAGAATCAGAACAGACTAATACAGGGAATCTTTCCCTTCTTTCCTTTTTTTTTTTTTGAGATGGAGTGTGACTCTGTCGCCCAGGCTGGAGTGTAGTGGCTGGATCTCGGCTCACTGCAACCTCTGCCACCGGGGTTCAAGAGATTCTCCTGCCTCAGCCTCCCAGGTAGCTGGGATTACAGGCACCTGCCACCGCGCCCGGCTGATTTTTGTATAGGGATTCTTTACAGAATGCAAATTTCCCCCACAAGAGATGGCTTTGCGGAGATGTGCCAAGATAAGTGAAAGACAATATATTTTGCAGAAAAATATGCTGATTCCTTCAGGGCCTGCTATCTGTCCTTTGATGCCATACCAGAATTAGGTGGGAATTTGGTATCTTATTGGTAGAAAGGGTCTCTTTGATCAGTCTTGTCTCAAAAAATAAAGAAATAATTAATATAGAAAACTGTTCTCTTTAGACCAGGCTCGTGGCTCACGCCTGTAATCCCAGCACTTTGGGAGGCCGAGGCGGGCGGATCACGAAGTCAAGAGATCGAGACCAGTCTGGCCAACGTGGTGAAACCCCACCACTACTAAAAATGCAAAAATTAGCCAGGCGTGCTCGTGCGCGCCTGTCATCCCAGCTACTCGGGAGGCCGAGGCAGGAGAATCATTCGAACCTGGGAGGCGGAGACTGCAGTGAGCTGAGATCGTGCCACTGCACTCCAGCTTGGTGACAGAGCGAGATTCCGTCTCAAAAAAACAACAAACAAACAAACAACAAAAAAATCCTGCTCTCTTTAGATAAGGTAGCATGGTACTTTGGCTCCTGGCTGGCGTCTGGGAACTTGCGTGTAGAAGTTTCACCATCCTAAATGACAAGGGTGCCTCACTGTGTAAAGCCTCTTCATAATGTGATTTATGCCAAACACCTGCTTTCCTTCTGGGTGGGACCCTGGAATTTGGGGAGGTACTTGGGGGTGGTTGCCTATGGGACCAGCCCCTAGTAAACAGCCCCCAATTAGGCTGAGTCTCCAATGAGTTTCTGTGGTCGACAGCATTTGACTGACATGTGTGATCAGGACCTGTTGCTCGGAGAACTGGGTATATCGTGTGTGATTCCACTTGGAGACTCTGAAGCTTGACCCTTGCTTTTCCCAAACTTTTCTCAATGTGCATCTTCCCTTTGTTCATTTTGTTCTGTGTGCTTTGGCTATAATAAATCATAGCTGGCCGGGCGCGGTGGCTCACGCCTGTCATCCCAGCACTTTGGGAGGCCGAGGCGGGCGGATCACGAGGTCAGGAGATCGAGACCATCCTGGCTAATAGGGTGAAACCCCATCTCTACTAAAAATACAAAAAAATTAGCCAGGCATAGTGGCAGGTGCCTGTAGTCCCAGCTACTCGGGAGGCTG
This sequence comes from Homo sapiens, assembly GCF_000001405.40. Classification (NCBI taxonomy): domain Eukaryota; kingdom Metazoa; phylum Chordata; class Mammalia; order Primates; family Hominidae; genus Homo; species Homo sapiens. Next base: position 1,681,067 of record NC_000023.11, read on the forward strand.
AGGCAGGAGAATGGTGTGAACCCGGGAGGTGGAGTGTGCAGTGAGCTGAGATCACACCCTGCACTCCAGCCTGGAGGACAGAGCGAGACTCCGTCTCTAAATAAATACATAAATAAATAAATAATAAATAAATAAATAAATCGTAGCTGTGAGTGTGACTACACGCTGTCTTCTGCGAATGCTTCTAGAAAGTCAGCAAACCTAGGAGTTTCCAAATAATACGCTTCAGCATTTCAATATGGAAATAACTTTCCTTACTCAGGAGAGGGAAAATAGCAGCACAGATGGAATTAATTCAAACAGAGACACCAAAAGAGGAGAACATGAAAGATTCAGGTTTCAACGTTTAGGAGCTGGAAGAAAAAAAAATAATAATTGGTATATCCTTTTTTTTTCCAATTGAAGCTAGCTTTCTTTCTCTCTTTCTCTCTCTTTCTCTTTCTCTCTTTCTCTTGCTCTCTTTCTCTTTCTCTCTTTTTCTTTCTCTTTCTCTCTCTCTTTCTCTTTCTCTCTCTTTCTCTTTGTCTCTCTTTGTCTCTCTGTCTCTCTGTCTCTCTGTCTCTCTCTTTGTCTCTCTCTCTCCTCTTTCTCTCTCCTCTCTCTTTCTCTCCTCTCTTTCTCTCTTTCTCTCCCTCTCTCTCTCTCCCTCTCTCTCTTTCTCTCTTTCTCTCTCTTTCTCTTTCTCTCTCTCTTTCTCTCTCTCTTTCTCTCTCTTTCTCTCTCTTTCTCTCTTTCTCTCTTTCTCTTTCTCTCTCTCTCTCTTTCTCTTTTTCTCTCTTTTCTTTCTCTTTCTCTCTCTCTCTCTTTCTCTCTTTCTCTCTCTCTTTCTCTCTTTCTCTCTCTCTCTCTCTTTCTCTCTCTCTTTCTCTCCTCTCTCTTTCTCTCTTTCTCTCCCTCTCTCTCCCTCTCCCTCCCTCTCCCTCCCTCTCCCCCTCCCCCTTTCTCTCTGTTTCTCTTTCTCTTTCTCTCTGTTTCTCTTTCTCTTTCTCTCTGTTTCTCTTTCTCTCTGTTTCTCTTTCTCTTTCTCTCTGTTTCTCTTTCTCTTTCTCTCTGTTTCTCTTTCTCTGTTTCTCTTTCTCTGTTTCTCTTTCTCTGTTTCTCTTTCTCTGTTTCTCTTTCTCTGTTTCTCTTTCTCTCTCTCTTTCTCTCTTTCTCTCTCTCTTTCTCTTTCTCTCTCTCTTCCTCTTTTTCTCTCTCTCTCTTTCTCTTTCTTTCTCTCTTTCTCTCTCTCTTCCTCTTTCTCTTTCTCTCTCTCTCTTTCTCTCTTTCTTTCTCTCTTTCTCTCTTTCTCTCTCTCTTTCTTTCATTGTACTTTAAGTCCTGGGGTACATGTGCAGAACGTGCAGGTTTGTTACATAGGTATACACGTGCCATGGTGATTTGCTGCACCCATTGACCCGTCATCTACATTACGTATTTGTCCTAAAGCTGTCCCTTCCCTAACCCCCAGCCCCTGACAGGCCCCGGTGTGTGATGTTCCCCTCCCTGTGTCCATGTGTTCTCATTGTTCAACTCCCACTTATGAGTGAGAACATGCAGTGTTTGGTTTTCTGTTCTTGTGTTAGTTCGCTGAGAATGATGGTTTCCAGCTTCGTTCATGTCCCTGCAAAGGACATGAGCTTATTCTTTTTTCTGGCTGCATAGTATTCCATAGTGTCTATGTGCCACATTTTCTTTATCCAGTCTATCATTTATGGGCATTTGGGTTGGTTCCAAGTCTTTGCTATTGTGAACAGTGCAGCAATAAACATATGTGTGCATGTGTCTTTATAGTATGATTTATAATCCTTTGTGTATATACCCAGTAATAGGATTGCGGGGTCAAATGGTATTTCTGGTTCCAGATCCTTGAGAAATCACCACACTGTCTTCCACAATGGTTGAACTAATTTACTCTCTCACCCACAGTGTAAAAGCATTCCTATTTCTCCAATTCTCTCCAGCATCTGTTGTTTCCTGACTTTTTAATGATCGCCATTCCCATTCTAACTGGTGTGAGATGGTATCTCATTGTGGTTTTGATTTGCATTTCTCTAGTGAACAGTGAGGAGGAGCTTTTTTTCATATGTTTGTTGGCTGCATAAATGTCTTCTTTTGAGAAGTGTCTGTTCATATCCTTTACCCATTTTTTGATGGGGTTGTTTTTTTCTTGTTAATCTGTTTACGTTATTTGTAGATTCTGGATATTAGCCCTTGGTCAGATGGATAGATTATAAAATTTTTCTCCCATTCTGTAGGTTGCCTGTTCACTTTGATCATGGTTTCTTTTGCTGTGCAGGAGCTCTTTAGTTTAACTAGATCCCATTTGTCAATTTTGGCTTTTGTTGCCATTGCTTTTGGTGTTTTAGACATGAAATCTTTGCCCATGCCTATGTCCTGAATGGTATTGCCTAGATTTTCTTCTAGGGTTTTTATGGTTTTAGGTCTTACATTTAAGTCTTTAATCCATCTTGACTTAATTTTTGTATAAGGTGTAAGGAAGGGATCCAGTTTCAGCTTTCTACATATGACAATGAATGTCAGGCATCCATCTCTATAGCCAATTCCCAGTTCACGTATCATCCAGGGAAGGGTTAGATAGTCAAAGAGGCTGCCCTCCCACCCCCTGTCAGGCAGCCAGTGGGGGTGGAGGCTTGTCTTCTTCTCACCTGATCCTCTCATAAGCTTCACACGCAGCTGCATAGTTTCTGCTATTCTGATGTTCACTTCAAGAGATGGTGGACACTCATCATCAGATGTGTCTTCCTTCTCGATTTCTTTTCTGGTTGGAATATATCAATTCATTTTTTTTTTTTTTTCAGTTTCTAAACTTTGAAACCTGTGTTTTTCATTTTCTTCTCTTTTGATGTTCCAGTTTGAATTATTTCATCCCTGCTGCTATTTTCATGCTCCTGAATAACGAATGTTATTTATATATGGAGATGCTGAAGTGTATTATTTGGAAAGGGAAATTTGTTACCTCTGATATGGGTTTGGAGATTTATTAAAAATAAATATCTTGACATACCAGCTTGAAGAGAGATTTCACCTAATCAGGAACTTATGAATTCTATGAATATTTGAATTAAGTTGCAGGTGTATTTCTCAGATTAATTTCTGCTCTGGGGTGTTGGAGGGATTCTTGTCCATCTTATATACAGACAGTTTTTTGCTGCTGTAGACACTGTAAGACACCTTTAATTTATCAGCCAATTCTGTGGGTAAAATATGATGATTAGAAGGTGTAATGAGATTAATTATTTTCTCCTAAAATACATGTCCACGTCCTAATCTCTCTAGAGCCTGTGAAGGGGACCTTAGCATTTGCAGATATACCTAAATACAATGACAGGTGTCTTTGTAAGAGACAGAAAAGGAGACTCAGACACAGAGGAGAAGGCCACGTGGAGATGGAGGCAGAGAGTAGAGTGATGCGGCCACAAGCCCAGGGATGCCTGGAGTCCCCAGGAGCTGGGAGAGGCAGGAAGGGGCCTCCCCTAGAGCCTCCGGAGGAAGCATGGTCCTGCTCACACCTTGATCTCAGATTTCTGCCTCCAGAACTGGGAGGAGAGAAATTCTTACTGTTTTAAGCCTCCAGTTTTTTTGTTGTTGTTGTTGAGACAGAGTCTCACTCTGTGGCCAGGCTGGAGTGCAGTGGCCCGATCTCGGCTCACTGCAACCTCCGCCTCCCTAGCTCAAGCTACTCTCCTGCCTCAGCCTCCCCAGTAGCTGGGACTACAGCTACTATGTGTCTATGCTGCTATGAATAGTTCCACCGTTAAATAAAAGAGGCAGGGAAAATACACTCCCTCGAGTTTTTTGTAAACCCCAAAATCCCTGGAGAAATAACACACCCCAAGAATAATTCTAAAAATTGGCACGTGCCATGGTGTTACTGTAGAGGAAATCTCAAATGCTCAAAAACAAAGTGGACAATGAAAGAAGGTAATTATGTGGAAATAGAGCCCAGACAAAGAATGCAATACTGTCCCAGAATAAACCGTCACCCATGACTCACACCGGGCGTTCAAGATGTCCACAGACGTGTGGGAAAATGAAACCCAGCCGTCTGCCTTCTCTTCTTTCTTTGAAATCTCTCATCCATCAGCAGCTCTGTTGGGCCATCCCTCCCAAGGCAGGCACCTTTTATCTGAGTGAACTCAGATAAAAAATTAGCCATGCCCGGCTAATTTTTGTATTTTTAGTAAAGACGGGATTTCACCATGTTGGCCAGGATGGTCTCGATCTCCTGACCTTGTGATCCACCCGCCTCAGCCTCCCAAAGTGCTGGGATTACAGGCGTGAGCCACCACGCCTGGTCTTAAGCCTCTAGTTTTGTTAAATTATTACAGTGGCCCCAGGAAGGTACTAGAGAGAGGAGGTTTCTGTAGTAGTTTTTCCCTCAGAGTATGTTCACAGTCTGCTTTTTCTAGTCTGTCTCAGGTCTTAGCCCATCACAGAGCTATGTAGGGTATTCGGTGACTGTTTCATTTTGGGCTGGTACTGTAGATGTATCTATAATGTGTCCCTGTCATTGATGCAAACTTGAATCAAGCTATACAGCATCATGTATCATGCCTAATTTGAGGTAGTCCTATTGACACTTTTGCTACTTTCCAAGGAATCCTGAAAGCCACATTCATCATTTCTGAATGAGGACAAAGCCCTGTTGATCCCTTGTCTAGCAAAAGCCCCAGAGAGTTCACTCAGATAAAAGGTGCCTGCCTTGGGAGGGATGGCCCAACAGAGCTGCTGATGGATGAGAGATTTCAAAGAAAGAAGAGAAGGCAGACGGCTGGGTTTCATTTTCCCACACGTCTGTGGACATCTTGAACGCCCGGTGTGAGTCATGGGTGACGGTTTATTCTGGGACAGTATTGCATTCTTTGTCTGGGCTCTATTTCCACATAATTACCTTCTTTCATTGTCCACTTTGTTTTTGAGCATTTGAGATTTCCGCTACAGTAACACCATGGCACGTGCCAATTTTTAGAATTATTCTTGGGGTGTGTTATTTCTCCAGGGATTTTGGGGTTTACAAAAAACTCGAGGGAGTGTATTTTCCCTGCCTCTTTTATTTAACGGTGGAACTATTCAGAGCAGCATAGAACACGAATGTCCAACAATCATGGACTGGATTAAGAAAATGTGGCACATATACACCATGGAATACTATGCAGTCATAAAAAATGATGAGTTCATGTCCTTTGTAGGGACATGGATGAAGCTGGAAACCATCATTCTCAGCAAACTATCGCAAGGACAAAAAACCAGACACCGCATGTTCTCACTCATAGGTGGGAATTGAACCATGAGATCATATGGACACAGGGTGGGGAGCATCACACACTGGGTACTGTTGTGGGGTGGGGGGAGGGGGGAGGGATAGCATTAGGAGATATACCTAATGCTAAATGACGAGTTAATGGGTGCAGCACACCAACATGGCACTTGCATACATATGTAACTAACCTGCACATTGTGCACATGTACCCTAAAACTTAAAGTATAATAATAATAAAATAAAAATAAAAAAACACGAAGCTTTCTTGGCACTTCCCAAGAGTGGATTTAACTCTTCTCCTGGGACAGCAGGGACCACCAGCCCACAAAGGAGGACTTATTATCTCCACTTCAGTCTTGCCTGAAAATCTGCTCTAGTTTTGAACAACATCAGAGCTAAACAAATCAGAAAGAATGTGATTGTTTTGGTCGGGTGTTCTCCGGAAGAAGCTATTGCCTCCTCCTGTGAATGCCAGCTGGGCAAAATATTCCTAAAGCATCTCACAAATTCATCAGTGGTTTCTGCTCTTGGACAGCTATTTTCTTTGATGATAAAGACTTAGGCAATGCATGGAATTCTAGATGTATTAATATATACTCAGACAAGCACTGAACAGACTTTGCTTTCCTAGTTAAAATCTAAGTGATACAGGTACAATCAGCTGCCTGTAATCCCAGCTCTTTATAGGCTCATGCCTGGAATCCCAGCACTTTAAGAGTCCGAGGTAGGCAGATCACCCAAGGGCAGGAGTTCGAGACCAGCCAGGCAAACATGGAGAAACCTTGTCTCTACTAAAAATACAAAAATTAGCCGGGCATGGTGGTGGGTGCCTGTAGTCCCAGCTACTCGGGAGGCTGAGGCAAGAGAATTGCTTGAACTTTGGAGGCCAGGTTGCAGTGAGCCGAGATCACACCACTGCACTCCAGGTAGGCGACAAGAGGGAAACTCTATCTCTTAAAAAAAAAAAAAAAAAAGGCTGGACATGGTGGCTTATGCCTGTAATCCCAGCAGTTTGGGAGGCCGAGGCAGGCAGATCACGAGGTCAGGAGTTCGAGACCAGCCTGGCCAAATGGTGAATCTCTCTCTACTAATAGTACAAAAATTAGTCAGGCGTGGTGATGGGCACCTGTAATCCCAGCTACTCAGGAGGCTGAGGCAGGAGAATCACTTGAACCCAGGAGGCAGAGGATGCAGTGAGCCAAGATCGTGCCATTGCACCCCAGCCTGGTGACAGAGAGAGACTCCATCTCAAAAAAAAAAAAAAAAAAACCCAGGTGCGGTGGCACCTTGGGAGGCTGAGGCAGGTGAATCACTTGAGGTCGGGCATTCGAGACCAGCCTGGCCAATGTGGTGAATCTCTGTCTTTACTAAAAACACAAACATTAGCTGGGCATGGTGGCAGGTGCCTGTAGTCCCAGCTACTTGGGAGGCTGAGGCAGGAGAATTGCTTGAACCCAGGAGGCCAGGTTGCAGTAAGCCGAGATCGTGCCACTGCACCCCAACTGGGGGACAAGAGTGAAACTCCGTGTCTTAAAAAAAGACACAAATAGTGGACTTGGGGCTCACCCTAATCCATGATGTTCTCATCCCTAACTCCTTAACTAGATTACTTCTGCAAAGAGTCTTATACCAAACGCGGTCCCATTCTCAGGTTCTAGGGGGTTAAGCCATACTCATATCTTTTTGAGGAGACACCGTTGAATGGACTGAATTGTACTGCTCCCCAAATTCGTTTGTGGAGCCGTAACATCCAATGTGATGATATTTGAAGATGAGGACTTTGGGAGGTACATAGAGTTACTCGAAGTCGTATGTGAATGAATTATATTTTGTTACTTCACTCTTCTCTCGATGGACAGATTGTAGATTTTTGAGTAGGGCACTCACATGCGTTTCACTAAGGTTTTTAAAAGATCCCTTTACAGCGGTGTCAAGAGTAAATTATAAGCCAGGTGCGGTGGCTCACGCCTGTGATCCCAGCACTCTGGGAGGCCGAGGCGGGCGGATCACTTGAGGTCGGGAGTTCGAGACCATCCTGGCCAACAAGGTGAAACCCCATCTTTACTAAAAATACAAAAATTAGCCAGGTGTGGTGGTGCGCACCTGTAATCCCAGCACTGTGGGAGGCTGAGGCAGGCAGATCACCTGAGGTTTGGAGTTCGAGACCAGCCTGGCCAACATGGTGACACCCCGTCTCTACTAAAAATACAAAAATTAGCCAGGTGAGGTGAGGTGGTGCGCACCTGTAATTTCAGCTACTCGGGAGGCTGAGGCAGAAGAATTGCTTGAACCCAACAGGCGGAGGTTGCAGTGAGCCGAGATGGTGCCACTGCACTCCAGCCCGAGTGACAGAGTGAGACTCTGTCTCGGGGGGAGGGGAGGGGGGAAAGTAAATTGTGGGGAACAACTGTGTAAGCCGGTAGGATAGGAGATGGTTGCAGGAATGCGGGTCAGGAGATAGTGACATGGAGTTAACAAAGGAGGTGGTACAGAGTGCTTAGTTCTGAATTTTTTGAAATTCTTGAATGAGTTTCTTACGGGGGTAAGGTATACGTAACCTAAAATTTACCTGTTTTGGCTGGGCGCGGTGGCTCACGCCTGTAATCCCAGTACTTTGGGAGGCCAAGGCGGGTGGATCACGAGGTCAGGAGATCGAGACCATCCTGGCTAACGCGGTGAAACCCCGTCTCTACTAAAAATACAAAAAATTAGCTGGGCATGGTGGCGGACGCCTGTAGTCCCAGCTACTCGGGAGGCTGAGGCAGGAGAATCGCTTGAACCCGGGAGGCGGAGCTTGCAGTGAGCCGAGATCACGCCCCTGCACTCCAGCCTGGGCAACAGAGTGAGACTCCAGCTCCAAAAAAAAAAAAAAAAATTTACCTGTTTAACCATTTTTAGTTACTTATTTATTTATTTTGAGAAGGAGTCTCGCTCTGTCACCCAGGCTGGAGTGCAGTGGCGTAATCTCTGCTCACTACAACCTCCGCCTCCTGAGTTCAAGTGACTCTCCTGCCTCAGCCTCCTGAGTAGCTGGGACCAGAGGCACAGATGGGGTTTCACCATGTTGGCCAGGATGGTCTCGATCTCCTGACCTTGTGATCCGCCCATCTTGGCCTGCCAAAGTACTGGGATTACAGGCATCAGCCACTGTGCCCGGCCATTTATTTATTTATTTATTTATTTTTCAGTTTTCCCTAAGGTAATTTATTTTTTATTTATTTTTTATTTATTTTTTTTAATTTTTTTTTTCTTTATTATACTTTAAGTTTTAGGGTACATGTGCACATTGTGCAGGTTAGTTACATATGTATACATGTGCCATGCTGGTGTGCTGCACCCATTAACTCGTCATTTAACATTAGGTATATCTCCTAATGCTATCCCTCCCCCCTCCCCCCACCCCACCACAGTCCCCAGAGTGTGATATTCCCCTTCCTGTTATTTATTTATTTTTTGAGAAGGAGTCTGGCTCTGTCACCGAGGCTGGAGTGCAGTGGCGCGATCTCGGCTCACTACAACCTCCGCCTCCTGGGTTCAAGTGATTCTCCTGCCTCAGCCTCCTGAGTAGCTGGGACTACAGGCGTGTGCTGCCGTGCCCGGCTAATTTTTGCATTTTTAGTAGAGATGAGTTTTCACCATGTTGGCCAGGCTGCTCTTGAACTCCTGTTTTTAACCTTTTTTAAATGTACAGTTCAGTAGCATTAAGGACATTCTCATTATTGTGCAGTTTTCACCACCCTGCACTTCCCAAGCTTGTTTATCTTCCGCAACTGAAACTATGTCCTCATGAAACACTCTCAGGGCCGGGCGCGGTGGCTCACGCCTGTCATCCCAGCACTTTGGGAGGCCGAGGCCTGTGGATCACCTGAGGTCAGGAGTTCAAGACCAGCCTGGCCAACATGGAGAAACCCCGTCTCTACTAAAAATACAAAAATCAGCCCGGCGTGGTGGCGCACGTCTGTAATCTCAGCTACTCGGGAGGCTGAGGCAGGAGAATGGTCTGAACCCGGGAAGAGGAGCTTGCAGTGAGCCGAGATCACGACACTGCACTCCAGTCTGGGTGACGGAGTGAGACTCCCTCTGCAATCAAACAAACAACAACAACAAAAAAACAGTCCCTCCTCATTCCCCTCCCACAGCCCCTGGCTGTAAGAGTTAAAGAAAGAGGAAAGAAATAGGAAAAGCGGCTTAACAGTTAAAGACAGGTTTATTTTGGTAAATAAACCTGAGAGACGATTTGGGCCAATTTTGGTTAGGAGCAGTTTTTTTTAAACAGACCTAAGAGTTCTTAAGGGTTTAGGGTGGGTGAGCTTATTACAGGCTTGGAATGTTTTTGTGGGTTTTTTTGTTTTGCTTATTTGGGAGGGAGAGTTTTGTGTGTGTTTGTTTTTTTTTTTTTTTTTTTGGAGACGGAGTTTCACTCTTGTTGCCCAGGCTGGAGTGCAGTGGCACGATCTTGGCTCACTGCAACCTCCACCTCACGGGTTCAAGTGATTCTCCTGCCTCAGCCTCCTGAGTAGCTGGGATTACAGGCATGCACCACCACGCCTGGCTAATTTTTGTATTATTTATTTATTTATTTATTTATTTATTTATTTTTTGAGACGGAGTTTTGCTCTTGTTGCCCAGGCTAGAGTGCAGTGGCCTGATCTCAGCTTACTGCAACCTCCGCCTCCCGGGTTCAAGCGATTCTCCTGCCTCAGCCTCCCGAGTAGCTGGAATTACGGGCACCCGCCACTACGCCCGGCTAATTTTGTATTTTTAGTAGAGACGGGGTTTCTCCATGATGGCCAGGCTGGTCTCGAACTCCTGACCTCAGGTGATCCGAAAGTGCTGGGATTACAGGCGTGAGTCACTGCCCCTGGCCTGTGTTTGTTTTTTTCCTTTTTTAATTTGTTTTTTTCCTGCAGCTGCAGGCATACCCACCCCCAAGTTTCCCTTCGGCTTTTCTATTTTAGTGCACCTAAAAGGAAAGGAATGTGCTTATTAGGGCCCATTGTATGAGTTTGAAGTTTGGTGGTTAAGCAAGAAATTCTTCTCCCTCCCTTTGTGCCCGAGCTGTTTTATTTGTGTTTTACAGTTTGCTTTTTCTGGCTGCTTGTTGTTAGAAGAGATTTTCTTGAAATGCATGAGGTTAGCAAGGGAGCAGGAACTTAAAATGGCAACGTTTGTCACCGTTACTGGGTATATACCCAAAGGACTATAAATCATGCTACTATAAAGACACAGGCACACGTATGTTCATTGCGGCACTATTCACAATAGCAGAGACTTGGCACCAACCCAAATGTCCATCAATGATAGACTGGATAAAGAAAATGTGGCACATACACACCATGGAATACTATGCAGCCATAAAAAAGGATGAGTTCATGTCCTTTGCAGGGACATGGATGAAGCTGGAAACCATCATTCTCAGCAAACTAACACACTGCGTCGGCCTCCCAAACTGCTGGGATTACAGGTGTCAGCCACTGCGCCCAGCCTATTTATGATTTAACTTAATTGACAAATAATTGTACAGATGTACCATGTATAGCATGATGTTTTGAAATATGTATACATCGTGAAATGGCTAAATTGAGCAAAATAACATTCGCATAACCTCACATATTTATCATTTTTGTGAGAGAACCCTTGAAATGTACTCTGTTAGTGATTTTCAGGAATATAATACACGGTGGCTGGGCGCGGTGGCTCACGCCTGTCATCCCAGCACTTTGGGAGGCTGAGGTGGGTGGGTTGATTGAGTTCAAGAGTTCAAGACCAGCCTGGCCACTATGTTGAAACCCTGTCTCTACAAAAAATACAAAAATTAGCCAGGTGTGGTGGCATGTGCCTGTAATCCCAGCTACTTGGGAGGCTGAGGCAGGAGAATTGCTTGAACCCGGGAGGCGGAGGTTGCAGTGAGCTGAGATCACACCGCTGCACTCCAGCTTGGGCAACAGAACGAGACTCTGTCTCAAAAAAAGTAAAAAAATAACCAAACACGGCATGTTCTCATAAGTGTGAGTTGAACAATGAGAACACATGGACACAGGGAGGGGAATGTCACACACTGGGGCCAGTCGGGGGGCTAGGGGAGGGATAGCATTAGGACAAATACATAAGGTAGATGATGGGTTGATGGGTGCAGCAGACCACTATGGCACGTGGATACCTATGTAACAAACCTGCACGTTCTGCACACGTACCCCAGAACTTAGAAGTATAATTAAAAAAAAAATTAACTCCAAAAAAAAAAAATAGAAGTGTTCATACAAAATCTTGGCTCACCGCAACCTCTGCCTCCTGGGTTCAAGCGATTCTTCTGCCTCAGCCTCCTGAGTAGCTGGGATTACAGGTGCCTGCCACTGTGGCTGGCTAGTTTTTATATTATTAGTAGAGACGGAGTTTCACCATGTTGGCCAGGCTGGTCTCAAACTCCTGACCTTAGGTGATTAACCCACCTTGGCCTCCCAAAGTACTGGGATTACAGGCGGGAGCCACTGTACCCGGCCCCAATTTTTTTTTTTTTTTTTTTTTGAGACGAGTCTTGCTGTGTCTCCCAGGCTGGAGGGCAGTGGTGCGATCTCAGCTCACTGCAAGCTCCACCTCCTGGGTTCATGCCATTGTCCTGTCTCAGCCTCCCATGTAGCTGCGACTACAGGCGCCCGCCACCACACCCAGCTAATTTTTTTGTATTTTAAGTAGAGACGGGGTTTCACCATGTTAGCCAGGATGGTCGCGATCTCCTGACCTCGTGATCCACCCGCCTCGGCCTCCCAAAGCGCTGGGATTACAGGTGTGAGCCACCGCGCCCGGCCTTTTTTTTTTTCTTTTAATTAGCTATGTGTGGTTGTGTCTGTAGTCCCAGCACTTTGGGAGGCTGAGGCCATAGGCTCGCTTGAGACCAGGTGTTCGAGATCAGTCTGAGCAACATAGTCTGACCCCATCTCTAAAAATGTTGAAAGAGAAAAAGAAAGTCAGCATTTTGCTCTTTTTTCCTAAGAGATTTTTGACTCCCCTGCACCATCCTTCACTAAGTGAAGCAAGCAAAAGAATTCTGCAAGAATACATGTTGACTTTTTTCTTCTTTTTTTTTTTTGAGATGGAGTCTCGCTCTGTGGCCCAGGCTGGAGTGCAGTGGCACAATCTTGGCTCACTGCAACCTCCGCCTCCCGGGTTCAAACGATTCTCCTGCCTCAGCCTCCCAAGTAGCTGGGACTACAGGCGCCCGCCACCACGCCCGGCTAATTTTTTTGTATTTTTAGTAGAGACGGGGTTTCACCGTGTTAGCCAGGATGGTCTCGATCTCCTGACCTCGTGATCCGCCCGCCTCGGCCTCCCAAAGTGCTGGGATGACAGGCATGAGCCATCATGCCCGGCCCTTTTTCTTTTTCTCTTAGAGATGGTGTCTCACTCTGTGGCTCAGGCTGAAGTGCGGTGGCACAATCATAGCTCACCGCAGTCTCCACCTCCCAGGTTCAAGCGATCCTCCTACCTCAGCCTCCTGAGTAAATGGAGCTACGGGCACACACCACCATATCTGGCTTATTTTATAATATTTCTCACCAGCAATCGCCTCTCCCTCGAGCGATGTTCTTGAAAGCTGAACTACAACCACAGTGGAAAAGCCGGCGTGTCAGGCCTGCATAAGTTTGTCTGTTGTGGTTTTGTAAAAATTAATTGTGAAATACACATCACAAAATTCACCGTGAGTACCAGGGAACAAAAGCACAGGCCGGGCGCGGTGGCTCACGCCTGTAATCCCAGCACTTTGGGAGGCCAAGGCGGGTGGATCACCTGAGGTCAGGAGTTCTTGACCAGCCTGACCAACATGGAGAAACCCTGTCTCTACTAAAAATACAAAAATTAGCCAGGTGCAGTGGCTCACACCTGTAATCCTAGCACCTGGGGTTGGGGGTGGGGGTGGCGGATGACCTGAGGTCAGGAGTTCGAGACAGGCATAGCCCATGTGGGTAACCCTGTCTCTACTAACAATACAAAAATTAGCTGGGCATGGTGGTGGGCGCCTGTAATTCCAGCTACTCTGGAGGCTGAGACAGGAGAATCGCTTGAACCTAGAAGGCGGAGGTTGCAGTGAGCTGAGATCACGCCACTGCACTCCAGCCTGGGTGATAGAGCGAGACTCCATCTCTGAAAACAAACAAACAAAAAAAACAAAAAATTTAGCTGGGCATGGTGGTGGAACCCTGTAGTCCCAGCTACTCAGGAGGCTGAGGCAGGAGGATCGCTTAAACCTGGGAGGTAGAGGGTGCAGTGAGCTGATATTGTGCCACTGCACTCTAGCCTGGGCGACAGAGCGAGACTCCATCTCAAAACAAACAAGCAAATACAATGTTGTACAACCACTGTTGCTTTCTACTTTCAAAATATTTTCATCCCCCCAAAGGGAAACTCTTTTATCCATTAATCATTTGCTCCCATTCTCCTGCCCTCAGCCCCGAGGAAGCACGAATCCATTTTCTAGCTCTATGGATTTGTCTTTTCTGGACGTTTCAGAGAAATGGAATCAGACACTCTGTGGCCTTCTGTGTCTGGTGTCTTTCACTGGCCATGATATCTTCAAGGTTCATTCCCGTTGTTTCCTATATCAGGACTTTTTAAAATCTTTCTTTAAAAAATTTTATATGGAGGTATTACTATTTTTATATTTGCAGAATGATCTGGAATATTTTCAAAGGTTTATTTCTGATGTATTTTTATATATTTATTTTTTTGAGACACAGTCTCAATCTGTCTCCCAGGCTGGAGTGCAGTGATGCAATCTCAGCTCACTGCAACCTCCGCCTCCCGGGTTCAAGTGATTCTCCTGCCTCAGTCTCCCCAGTAGCTGGGACTACAGGCACACACCACTACAAGGGCTAATTTTTGTATTTTTAGTAGAGGCAGGGTTTCACCATGTTGGCCAGGCTGGTCTCCAACTCCTGACCTCAGGTGATCCACCTGTGTTGGCCTCACAAAGTGCTGGGATTACAGGTGTCAGCCACTGCACTCAGCCTATTTATGATTTAACTTTTTAATTGACAGACAATTGTACAGATGTACTATATACAGCATGATGTTTTGAAATATGTATACATCGTGAAATGGCTAAATTGAGCAAAATAACATTTGCATAACCTCACATACTTACTATTTTTGTGAGAGAACTCTTGAAACGTACTCTATTAGTGATTTTCAGGAATATAATACATGGTGGCTGCGCGCAGTGGCTCTCACGCCTGTAATCCCGGCACTTTGGGAGGCTGAGGTGGGTGGGTCGATTGAGTCCAAGAGTTCAAGACCAGCCTGGCCGCTATGCTGAAACCCTGTCTTTACAAAAAATACAAAAATTAGCCAGGCGTGGATGGCATGTGCCTGTAATCCCAGCTACTCAGGAGGCTGAGGCAGGAGAATTGCTTGAACCCGGGAGGTGGAGGTTGCATTGACCTGAGATCGCACCACTGCACTCCAGCCTGGGTGACAGAGCGAGACTCTGTCTCAAAAAATAATAATAATAATAATAATGCATCATTATAAACTCTAGTCACCATGATGTACAATAGAGCTTTTTAATGTATACGTTCTAACTAAACTTTGTATCTTTTTTTTTTTTTTTTTTTTGAGATGGAGTCTCACTCTGTCACCCGGGCTAGAATGCAGTGGTGCAATCTTGGCTCACTGCAAGCTCCGCCTCCCGGGTTCAAGTGATTCTCCTGCCTCAGCCTCCCAAGTAACTGGGACTACAGGCGTGTGCCACTACGCCTGGCTAATTTTTTGTATTTTTAGTAGAGACAGGGTTTTACCGTGTTAGCCAGGATGGTCTGGATCTCTTGACCTTGTGATCTGCCTGCCTTGACCTCCCAAAGTGCTGGGATTACAGGTGTGAGCCACCGCGCCGGGCCACGTTGTATCTTTTGACCAACATCTTCCAACCTTCTCCAGCGCCTGGTAACCACCATTCTATGATTCTATGATTTATGGTTCTATGCTCTGATTCTATAATTTCAATTTTTTTGATTCTATGTAGAAGTGAGATCATGTGGTATTTGTCTTTCTGTGACTGGCTTATTTCAGTCAACATAATGTCCTCCAGGTTCATTTCCACGTGGTCAAAAATGACAGGATTGTCTTCCTTTTAAAGCCTGAATAGTGTTCTGCTGTGAGTATATACCACATTTTCTTCATCTGTTCATCTGTTGATGGGCATCTGCGTTATCCCATACCTTAGCTATTGTGAATAACACACATACTTCATATTCCTTTTCATGGCTGAGTAATATTCCCCATATGGGTGGACCATGTTCTGTTCCTCCATTCATCTGTTGATGGGCACCTGGGTTATCCCATACCTTAGCTATTATGAATAACACACAGACTTCCTATTCCTTTTCATGGCTGAGTAATATTCCCCGTATGGGTGGACCACATTCTGTTCCTCCATTCATCTATTGATAGACACTTGGGTTATCCCATATTTTACCTATTGTAACTACTGCAGTGAGGACTTCATTCCCTTTTCATGGCTGAGTAATATTCCCCTCTATGGGTGGACCATGTTCTATTCTTCCATTCATCTGTTCATGGGCACTAGGGTTATCCTATACCTTAACTGTTGTGAATAAAACAAAGACTTCCTATTCCTTTTCATGGCTGAGTAATATTCCCCGTATGGGTGGACCACATTCTGTTCCTCCATTCATCTATTGATAGACACTTGGGTTATCCCATATTTTACCTATTGTAACTATTGCAGTGAGGACTTCATTTCCTTTTTATGGCTGAGTAATATTCCCCTGTATGGGTGGACCATGTTCTGTTCCTCCATTCGTCTGTTGATGGGCACTAGGGTTATCCCATAACTTAGCTATTATGAATAATGCCAAGACTTCACGTTCCTTTTCATGGCTGAGTAATATTCCCCTGCATGGGGGGACCATCTTCTGTTCTTCCATTCCTCTATTGATAGACACCCATATCTTAGCTATTGTAACTAATACAGTGAGGACTTCACTCCCTTTTTATGGCTAAGTAATATTCTCCTGTATGGGTGGACGATGATCTATTCCTCCATTCATCTGTTGATGGGAACTTGGGTTATCCCATAACTTAGCTGTTGTGAATAACACAAAGCCTTCCTATTCCTTTTCACGGCTGAGTAATATTCCCCGTATGGGTGGACCACATTCTGTTCCTCCATTCATCTATTGATAGACACTTGGGTTATCCCATATTTTACCTATTGTAACTATTGCAGTGAGGACTTCATTCGCTTTTCATGGCTGAGTAATATTCCCCTCTATGGGTGGACCATGTTCTATTCTTCCATTCATCTGTTGATGGGCACTAGGGTTATCCTATACCTTAACTGTTGTGAATAAAACAAAGACTTCCTATTCCTTTTCATGGCTGAGTAATATTCCCCGTATGGGTGGACCACATTCTGTTCCTCCATTCATCTATTGATAGACACTTGGGTTATCCCATATTTTACCTATTGTAACTATTGCAGTGAGGACTTCATTTCCTTTTTATGGCTGAGTAATATTCCCCTGTATGGGTGGACCATGTTCTGTTCCTCCATTCATCTGTTGATGGGCACTAGGGTTATCCCATAACTTAGCTATTATGAATAATGCCAAGACTTCACGTTCCTTTTCATGGCTGAGTAATATTCCCCTGCATGGGGGGACCATCTTCTGTTCTTCCATTCCTCTATTGATAGACACCCATATCTTAGCTATTGTAACTAATACAGTGAGGACTTCACTCCCTTTTTATGGCTAAGTAATATTCTCCTGTATGGGTGGACGATGATCTATTCCTCCATTCATCTGTTGATGGGAACTTGGGTTATCCCATAACTTAGCTGTTGTGAATAACACAAAGCCTTCCTATTCCTTTTCACGGCTGAGTAATATTCCCTGTATGGGTGGACCACATTCTGTTCCTCCATTCATCTATTGATAGACACTTGGGTTATCCCATATTTTACCTATTGTAACTATTGCAGTGAGGACTTCATTCCCTTTTCATGGCTGAGTAATATTCCCCTCTATGGGTGGACCATGTTCTATTCTTCCATTCATCTGTTGATGGGCACTAGGGTTATCCTATACCTTAACTGTTGTGAATAAAACAAAGACTTCCTATTCCTTTTCATGGCTGAGTAATATTCCCCGTATGGGTGGACCACATTCTGTTCCTCCATTCATCTATTGATAGACACTTGGGTTATCCCATATTTTACCTATTGTAACTATTGCAGTGAGGACTTCATTTCCTTTTTATGGCTGAGTAATATTCCCCTGTATGGGTGGACCATGTTCTGTTCCTCCATTCGTCTGTTGATGGGCACTAGGGTTATCCCATAACTTAGCTATTATGAATAATGCCAAGACTTCACGTTCCTTTTCATGGCTGAGTAATATTCCCCTGCATGGGGGGACCATCTTCTGTTCTTCCATTCCTCTATTGATAGACACCCATATCTTAGCTATTGTAACTAATACAGTGAGGACTTCACTCCCTTTTTATGGCTAAGTAATATTCTCCTGTATGGGTGGACGATGATCTATTCCTCCATTCATCTGTTGATGGGAACTTGGGTTATCCCATAACTTAGCTGTTGTGAATAACACAAAGCCTTCCTATTCCTTTTCATGGCTGAGTAATATTCCCCGTATGGGTGGACCACATTCTGTTCCTCCATTCATCTATTGATAGACACTTGGGTTATCCCATATTTTACCTATTGTAACTATTGCAGTGAGGACTTCATTCCCTTTTTATGGCTCAGTAATATTCCCCTGTATGGGTGGAACATGTTCTGTTCTTCCATTCATCTGTTGATGGGCACTACGGTTATCCTATACGTTAACTGTTGTGAATAACAAAGGCTTCATATTCCTTTTCATAGCTGAGTAATACTCCCCTGTATGGGTGGACCATGTTCCATTCCTCCAATCATCTATTGATAGACACTTAGGTTATCCTACCTCTTAGCTATTGTGAATAACACAAAGACTTCTTATTCCTTTTCATGGCTGAGTAACATTCTCCTGTATGGGTGGACCATGATCTATTCCTCCATTCATCTGTTGATAGGCACTTGGGTTATCCCATACCTTAGCTATTGTGAATAACACAAAGACTTCCTATTCCTTTTCACGGCTGAGTAATAGTCTTCTCTATGGGTGGACCATGATCTATTCCTCCATGTTCATAGATACTTGGGTTATTCCATATCGTAGCTATTGTAACTAATACGATGAGGACTTCATTCCCTTTTTTTGGCTGAATAATATTCGAGATACAAGATGTCAAGGTACAATGATGAAGTTTATGACTTCCCAGTTTTTTCTTTTTCTTAGGGAACAGCCAAGAACTAACATGTTTCCTACACTTTCTATTTTCCTTTCCAATGAATGGTCTCTCTGTGATTTCATTAGGAAAAATACCCCAATTTCCTTACATGCCAATGTATAGAGAACAGGTAGAGATCCAGATGGAAGATTAGAGATCAATTGACCTTTTAGTTTGTAAGTGTCTTATGTATATGAACATAAGCATGTTTTAAAGTAGCCATGTGATTTGAAAAATATGCAGATGAAAAGCATTTTTAAAAATTGGAGGACAGGTGCAATGGCTCACACCTGTAATCCCAGCACTTCGGGAGGCCAAGGCAAGTGGATCACGTGAGGTCAGGAGTTTGAGACCAGCCTGGCCAACATGGTGAAACCCCGTCTCTACTAAGAATACAAAAAATTAGCCAGGCATGTTGGTGCATGCCTGTAATCCCAGCTACTCGGGAGGCTGAGGCAGTTCCTATATTCCTATAGGGTTCCTATATTTGCATAATTCATTAGTAGAGAAATTCAGGTTTCTCATAATGAATCTTCTGAATATCTAACCATGTTAGTTATGAGTTGGCCATTCCTAATAGCTTTTATGAAATAAAATCAAGCTTGACTTTTTTTCTCTTTTGCTGTCAAAATTCTCATTATTAACTGGAATATTCATGGGAAAATGGCAGATAATGTCAAGCCAGTCATCCACTTTGGCTTTGCGTTTTTAAAATTGATAAGTCAACCTTCTAAACTGTCTTTTAAAAATTTTATTTTATTTTACTTCAAGTTCTGGGGTACATGTGCAGAACGTGCAGGTTTGTTACATAGGTACACGTGTGCCATGGTGGTTTGCTGCACCTGTCATCCTGTCATCTAGGTTTTAAGCCCTGCATGCATTAGGACAAATACCTCCCCTTGCCCCCCAGCCCCCAACAGGCCCCGGTGTGTAATGTTCCCTCCCTGTGTCCATGTGTTCTTGATGTTCAACTCCCATTTTTGAGTGAGAACATGCGGTGTTTGGTTTTCTGTTCCTGTGTGAGTTTGCTGAGCACGATGGCTTCCAGCTTCATCCATGTCCCTGCAAAGGACATGATCTCATTCATTTTCATAGCTGCACCTTCTACACTTTTAAATTTTGGAACAACTGCAGACTTACAGGAGGATTACAAAAACAGTACAGAAAGTCCTTCGCACCCCTCTCAGTCAGCTTCCTCTGCTATCTTACATAACCTGGGTGCATTTATCACAATGAGACGTCAACGGCGATGCAACACGATTAGCAAGTCTGCAGAGTGTGTTTGCATTTCGCCAGATTTTCCGGTCCTTTCTTTTATTTAGATTCAAGTTCCCATCCAGGGTGCCATATTGCACTTAGTCACTGCCTGGTCTTGGCTTTCTGCAGTCTCTGCAGAGCTCCTCAAACGCCCCTTGTTTTTTTTTTTTTTTTTTTTTTGAGACGCCGTCTTGCTCTATCGCCCAGGCTGGAGTGCAGTGTTGCGTTCTCGGCTCACTGCAACCTCCACCTCCCGGGTTCACGCCATTCTCCTGCCTCAGCCTCCTGAGTAGCTGGGACTACAGGCACCCGCCACCACGCCCTGCTAATTTTTTGTATTTTTAGTACGGATGGGGTTTCACCGTTTTAGCCAGGATGGTCTTGATCTCTTGACATCGTGATCCGCCCTACTTGGCCTCCCAAAGTGCTGGGATTCCAGGCGTGAGCCACCGCGCCTGGCCAATTCCCTTGTTTTTAAGAGCTTGACGATTTTGAAGAGTCGTGGTACAGGTGTGCTGAGAAATGTCCATCACGTTTTTCCAGGTTCAGGCTAGGGGCTGAGGAGGGTGGGAAGCGGACCACAGAGGGAACTGGAGTCATCAATGCTGGTATCGCTGAAGACGTCCCGTTGACATCTTGTACCTGCCCATGCGACGTGGAGGTGGCCTCCAACAGGTGTCTCCAGCATTGATGACTTGGTGGAAGTGGCCTCTGCCAGGTGTCTCCAGCGTTGATGACTCAGCACAGGTGGCCTCTGCCAGGTGTCTCCAGCATTGATGACTCAGCGGAGGTAGCCTCTGCCAGGTGTCTCCAGCATTGATGACTCAGCAGAGGTGGCCTATCTCGGGTGTCTCCAGCATTGATGACTCAGCGGAGGTGGCCTCTCTCAGGTGTCTCCAGCATTGATGACTCAGCAGAGGTGGCCTATCTCGGGTGTCTCCAGCATTGATGACTCAGCGGAGGTGGCCTCTCTCAGGTGTCTCCAGCATTGATGACTCAGTGGAGGTGGCCTATCTCAGGTGTCTCCAGCATTGATGACTCAGCGGAGGTGGCCTCTCTCGGGTGTCTCCAGCATTGATGACTCAGCGGAGGTGGCCTCTGTCAGGTGTCTCCAGCATTGATGACTCAGCGGAGGTGGCCTCTCTCAGGTGTCTCCAGCATTGATGACTCAGCGGAGGTGGCCTCTCTCAGGTGTCTCCAGCATTGATGACTCAGCGGAGGTGGCCTCTCTCGGGTGTCTCCAGCATTGATGACTCAGCGGAGGTGGCCTCTGCCAGGTGTCTCCAGCATTGATGACTCAGCGGAGGTGGCCTCTGCCAGGTGTCTCCAGCATTGATGACTCAGCGGAGGTGGCCTCTCTCAGGTATCTCCACGTTGATGACTTGGCGGAGGTGGCCTCTCTCAGGTGTCTCCAGGGTTGATGAGTCAGCGGAGGTGGCCTCTCTCAGGTGTCTCCAGTGTTGATGACTCAGCGGAGGTAGCCTCTACCAGGTGTCTCCAGCATTGATGACTCAGCGGAGGTGGCCTCTGCCAGGTGTCTCCAGCATTGATGACTCAGCGGAGGTGGCCTCTGCCAGGTGTCTCCAGCATTGATGACTCAGCGGAGGTGGCCTCTCTCAGGTGTCTCCAGCATTGATGACTTGGTGGAGGTGGCCTCTCTCGGGTGTCTCCAGCATTGATGACTCAGCGGAGGTGGCCTCTCTCAGGTGTCTCCAGTGTTGATGACTCGGTGGAGGTGGCCTCTCTCGGGTGTCTCCAGCATTGATGACTCAGCGGAGGTGGCCTCTCTCAGGTGTCTCCACGTTGATGACTTGGCGGAGGTGGCCTCTCTCAGGTGTCTCCAGGGTTGATGAGTCAGCGGAGGTGGCCTCTGCCAGGTGTCTCCACGTCGATGACTCAGCGGAGGTGGCCTCTGCCTGGTGTCTCCACAGAGAAGTTGCTATGTTTCTCGTTCTATCATTTCCTCCTTGGAAGCCAGGCCAAACTATCCGAGCAACTCTCTCTTACCGGGGATTATATTCTACTTGACTTCTCCTGCTTGGAGTAGTGGGGAAGTGTCTGGTGGAATAATAGGAATTCTTTTGTAAGGGAGGTTGGGCTCTTCTCCCATGTTTATGTTTGAGTTAATCCTTTTATAAAGGTATATATAATGTATATATATATATATGTAATACACATAAAATATGCCATATACATATACACAAGAAATACAAATATCTATATATAACATTAATATGATCTCAGTATAAATTCATATATATACTAGTATAAACTCACTAGTATAAGTATAAAGTATATTAGTATAATAAACATATGTTACTGTAAACTCTGTATTATATATTAGCATAATAAATATATATTTGAATTCAGTATAAACTCATATATAGTAGAATAAACTCATCAGCATTGGTATAATATAAACTCATTACTATTAAGTCATATATATACTAGTATAAACTCATTATTACTTAAATAGTATAAATATATGTATTAGTATAAATTCATTAGTATAAATACATACTAGTATAAACTCATTAGTATACGTAATATATGTATAATATATATATTTTTTTTATATCAGACAAGAATTTTGTACTTTATTCTGTAGGCAATGAGGGGCATTGAAAGTAGGTCCTTTAGCAAGAACGGGGCATAGTCAGAGCTTTAAAAGAAAGATCAATACGTCAGCAATTGTGAAATAAAATGTCATCATTATTATATAGCAAATAAAAATGGAAACATTAGAATTCCAATAGGTAAGATCCCAGAATACAATGATTCTTAAGTAAGATATTCACCTTTCCCAATTATTGCTTTTTTTTTAAATTTTTTAAGTTTATTTCTTTTATTATTTAAATTTTAGGGTACATGTGCACATTGTGCAGGTTAGTTACATATGTATACATGTGCCATGCTGGTGCGCTGCACCCACTAACTCGTCATCTAGCATTAGGTATATCTCCCAATGCTATCCCTCCCCCCTCCCCCCACCCCACAACAGTCCCCAGAGTGTGATGTTCCCCTTCCTGTGTCCATGTGTTCTCATTGTTCAATTCCCACCTATGAGTAAGAATATGCTGTGTTTGGTTTTTTGTTCTTGCGATAGTTTACTGAGAATGATGATTTCCAATTTCATCCATGTCCCTACAAAGGACATGAACTCATCATTTTTTATGGCTGCATAGTATTCCATGGTGTATATGTGCTACATTTTCTTAATCCAGTCTATCATTGTTGGACATCTGGGTTGGTTCCAAGTCTTTGCTATTGTGAATAATGCCGCAATAAACATACGTGTGCATGTGTCTTTATAGCAGCATGATTTATAGTCCTTTGGGTATATACTCAGTAATGGGATGGCTGGGTCAAATGGTATTTCTAGTTCTAGATCCCTGAGGAATCACCACACTGACTTCCACAATGGTTGAACTAGTTTACACTCCCACCAACAGTATAAAAGTGTTCCTATTTATCCACATCCTCTCCAGCACCTGTTGTTTCCTGACTTTTTAATGATTGCCATTCTAACTGGTGTGAGATGATATCTCATAGTGGTTTTGATTTGCATTTCTCTGATGGCCAGTGATGATGAGCATTTTTTTTATGTGTCTTTTGGCTGCATAAATGTCTTCTTTTGAGAAGTGTCTGTTCATGTCCTTCGCCCACTTTTTGATGGGGTTGTTTGTTTTTTTCTTGTAAATTTGTTTGAGTTCATTGTAGATTCTGGATATTAGCCCTTTCTCAGATGAGTAGGTTGCGAAAATTTTCTCCCATTTTGTAGGTTGCCTGTTCACTCTGATGGTAGTTTCTTTTGCTGTGCAGAAGCTCTTTAGTTTAATTAGATCCCATTTGTCAATTTTGGCTTTTGTTGCCATTGCTTTTGGTGTTTTAGACATGAAGTCCTTGCCCATGCCTATGTCCTGAATGGTAATGCCTAGGTTTTCTTCTAGGATTTTTATGGTTTCAGGTCTAACGTTTAAGTCTTTAATCCATCTTGAATTGATTTTTGTATAAGGTGTAAGGAAGGGATCCAGTTTCAGCTTTCTACATATGGCTAGCCAATTTTCCCAGCACCATTTATTAAATAGGGAATCCTTTCCCCATTGCTTGTTTTTCTTAGGTTTGTCAAAGATCAGATAGTTGTAGATATGTGGCATTATTTCTGAGGGCTCTGTTCTGTTCCATTGATCTATATCTCTGTTTTGGTACCAGTACCATGCTGTTTTGGTTACTGTAGCCTTGTAGTATAGTTTGAAGTCAGGTAGTGTGATGCCTCCAGCTTTGTTCTTTTGGCTTAGGATTGACTTGGCTATGCGGGCTCTTTTTTGGTTCCATATGAACTTTAAAGTAGTTTTTTCCAATTCTGTGAAGAAAGGCATTGGTAGCTTGATGGGGATGGCACTGAATCTGTAAATTACCTTTGGGCAGTATGGCCATTTTCACAATATTGATTCTTCCTACCCATGAGCATGGAATGTTCTTCCATTTGTTTGTATCCTCTTTTATTTCCTTGAGCAGTGGTTTGTAGTTCTCCTTGAAGAGGTCCTTCACGTCCCTTGTAAGTTGGATTCCTAGGTATTTTATTCTCTTTGAAGCAATTGTGAATGGGAGTTCACTCATGATTTGGCTCTCTGTTTGTCTGTTGTTCGTGTATAAGGATGCTTGTGATTTTTGTACATGGATTTTGTATCCTGAGACTTTGCTGAAGTTGCTTATCAGCTTAAGGAGATTTTGGGCTGAGACAATGGGGTTTTGTAGATATACAATCATGTCATCTGCAAACAGGGACAATTTGACTTCCTCTTTTCCTAACTGAATACCCTTTATTTCCTTCTCCTGCCTAATTGCCCTGGCCAGAACTTCCAACACTATGTTGAATAGGAGTGGTGAGAGAGGGCATCCCTGTCTTGTGCCAGTTTTCAAAGGGAATGCTTCCAGTTTTTGCCCATTCAGTATGATATTGGCTGTGGGTTTGTCATAGATAGCTCTTATTATTTTGAAATACGTCCCATCAATACCTAATTTATTGAGAGTTTTTAGCATGAAGGGTTGTTGAATTTTGTCAAAGGCCTTTTCTGCATCTATTGAGATAATCATGTGGTTTTTGTCTTTGGCTCTGTTTAATATGCTGGATTACATTTATTGATTTGCGTATATTGAACCAGCCTTGCATCCCAGGGATGAAGCCCACTTGATCATGGTGGATAAGCTTTTTGATGTGCTGCTGGATTCGTTTTGCCAGTATTTTATTGAGGATTTTTGCATCAATGTTCATCAAGGATATTGGTCTAAAATTCTCTTTTTTGGTTGTGTCTCTGCCCGGCTTTGGTATCAGAATGATGCTGGCCTCATAAAATGAGTTAGGGAGGATTTCCTCTTTTTCTATTGATTGGAATAGTTTCAGAAGGAATGGTACCAGTTCCTCCTTGTACCTCTGGTAGAATTCGGCTGTGAATCCATCTGGTCCTGGACTCTTTTTGGTTGGTAAGTTATTGATTATTGCCACAATTTCAGATCCTGTTATTGGTCTATTCAGAGATTCAATTTCTTCCTGGTTTAGTCTTGGGAGAGTGTATGTGTCGAGGAATTTATCCATGTCTTCTAGATTTTCTAGTTTATTTGCATAGAGGTGTTTGTAGTATTCTCTGATGGTAGTTTGTATTTCTGTGAGATTGATGGTGATATCCCCTTTATCATTTTTTATTGCGTCTATTTGACTCTTCTCTCTTTTTTTCTTTATTAGTCTTGCTAGAGGTCTATTTTGTTGATCCTTTCAAAAAACCAGCTCCTGGATTCATTAATTTTTGAAGGGTTTTTTGTGTCTCTATTTCCTTCAGTTCTGCTCTGATTTTAGTTATTTCTTGCCTTGTGCTAGCTTTTTGAATGTGTTTGCTCTTGCTTTTCTAGTTCTTTTAATTGTGATGTTAGGGTGTCAATTTTGGATCTTTCCTGCTTTCTCTTGTGGGCATTTAGTGCTATAAATTTCCCTCTACACACTGCTTTGAATGCGTCCCAGAGATTCTGGTATGTTGTGTCTTTGTTCTCGTTGGTTTCAAAGAACATCTTTATTTCTGCCTTCATTTCGTTATGTACCCAGTAGTCATTCAGGAGCAGATTGTTCAGTTTCCATGTAGTTGAGCGGTTTTGAGTGAGATTCTTAATCCTGAGTTCTAGTTGATTGCACTGTGGTCTGAGAGACAGTTTGTTATAATTTCTGTTCTTTTACATTTGCTGAGGAGAGCTTTACTTCCAAGTATGTGGTCAATTTTGGAATAGGTGTGGTGTGGTGCTGAAAAAAATGTATATTCTGTTGATTTGGGGTGGAGAGTTCTATAGATGTCTATTAGGTCCGCTTGGTGCAGAGCTGAGTTCAATTCCTGGGTATCCTTGTTGACTTTCTGTCTCGTTGATCTGTCTAATGTTGACAGTGGGGTGTTAAAGTCTCCCATTATTATTGTGTGGGAGTCTAAGTCTCCTTGTAGGTCACTCAGGACTTGCTTTATGAATCTGGGTGCTCCTGTGTTGGGTGCATATATATTTAGGATAGTTAGCTGTTCTTGTTGAATTGATCCCTTTACCATTATGTAATGGCCTTCTTTGTCTCTTTTGATCTTTGTTGGTTTAAAGTCTGTTTTATCAGAGACTAGGATTGCAACCCCTGCCTTTTTTTGTTTTCCATTTGCTTGGTAGATTTTCCTCCATCCTTTTATTTTGAGCCTATGTGTGTCTCTACACGTGAGATGGGTTTCCTGAATACAGCACACTGATGGGTCTTGACTCTTTATCCAATTTGCCAGTCTGTGTCTTTTAATTGGAGCATTTAGTCCATTTACATTTAAAATTAATATTGTTATGTGTGAATTTGATCCTGTCATTATGATGTTAGCTGGTTATTTTGCTCGTTAGTTGATGCAGTTTCTTCCTCGTCTTGATGGTCTTTACATTTTGGCATGATTTTGCAGTGGCTGGTACTGGTTGTTCCTTTCCATGTTTAGTGCTTCCTTCAGGAGCTCTTTTAGGGCAGGCCTGGTGGTGACAAAATCTCTCAGCATTTGGTTGTCTGTAAAGTATTTTATTTCTCCTTCACTTATGAAGCTTAGTTTGGCTGGATATGAAATTCTGGGTTGAAAATTCTTTAAGAATGTTGAATATTGGCCCCCACTCTCTTCTGACTTGTAGGATTTCTGCCGAGAGATCTGCTGTTAGTCTGATGGGCTTCCCTTTGAGGGTAACCTGACCTTTCTCTCTGGCTGCCCTTAACATTTTTTCCTTCATTTCAACTTTGGTGAATCTGACAATTATGTGTCTTGGAGTTGCTCTTCTCGAGGAGTATCTTTGTGGCGTTCTCTGTATTTCCTGAATCTGAATGTTGGCCTGACTTGCTAGATTGGGGAAGTTCTCCTGGATAATATCCTGCAGAGTGTTTTCCAACTTGGTTCCATTCTCCCCATCACTTTCAGGTACACCAATCAGACGTAGATTTGGTCTTTTCACATAGTCCCATATTTCTTGGAGGCTTTGCTCATTTCTTTTTATTCTTTTTTCTGTAAACTTCCCTTCTCGCTTCATTTCATTCATTTCATCTTCCATCGCTGATACCCTTTCTTCCAGTTGATCGCATCGGCTCCTGAGGCTTCTGCATTCTTCACGTAGTTCTCGAGCCTTGGTTTTCAGCTCCATCAGCTCCTTTAAGCACTTCTCTGTATTGGTTATTCTAGTTATACATTCTTCTAAATTTTTTTCAAAGTTTTCAACTTCTTTGCCTTTGATTTGAATGTCCTCCCGTAGCTCAGAGTAATTTGATCGTCTGAAGCCTTCTCTCAGCTCGTCAAAGTCATTCTCCGTCCAGCTTTGTTCCGTTGCTGGTGAGGAACTGCATTCCTTTGGAGGAGGAGAAGCTCTCTGCTTTTTAGAGTTTCCAGTTTTTCTGTTCTGTTTTTTCCCCATCTTTGTGGTTTTATCTACTTTTGGTCTTTGATGATGGTGATGTACAGATGGGTTTTTGGTGTGGATGTCCTTTCTGTTTGTTAGTTTTCCTTCTAACAGACAGGACGCTCAGCTGCAGGTCTGTTGGAGTACCCGGCCGTGTCAGGTGTCAGTGTGCCCCTGCTGGGGGGTGCCTCCCAGTTAGGCTGCTCGGGGGTCAGGGGTCAGGGACCCACTTGAGGAGGCAGTCTGCCCGTTCTCAGATCTCCAGCTGCGTACTGGGAGAACCACTGCTCTCTTCAAAGCTGTCAGACAGGGACATTTAAGTCTGCAGAGGTTACTGTTGTCTTTTTGTTTGTCTGTGCCCTGCCCCCAGAGGTGGAGCCTACAGAGGCAGGCAGGCCTCCTTGAGCTGTGGTGGGCTCCACCCAGTTCGAGCTTCCCGGCTGCTTTGTTTACCTAAGCAAGCCTGGGCAATGGCGGGCGCCCCTCCCCAAGCCTCGCTGCCGCCTTGCAGTTTGATCTCAGACTGCTGTTCTAGCAATCAGCGAGACTCCATGGGCGTGGGACCCTCCGAGCCAGGTGCGGGATATAATCTCCTGGCGTGCCGTTTTTTAAGCCGGTCTGAAAAGCGCAGTATTCGGGTGGGAGTGACCCAATTTTCCAGGTGCCGTCTGTCACCCCTTTCTTTGACTAGGAAAGGGAACTCCTTGAACCCTTGCGTTTTCGGAGTGAGGCAGTGCCTCGCCCTGCTTCGGCTCGTGCATGGTGCGCGCACCCGCTGACCTGCGCCCACTGTCTGGCACTCCCTAGTGAGATGAACCTGGTACCTCAGATGGAAATGCAGAAATCACCATCTTCTGCGTCGCTCATGCTGGGAGCTGTAGACCGGAG
Organism: Homo sapiens; assembly: GCF_000001405.40. Classification (NCBI taxonomy): domain Eukaryota; kingdom Metazoa; phylum Chordata; class Mammalia; order Primates; family Hominidae; genus Homo; species Homo sapiens. Next base: position 1,709,757 of record NC_000023.11, read on the forward strand.
CTGTTCCTATTCGGCCATCTTGGCTCCTCCGGCTGTATAACATATATTAATGTAAACTCTAGTATAAACATGTATATACTAGTATAAACTCATGTATATACTAGTATAAACTCATGTATATACTAGTATAAACTCATGTATATACTAGTATAAACTCATGTATATACTAGTATAAACTCATTAGTATTTGTATAATATATATTAGTATAATAAATTAGTGTAAACTCATTAGTATAAGCTCATATATAGTAGAAAAACCCATTACTATTTGTATAATATATATTAGTATAATAAAGATATAGGTATAAACTTATTAGTATAAACATATATGCTAATATAAACTCAGTATAAGTGTAATATATATTAGTATAATATCAACATAAACTAGCAGAAACTAATATATATACTAGTATAAACTCATTAGTATTTGTATAAGTATAATATACATTAGTGTAAACTCATTAGTATAAACTCGTATAGTAGAATAAACCCATTACTATTTGTATAATATATATTAGCATAATAAATATATAGGTATAAACTCAGTATAAACATATATGCTAATATAAACTCATTAGTATAAGTGTAATACATATTAGTATTATAAATATCAACATAAACTCTAGTAGAAACTAATATATGTACTAGTATAAACTCATTAGTATTTGTATAATATATATTAGTATCATAAATATATATTACTGTAAACTCATTAGTATAAACTCATGTATATAGTAGAATAAACCCAGTAGTATTTGTATAATAATATTAGTATAATAAATATACATTGTTATAAACTCATTAGTATAAACATATATAGTAGTATAAACTCATTAGTATTTGTATAATATATTAATATGATAAATTAATATACCAAATATACCAATAAAAATTGGTATAAATTCATTAGTATAAACTCATATATACTAGTATAAACTCAGTATCTGTATATTAGTATATATTATAAACTCATAAACACATATACTAGTATAAACTCATTAGAATTTGTATTATATATTAATAGTATAAACTCCTATATATACTAGTATAAACTCAGTATTTTTATAATATAAATATGTTAGTAGAAACTCATCAGTGTAAAGTCATCTAAATTAGTATAGTAAATATATACTAGTGTAAACTCATGGCTATCTGTTAACAAACAGGAAGGTACAGAGCTGATGTCTTGAGCTAGCTGGAGATTGCCTTCCGTGGTGGGTTATAACCCAGTACTATCCTTAGCTATTTTTAATTTTTATTTTTATTTTACTCTGTGGCCCAGATGGTTTAAGTCTTGCCATTGGTTGGTCTTGGGAAGATCTTCCAGACTGGCTGCGGCATTGTGACCTGTGCAGTGTCCCTCATTTTGAGTTTTTCTGATGTTTTCTCATGGTTAGAGGGAGGCTTTGCATTTTTGGAAGTCCTCTGTTTGTTAGGATGTCAGTGTAAGGCGATGTTACCATGATGTCTACACACTCTTTTTTTTTTTTTTTTTTTTTGGAGACGGAGTCTCACTCTGTCACCCAGGCTGGAGTGCAGTGGCGCAATCTCAGCTCACTGCAAGCTCCTCCTCCCAGGTTCACGCCATTCTCCTGCCTCAGCCTCCCAAGTAGCTGGGACTACAGGCGCCCGCCACCACACCCGACTAATTTTTTGTATTTTTAGTAGAGACGGGGTTTCACCGTGTTAGCCAGGATGGTCTTGATCTCCTGACCTCGTGATCCACCTGCCTCAGCCTCCCAAAGTGCTGGGACTACAGGCGTGATCCACCGCACCTGGCCCTGTCTACACATCTTGACATCTTGTTTCTAGTGATGTTAATCTTGATGGTGAAGGTGGTATGTGCTGGAAATAATCAATGGGTTGGGGGGTATAGACTTGAAGACTATATGCAAATGTCCTGTTTCTTTTTCTTTTCTTTTCTTTCTTTTTTTTTTTTTTTTTTTTGAAAACGAGTTTTGCTCTGTCGCCCAGGCTGGAGTGCAATGGGATGATCTCAGCTCACTGCAAACCTCCGTCTCCCTGGTTCAAGCGATTTTCCTACCTCAGCCTCCCAAGTAGCTGGGATTACAGGCCTGTGCCACCACACCTGGCTAATTTTTGTATTTTTCGTAGAGACGGTTTCACAATGTTGGCCAGGCTGGTCTCAAACTCCTGACCTCAGGTGATCCACACACCTCGGCCTCCCAAAGTGCTGGGATTATAGGCGTGAGCCACTGTGCCTGGCCTTCCCCTCCCTCCCTCCCTTCCTTTCTCTCTCTCTCTCTCTCTCCTTCTCTTTCTCTCTCTCTTTCTCTCTTTCTGTCTCTCTTTTTCTTTCTTTCTCTTTCTTCCCCTCACACCCGTCTCTTCTTATTTTTTTTTTGAGATAGGGCTCTCTCTGTCACCACCCAGGCTGTAGTGCTGTGGCCCAATCTCGGCTCGCTGCAGCCTTGACCTCCGAGGCTCAAGCAATCCTCCCACCTCTCAGCCTCTCAGGTCTCTGGGACCACAGGTGCATGCCACCATGCCCAGCTAATTTTTTTTTTTTTTTTTTTTTTTTTTTTTTTTGTAGAGACAGGGTCTTGCTATACTGTCTAAGCTGGTCTTAAACTCCTGATCTCAAGCGATCCTCCAGTCTCAGCCTCCCAAAGTGATGGGATTATGGTGTGAACCACCGTGCCCAGCCCTATTTCTTCTTAAACCTCTTCATCAGTAATTTTAACATTCACAGTGAATAAGAGATTTTTGATATTTATTCAGAGTGTAGAAGGGGCAGGAAGATGAATCAACAGATGTGGTTGGATTATAAATACATACATAACACATCAGTCCTTTTTTCTTTCTTCTTTCTCTGTTTCTTTCTCTTTCTTTTTCTCTTTTTCTTTCTCTTTTTCTCTCTCTCTTTTTCTCTTGCTCTCTCTTTTTCTGTCTTGCTCTCTCTTTTTCTCTCTCTTTCTTTCATCTCTCTCTCTTTTCTTTTTTTTTTTCAGACAGAGTCTCGCTCTGTCACCCAGGCTGGAGTGCAGTGGCGTGGTCTCAGCTCACTGCAACCTCCACCTCCTCGGTTCAAGGGATTCTCTTGCCTCAGCCTCCCAAGTAGCTGGGAATACAGGTGCCCACCACTACGCCTGGCTAATTTTTGTATTTTTAGTAGAGATGAGGTTTCACCATGTTGGCCAGGCTGGTCTCGAACTCCTGACCTCAAGTGATCCACCCGCCTTGGCCTCCGAAAGTGCTGGGATTACAAGTGTCAGCCACTGTGCCTGGCCATATTTCTGTTCAAGGAGTATTGAGTTTCTTATTTCCTTGCCAGAATGTGGAAATGAGATAAAGACCCCCACAAAAGAGAACAAGCAAAGGCTACTTATTCAGTGCTTGCTGTAGCAGGGGTCCGCCACCATCACAGAAACTCAAAGACAGACAGAGGAGGGGAAAAGCTTTATCGTGGAAAAAGGGAGGCTCAGGTGTGCCCTGAAGAAAGGCTTTGTCCTCCAGGGAAGCTGGAGGCAGCTCACTGGAAGCATGGTGGCGTCCTGGGTGAGTGGTTAGGGGGCATATTTGACTTCCTCTTGTTGGACTTAAATTGGAAATGGGAAGAAGAATTAGGAAAGCTTTCAGGTATTAATGAAGCCTTGGCCACTGGGGGCCAATTGCTGCAGAGGGAATGGATCAGAGTTCTCTCTTTTTTCACATTACAGCCTGTGTGTGACGTGCTATTACATACGGCCCACCACTTGTTTTTTTGTAAATAAAGTTTTATTGAAATGCAGTCAACCCCATCATTTGCATAATGTTTCTGGCTGCTAGTTTTGTTGTTGTTGTTATTTTTTGTTTGTTTGTTTTTTGAGACAAGGTCTCCCTCTGTTGCCCAGGCTGGAGTGCAGTGGTACCATCATAGCTCACTGCAGCCTCTACCTCCCAGGCTCAAGGGATCCTCCTGCTTCAGCCTCCTGAGTAGCTGAGACTACAGGCACATGTCTACAAGGTCTGCTAATTATTTTAGTTTTTGATGATTACTAGATTTTTGATTACTAGTTTTTGATTACTAGTTTTTGATTACTAGAGATGGGGTCTCGCTTTGTTGCTGAGGCTGGTAGAGTTCTCTTTTTATATATGGTCCTAGTGACGGAATGCTGGTGATGAATATGTCAAGATTCGCGCCTCCCATCTCTCAAACTAGGAGAAGCAAATGCTGATGAGACACTAAGACAATTCCAAGGCACAGGGCAATGTTTTCTCGGCTGGCAGTTCTGCTGCGTTTTGTCATGGCACATGTCCTACATATTGGAATTACTCCATCTGCAGAGGAGGAGGAGCCTCAATCTTCAGCTTCAGTGGTGCCTTTGGCAGCAAGGACCTGGAGATTGTTCACTTGTGAAGGATGCAGGGGACAGATTCAGGGCCAGGTGAGCACGTCCATTTAGGGTTTGGGAGCTGGACGGCAGCTCTGATTTTTCAGCCTTCCCATCATTGTTGCAGAAACAGCCATCTCCTTGGGGGATTATCGCATTTCGGTCAGGGAGGCGTGTTTCCCCAACCTCCCCACACCCTGCATACTTCATCCTGTATCTGGTCTTCAGAGCTGTGTCTTCCTCATCAGCCCTCGCTGATGGGGGGTGGCTGGGAGTATCCAGCCTTTTCCACCTGTATTAGGGCATCGGGGGAAAGACAAGAGACGGGAACTGGGTGTGCCTGTTTCTCAACCACCAAAAAGGTCCATCAAAAGTTTATATACTTGGCCGGGTGCAGTGGCTCACGCCTGTAATCCCAGCACTTTGGGAGGCCGAGGCGGGCAGATTACCAGGTCAGGTGATCAAGACCATCCGGGCCAACATGGTGAAACCCTGTCTCTACTAAAAATACAAAAATTAGCCGGGCGTGGTTGCATGTGCCTGTAGTCCCAGCTACTCGGGAGGCTGAGGCAGGAGAATCACTTGAACCCAGGAGGCAGAGGTTGCAGTGAGCCGAGATTTGTGCCACTGCACTCCAGCCTGGGCGACAGAGCGAGATTCCGTCTCAAAAAAAGAAAAAAGGAAAGTAAAAAGTTTGTATATTTAATCCCAGCACTTTGGGAGGCCAAGGCAAGCAGGTCACCTGAGGTTGGGAGTTTGAGACCAGCCTGACCAACATGGAGAAACCCTGTCTCTACTGAAAATACAAAATTAGCTGGGCATAGTGGCCCATGCCTGTAACCCCAGCTACTTGAGAGGCTGAGGCAGGAGAATCGCTTCAACCTGGGAGGCAGAGGTTTGGTGAGCCAAGATCGTGCCATTGCACTCCAGCCTGGGCCACAGAGGGAGACTCCATCTCAAAACAACAACAAAAAGCTTATATAGTTTATCCAGTCTATTACTGATGGGCATTTGGGTTGGTTCCAAGTCTTTGCTATTGTAAATAGTGCTGCAATAAACATACGTGTACATATGTCTATAAAGAAAATGTGGCACATAGACACCATGGAATACTACACAGCCATGAAAAAGAATGGGATTGGCCGGGTGCCGTGGCTCACACTTGTAATCCCAGCACTTTGGGAGGCCGAGGCAGGCGGCTCACCTTAGGTCAGGAGTTCAAGACCAGCCTGGCCAACATGATGAAACCCTGTCTCTACCAAAAATTCCAAAAAAAAAAAATTAGCTGGACGTGGTGGTGGGCACCAGTAATCCGAGCTACTCAGGAGGCTGAGGCAGGAGAATCGCTTGAACCCGGGAGGCAGAGATTGCAGTGAGTGGAAGTCTCACCACTGCACTCCAGCCTGGGCAACAAGAGCAAAACTCTGTCTCCAAAAAAAAAAAAAAAAAAAAAAAAAAAGGATGAGTTCATGTCCTTTGCAGGGACATGGATGAAGCTGGAAGCCATCCTGCTCAGCCAACTAACTCAGGAACAGAAAACCAAACACCGCATGTTCTCACTCATTAAGTGGGAGTTGAACAATGAGAACACATGGACACAGGGAGGGGAACATCACACACCAGAGCCTGTTGGGGGCTGGGGGACAAGGGGAGTGAGAGCATTAGAACAAATACCTAACGCATCCGGGACTTACAATCTAGATGACGGGTTGACAGGTGCAGCAAACCACCATGGCACATGTATACCTATTGTATACCTATGTAACAAACCTGCACGTTCTACACATGTATTCCAGAACTTATCCCAGCACTTGGGGAGGCTGAGGTGGGCAGATCATGAGGTCAGGAGATCGAGACCATCCTGACCAACATGGTGAAACCCCGTCTCTACTAAAATAAAAAAAAAATACAAAAATTAGTCGGGCGTGGTGGCGCATGCCTGTAGTCCCAGCTACTTGAGGCTGAAGCAGGAGAATCGCTTGAACCCGGGAGGTGGAGTTGTGGTGAGCTGAGATTGCGCCACTGCACTCCAGCCTGGTGACAGAGCAAGACTCCGTCTCAAAAAAAAAAAAAAAAAGTTTGTATACTTAACCATGTGGAGTTTGCCTTATACTTTGAACCCTTCCAAGAGCTGGGTGGCGCAAAGATCTTTAACTGAATCCCAGACTCATCTATTAGAAGTTCTCTGCATCTTACATGAATTTCAAGCTCACTTCATTTATTTTCTATAATCCCTTCTTTGGGGATTTGTGTGTAGTGTCTAAGTCAGCCATTTTATTCTTAGCAAAAGCTGTCATTGCTTTGTAAGATGTTGTAATTCAAGAATATTTATCATCTATTTATATAGATCTTCATAATTATCTACCTTCATTAATATCTACCTATCCATTATCTAATCTATCATCTATCCATCATCTGTGTATCTCTGTCTACCTATTTATCTATCTACCTATCTAATCTATCATCTATCCATCTATCATCTGTGTATCTCTACCTATTTATCTACCTATCATGTATCGTTGTCTATTCATATATTATCATTTACCTCTTCTATCTACCTACCTATCATCTATCCATCTATCATCTGTGTATCTATGTATTTATGTATCTATCTATCACCTATCATTATCTATTAATGTATTATCTATCATTTACCTCATCTATCCATCCACCCAGCTATTTATTTATAGATCTATTTATCTACCCATCACTTATCACCTATCCATATTCATCTATCATCTGTTCATGTATTCTTTCTACTTATCTTGCCATTTACCTATCATCTATCTTATGTACCTATCATTCTATCATCTGTCTATTGATCAGTTATGTAGCAATCTATCATCTCTATCATCTATCTGTCATCTCTCTCCATCATCTGTCTGTGTCTACCCTATTTATCTATCTATCTACCTACCTACCTACCTATCTATGTCTCTATCTACATATCTAGGTCTTTATTTATTATCTATCAATTTTTCTCCTCCCCTTCTTTTTGCTCCGCCCTCTGCATTGGGCTTCAAAGGAATCCAGTTGGAATGTGAATTTCAGGGATAGCATGAAATGATGCCTGGGATCCCAGCACCGATACCCTACATCTGACCTCAAAGCTTCTAGAAAGAGTGTTACTCAACCATGTGCTCCTTAAGAGATGGGTGTTAATAAAAGAGGAAAAGCCAAGTTTTCTAAGGTTTCAAGGCATCAGGCTGTTCTCAACCACTGCTCCGTTCACCTCCTAGAACAGAATCGGGCTCAAAGAGAATGTGCGTGATGAGTATATGCGGCAGCAATAAATGCTCAGCCGCCAATAAATGCTCAACATCTGCTTGACTTTTCTTCAAGATGCCCCAGATGTGGGAGTGCTTCCTTCCTGGGGAAGTCGCTTGTGTCATCAAATGTAAAATCTCCTCTTACATCTCCTGTTCTCTGGGATATAATTACATCGTTTGCCAGAGATTTTCTTCAAGCGTGACGGCCAATGTTGTTACCTTGTGACAACTTTCTCTTCTCAGTCCTGGTTCAGTGCTAGAGGTAAGGTAGCGGCCGTGTCAGAATTCTGAACACATTTGGTTCAGAATAAAATCAGTGCTCACCATGATCCTTATGAGTCTGACCGATGTTTGTGTCTGCACTTTGGCCTCTTGGCTCTTTAAGTGAAAGTTGTAAATTTTCTGTTGTAAACAGCCCAGAAATGTCAAATCCTTGACCCAGGGAGAAAGAGAATAAATCAAGCCCCTAATGTGTTTCATATTCAGAGAAGCATTCAAAGGTTGATGAGAAATAAATGTTTATTTAAAAGATGATTTTTCTTTTTCTTTTTTTTTTTTTTGAGATGGAATATCGCTCTGTCACCAGGCTGGAGTGCAGTGGCATGATCTGGGCTCACTGCAACCTCCGCCTCCCGGGTTCACGCCATTCTCCTGCCTCAGCCTCCCGAGTAGCTGGGACTACAGGCGCCCGCCATCACGCCTGGCTAATTTTTTGTATTTTTAGTAGAGACGGGGTTTCACCGTGTTAGCCAGGATGGTCTCAATCTCCTGACCTCATGATCTGCCAGCCTCGGCCTCCCAAACTGCTGGGATTATGGGCGTGAGCCACCGCACCCAGCCAAAAGATGATTTTTCTTTAACTGTTCTCTGTCTAGTTGTTAAATCAATTGTGCATATTGTTTCTGAATTTCTCCTTAAATAATTTTCAACATAAGCAGAACTTGGAAAGATCATGATGAATGTCAATGGTGTATATTTTGAGCCTCTAGCATTCATCAATTCTGAGACCTTTTCTACATTGATTGATTGATTGATTGATTGATACACAGGAGGTCAAACTATACAAATAAATGGTCATTATTAGTCCTTAAAATATATCTTAGCCGGGTGCGGTGGCTCACACCTGTAATCCCAGCACTTTGGGAGGCTGAGGCGGGTGGATCAAAAGGTCAGGAGATCGACACCATCCTGGCTAACACGGTGAAACCCTGTCTCTACTAAAAATACACAAAATTAGCTAGGTGTGGTTGCGGATGCCTGTAGTCCCAGCTACTCAGGAGGATGAGGCAAAAGAATGGCTTGAACCTGGAAGGCGGAGCTTGCAGTGAGCCAAGATTGTGCCACTGTACTCCAGCCTGGGCAACACAGCAAGGCTGTCTCAAAAAAAAAATATATATATATATGTATATATATATATATCTTGTATTCTTACTGATGTGGCCATGAGCAGGTTGAATAGTTACTGCATGGTTTTCCTTTTAATGTGGGATTTTCTGTTCATGGCCATAAGCTGAACATCTTGTCTAGGTTGTGGTTAAGGCTAAGGAACATATAACTCAAGAGCAGGCATTTTCCTTAGCCGAGGGTGTGAGTTCCAGTCTGAGTCTGAAGGCCTGAGACCCAGGAGAGCTGAGGGTGTCAGCTCCAGTCTGAGTCTGAAGACTTGAGACCCAGGAGAGCTGAGGGTGTGAGTTCTAGTGTGAGTCTGAAGGCCTGAGACCCAGGAGAGCTGAGGGTGTGAGTTCCAGTCTGAGTCTGAAGGCCTGATCTTTCAGCTCAATCAGAGAGCTTTTTCAGTGCTTTTAAAATCCATTTGTCCATATTGAGATTATTGTTCTCAGCTGTATTTTCAATGTCGTCACACTTCTGAGTTTATCAAGCCTGGTACATTTGCATGTGATTGTGTGAATTTGTGTTTATTTCTGGGCCAAGGTAGAAAGAATAATGAAATCATTCTTATTGAAAGATGAATCAAGTCCATTCCCTAATTATTTCCTCCTTCATGCTGGTGGCCTTGGGTTTCAGAGATGAGAGTGGAGGAAGAGGAGGTATCTCAGAAGCTATCAGGAGACTGCATTCCAGCTGGGTGACTCCTAAGTTGGGCGGGGGAATTTTAAAAAACACCAGTATCTCTTCCTCCCCTTTGCCTGCCTGGACTTTGATCTACCATCAGAGAATGGTCCTTTTCAGGGCCACGCAGGGTACCAGGAGGGGTCCAGGAGGAGGTGGGGCTTGGCCATCCTGATGCCATTCTTGCCTCAATAGCCTCTGAATGACAAAAAACAAGCAAGTGGGCTGTTAGGTTGCATTGCTGAAAAATGTCACAGGCATCCCCTCTGCAGCACGACATCACCGGACCTCAAAAGCAGCCTCCTTGGTGGGGCATCCTGGTCCCAGAAGTCAGGAGAGTCTAGAGTTGCTTTCATTCCTGTTTACCTGGAATCACGCATTGCAAGTGTTCATTCCCTTGTGGAGTCCTTCTTTCCCTCCCTCCCTCTCTTCCTTCCTTCCTTCTTTCCCTTCCTTCCTTCTTTCCTTCTTTCCCTTCCTTCTTTCCCTCCCTCCCTCCCTCCCTCTCTCTTCCTTCCTTCCTTCTTTCCTTCTTTGCTTCCTTCCTTCCTTCTTTCCCTTCCCTCCCTCCCTTCTTTCCCTCCCTCCCTCCTTCCCTCCCTTCTTCCTTCCCTCCCTCCCTCCCTCCCTCCTTCCTTCCTTTCGTCCTTCCTCTTGTCTTGCTCTGTCGCCCAGACTGGACTGCAGTGGTGCAATCTCAGCTCACTGCAACCTCTGCCTCCTAGGTTCAAGTGATAATTCTGCCTCAGCCTCCCGAGTAGCTGTGATTACAGGTGTCCGCCACCACAGCCGGCTAATTTTTTTTTTTTTTGTATTTTTAGTAGAGATGCAGTTTCACCATGTTGGTCAGGCTGGTCTCGAACCCCTGACCTCAGGTGATCCACCCGCCTTGGCCTCCCAAAGTGCTGGGATGACAGGTGTGAGCCCCTGCACCCAGCCGGTAGCTGTCTTTCCTTGGCTGGGGTGTCTACGCAATTGAGCTTGGGTTAGGGGCAACTATGCATTTAATGCAGGTTGGTCAATTATATGGTTTACTCTTTAGGGTCTTCCTTTGCAAAGAGTGTACAGTAATGGATGCCATGTGGGTGGCTGGGATGTGGCAGACATTCTCTGGAATAATGCTGGCAAAATGCTCTTTCCTCCTAAGAGAAAAAGATGCCCATCTGTCCAGGAAGATGCCTGAGAAAACAGTCATCAATCGGGAAAGAAAAACATAGCCGTCTCCATTGCACGCCGCATTTGAGCCGCTGCTATATTTCTCTCTTTAGTTGTGTGTGTCTATGTGTGTGTCTATGCCTGTGTGAATGTAGTATAAGATCCAGACTGAAAGCCTGAGACCCAGGAGAGCCGAGGGTGTGAGTTCCAGTCTGAGTCTGAAGGCCTGAGACCCAGGAGAGCTGAGGGTGTGAGTTCCAGTGTGAATCTGAAGACCCGAGACCCAGGAGAGCTGAGAGTGTGATTTCTAGTCTGAGTCTAAAGGCCTGCATCTGGAACTGACACTGTCAGCTTTGTGTGAGAATGTACAAGGATTGTCAAAGCTGCTGAGGTCGTTAAACATTTCATACTCTCTCTCTCTTTTTTTAATCATACTGCAGCCATTCTTTTTTCCCCTAAGTGATTTATGTTTCTAAACCACTGAGAAGCAATAAAGTGTCATCAACCGCAAATTGTGCCTATTGCAAAGTGAAGTCTTACATTGCTTTAGCCTGCAAAAAGCATGAGGATTCTGAAGTAAAATATCAGCAATGCATTCATTATAATGATTTTGTGGTTCAACTGAAGCTTATATGTCAGAGAACCCATGCTTATTTTTATTTACTTTGTTTTTTGAAAGTCAAAATTTACCTTTATTTAAAAGTTTTTCTTTTTTTAAATTTTTATTTGAGGTACAAGGGACCATGTGAAAGTTTATCATGGGGGTTTGTTGTATAGATTATTTCTTTACCCAGGTATTAGCCACCAGTACCCAATAGTTATCTTTTCTGCTCATCTCCCTTCTCCCACCCTCTACCTTCAAGTGGACCCTACTTTCATTCTTCGTGTGAAGAAGTTCTCATCATTTACCTCCCACTTATAAGTGAGAACATGTAGTATTTGGTTTTCTGCTCTTACATTAGTTTGCTTAGGATAATGGCCTCCAGCTCCAACCATGTTCCTGCAAAGGACATGAACTCATCCTTTTTTATGGCTGCATAGTATTCCATGGTGTCTATGTGCTACATTTTCTTTTTTTAATTTTTTTTATTTTTTTATGATTATACGTTAAGTTCTAGGGTACCTGTGCACAATGTGCAGGTTTGTTACATATGTATACATGTGCCATGTTGGTGTGCTGCACCCATTAACTGGTCATTTACATTAGGTATTTCTCCTAATGCTATCCCTCCCCCCTCCTTCCACCCCACGACAGGCCCTGGTGTGTGATATTCCCCTTCCTGTGTCCATGTGTTCTCATTGTTCAACTCCCACCTATGAGTGAGAACATGCGGTGTTTGGTTTTTTGTCCTTGCGATAGTTTGCTGAGAATGATGGTTTCCAGCTTCATCTGTGTTCCTGCAAAGGACATGATCTCATCCTTTTTTATGGCTGTATAGTATTCCATGGTGTATATGTGCCACATTTGCTTTGTGCAGTCTATCATTGATGGGCATTTAGGTGTATTCCATGTCTTTGCTATTGTGAGTAGTGCTGCAGTGAACCTATGCATGCACGTGTCTTTTTTTTGTTTTTTAGACAGAGTCTTGTGGTGTGATCTCAGCTCACTGCAACCTCTGCCTCCCGGGTTCAAGCGATTCTTTTGCTTCTGCCTCCTGAGTAGCTGGGATTACAGGCGCCCATGACCACGCCTGGCTAATTTTTGTATTTTTAGTAGAAATGGGGTTTTACCATGTTGTCCAGATGGCCTTGATCTCCTGACCTCGTGACCTGCCTGGCTCAGCCTTCCAAAACCATGCCCGGCCTTGCACGTGTCTTTATAATAGAATGATTTATATTCCTCTGGTTATAGACCCAGTCATGGGATGGCTGGGTCAAATGGTTGTTCTCTTTTCAAAATGCTTAGATTTAAAAAATTTGACTCTCACCATTCATTGCAATGAAACCTGCAAATGTGTCCTTAAAATAAATAAATAGGCCGGGCACGGTGGCTCACGCCTGTAATCCCAGCACTTTGGGAGGCCGAGGTGAGCGGATCATGAGGTCAAGAGATCGAAACCAGCCTGGTTAACATGGTTAAACCCCGTCTGCACTAAAAATACAAAAACTAGCCAGGCGTGGTGGCATGCGCCTGTAATCTGAGCTACTGGGGAGGCTGAGGCAGGAGAATCGCTTGAATCTGGGAGGTGGAGGTTGCGGTGAGCTGAGATGGCGCCACTGCACTCCAGCCTGGGGAGAGAGCAAGACTGTGTCTCAAAAAATAATAATAATAAAAACAAATAATAAATAAATAAGTAAAACCTGCCTCCAGACAATGGAATGATTTTCAGTGCTAAAGTGAAATGAGCTATCAAGCCATGAATAAGCACGCAGGAACTGTGAGTGCATATTACTCAGGGAAATAAGTCAATCTGAAAAGGCTACCTACTGTAGCATTCCAACTCCATGACATTCTGGAAAATGCAGAATGATGGGGACAGTCAAAAGATCCCTGGTTTCCAGGGACTGCGAGTCTTTCATTGACTTCTCTGCAATGGGGCTATAGAGTTCTAACATTTGTAGAGATAGTTTCTTCAGTAAATTGGTTATGTGGCAGCCAGATGTTAGCTACTGGTTGACTTGGGCAATCATTAATTAATAATAACCTTCATCTATTTTATTTATGTATATATGCACACATATACAAACCCATATAGTGGATGGAGTATGTGGTAGGTTTGTTAGATGGTGTCTCTCTGTCCATCTCTCTCTCTCCATGTATGTCTATGTGTGTGTGTATAGACAGATGGTAGATAGATAGATAGATAATAGGTATGGGTGGGCAGATGATAGGTAGATAATAGATAGATGAATAGATAGGTACATACATAGATGGACGTATAGATGGATGATAGATACATACATAGATGAATAGATAGATGATAGATAGACAGATGATGATAGGTAGGTAGATAGATATGGGTAGGTAGATGATAGGTAGATAATAGATGGATGACTAGATACATACATAGATGGACTTATAGATGGATAATAGATACATACACAGGTGAATAGATGATAGATGGGTGGATAGATGATAGGTAGATAGATATATAGATAAATAGATATGGGTGGATAGATGATAGGTAGCTAATAGATGGATGAATAGATAGATACATACATACATAGATGGACTTATAGATGGATGATAGATACATGGATGAATAGATAGATGATAGATGGATACATAGATGATGATAGGTAGGTAGATATGGGTGAGTAGATGATAGGTAGATAATAGATGGATGAATAGATAGATACATACATAGATAGATGGACTTATAGGATGATAGATACATACATAGATGAATAGATAGATGATAGATGGATACATAGATGATAGATAGATGACAGATATTGGTGGGTAGATGATAGGTAGATAATAGACGGATGAATAGATAGATACATAGATGGACTTATAGATGGATGATAGATACATACATAGATCAATAGATGATAGATGGATACATAGATGATGATACATACATGCATACATACATACATAGACAGCTATAGATAAATGATAGATGACGTGTCTATCTATATTTCTATGTATCTATGTTCTCATCCATCCACCAATCCATCCGTCCCTCCATCCATCTGCACACATATGTAGTCATGCACCACATAATAACATTTCAGTCCATGATGGACAACATATACAATGGTAGTCCCATAACATTACAATATGGTAGTTTTCCTGTACCCTGTTCTATGTCTAGGTATGTTTAGATACATAATTACTTATTGTTGTGTTACAATTGCCTACAGTATTCAATACAGTCACATGCTGCCCAGGTTTGCAACCTAGGAGCAATAGGCCATATTGTGTAGCCTAGGTGTAGAGTAGGCTGTACTATCTAGGTTTGTGTAAGTGCACTCTCTGATGCACATACAAGAATGAAATCATGTCATCATGCATTTCGTAGAATCTATCCAAGTGACCCATGACATGTCTGTAATGACTGTATATGGTAGATGAGGTATCTATCTATATATATATCTGTCATAATCATCTATCTATCCCATCCATCTATTCATCCATCCTTCCATCCATCCATCGATCTATCCATTCAACCATCCATCCATTCATGTATCCATCCATCCATCCATTTATTCATCTACCCACCTTGTCTATGCAATCTCATCCATCTACCTACCTTGACTATCTATCTATTTATCCATCCATCCATCCAACCATCCATTTATCCATCTACTCACCCTGCTATCTATCTACTGATGTATGTGTATGTATGTATGTATCTATCTAGTTATCTAGCTATCTAATCTATCCATCTGCCCACCCATCCAATCAACCATCCATACGTCTGTCTGTCCATCCATCCATCCATCCACTCACTCTCTCTCTCCATCTCTATTCAAGCTCATCAGTCTATCCATTCATCTACCCACCCACCCTACCTGCCTGTCTATGTATCTATGTATGTATGTATGTATGTGCATATCTGTCTATCCATACATCCATCCATTAATCCATCCACTTACCCTGCCTGCCTGCCTCTCTTTCTCTCTCTGGTAGATAAAAGTTACAATTAATTAATGATTTTCAAAGTAACCAGTAGCTGAAATCTGGCTGCTATATGACTGGCTCACTGAAGAAAGTATCTCTAAGTCAGAATATTAGAACTCTATTGCTCCAGAGCACTTAATGAAAGAAGATATATTTCTGAAGTTAATTTATTTTTTACCAGAGGTGATTTTTTTGGGGACTTTTAAATGGAAGAGGGTTTGAATATATTGCAGAGATCAATACATTCTTATTTGCCTTTCCATAAATTAGAAGACAATAAAGTTACTGATTGTGAGGTGCAGAATAGTGCTCCCCCATACCCTCTCAAAACAGTCTGCATCTTCATCCCTGGAATCTGCAAGGACGTGACGTGGCAAAGACGAATGAAGGTGGCAGATGGAATTAAGGTTTCTAATTAGGCAATCTTAAAATAGATTATCCTGATTCTCTGGGGAGAGCCTAATGTCATCACAGACATCATTATCAGTGGAAAAGGGAGGCAGGGGAGACAGAACGAGAGGGACTGCAGAGTGAGAAAGAGCACTCGTGGCTGGCTTTGCTGATGGAGGAAGGGGCCACTGGATACAGGTGGCTTCTAGAAATGGAATCGGCAAGATTTTCCCCTCGAGTTTTGAGGGCAGCATAGCCCTGCTGACACCTCAGTTTCAGTCCACTGCACTTTTGATCTCCGAAACTATCAGATACTACATTTGTGTGTGTGTCTTTGTTTGTTTATTTAAGACAGAGTCTCACTATGATTCCCAGGCTGGAGTGCAGTGGCGAGATGTTGGCTCTTTGCAACCTCTGCCTTCCGGGTTCAAGCGATTCTTCTGCCCCAGCCGCTTGAGTTGCTAGGACTACAGACACCCATCACCATGGCTGGCTAATTTATATATATTTATTTTTTAACAGTGACGGGATTTCACCATGTTGGCTGGTGTCGAACTCCTGACCTCAAGTGATCCACCCACCTCAGCCTCCTAAAGTGCTGGGATTACAGGTATGAAACACTGTGCCTGGCTGTAAAATGTTTCTTATCGGACCTAAAAGGGTGCCTGGCTCTTAGTTGATTATCTGCTGGTCCTGGAAAGGAAGGAGAAAAAAAGGCAGGGGAAAGGGGATTCTCTGTAGAATGTGGATTTTTTTTTTTTTTTCCCTGCAAGGGACGGCTTGTGAGTTTGAAGGTCTGAGACCCAG